>NC_000005.10:119200716-119503746 GCF_000001405.40 Homo sapiens | reverse complement strand
AAACAGACAGAAAAGAAAGTACTGCTGCGTTCCTTCACTCCTTCTAGTGGTTATTTTTAACATGATTAGGGTAAGTCAGCCTATGACACTACCACTATAGCCAACAAATGAGCCATTAAGAGATGTTGTTATCAGTCTCCTGATGCTTGACACTCTGTGTCTCATCAATTGGTGTGTTTTATAAACAGTAGTAGATTATAAACAGTAGTCGTGACCTTGGTTTTCTGCAGTTTAAAAGGTTCCAAACCACAAATATCTCATATTTTGAACATTCACATTTACTACACAGTAAATTTTAAAACTGCTTAAAGAAAATGCACAGGCTGAGAAAAAATAATTCATGAGAAATATAACTTGAGGCTAAGGAGGTAAAAAAAAATGAAAAAGTTATTCTCTACACCTTCCTATTCACATCACTGTTCAGTTATCATCACTCTGGAGTATACATCTAATCTCTCTTTTCGTATTTTAAAATCCCTAACGGCAGAAACCTATCTTGCACATTTCTACTTCCCTTATAACAATGGTTTCCAAGTGGACCCATAGGGCTGGGTACATATGAAACATGTAAGGAGCTTCCTAGCCACTGTCACCAACACCACCACCCCACCACATACATACATGCACACATACACACACACACACACACACACACACACACACACACACAATTTCCAAGGTTGGGATTGAGAATCTACATTTTACTTAAATTAACAGATAATATAATGTAATAACTCGGGTGATTTTGATATACAGACAGGTTAGAAAATTACCTACTACCTAATACTGTGCCTTGCAAATACTGGGTATCCAGCAGATATTTGATCAATGCACAATCACCACAAAGTGTACTGTTTCACATAAAAAGAGCTGTTTTGAAACCTTATGCTATAATACTTACACTGAAATAAAGCTATTCAGCTTCAAGCAATAAAAATCTCATACATTTTTTAGAAAAATAAAAAGGTTTAAGAAAAATATTCAAGTAGGATTCTAGCTACTTGCCGACCTCTACATTGTATAACATGAAATGACAAATATTAACAAAACATTCCTTTTTGTATTCTACCACCTTATATGACCAGTATATAATTAGACAACATTCAAACATCAAAGTAGAGAAATAAATATATCCAATTATAGTGAAAAAAATTAAAAGAGATTTACTAAACAAGTAAGATATTTTTGAGAAAAGTAAAAATGATTATTAAAGACTTGTTTTTATTTTCTCCAAAAAAAAAGAAAAAAATGAATTACAAGAAATTCTGTATCTTTTAACATTGTTTGCTTTATGAAAATCAGTATAAAGATAAATACCTGAGAAAAGAACAATAATCATAAGAACCATAACAGATTATATGCAATCACTAAGTCTAGAGCACATACACGAACGTTCCTTTCAGTTGTTAATAACACATACATCAACAGAGATAAATTATGAAATAAATTTTTAAGACTATTAAAGGACAAAGCTTAAGGTGACCAAAACAGATACTAGTTAACATCAGTCTACTCTAATGGCTCACATGTGCATAACAATTTGTGATATGTTTCATTAGGTCACTCTATACCAGTTTAACACACTGATGTTGTTTAAAAGGTTAATCTGGAAATAAAAGTATGGTATTATGGAATTAGTATATCAATAACTCACCTGCTCTGGGAAGTGGTTTATATAACTCTAAGTACTGCTCTCCATGAAGAACCTATGTTAGGGTAAACAAAATTTTATTAGCAAACTTTCTTGCTCCACAGGTTCTGCCTATGGATACTGTTACTCGCAAGTGACATTTTACCATCCACAGGCTCACATTTCTCTCCAAGTTATCTATCTCTGTTTGGCTTCTTCTTAATCATGTGATTGAAAAATAATCAATCCCCCAATCTCAAGACAGTCAGCTCTTCTGGAGCAGAGAAGATATATTTGTGTTCTTTCTTGGCGTTCATAAAGCCTTGTTGACTGTTAATTACATATTATTTGCCAAGAGACAATAAACTAGGCTGTATTCCCAGAACTTATAACAGTGCCTGGAACATATTGGGCATCCAATAAATATTCATTGAATAAGAATGAACAAATGCGCCAGTGCTAGTAATTTCAGGTCACATATACCAAATACAAACGACACAACTAAAACACAAAGAAAAACCTTACAACCATGTTCAAAATGAAAGCACTGTCAATGTGAATATCCCTTTCTTATAATACTTTGTAAATTATCTACAAAGAGTAGATACTAAGGACACTGTGTAACTTAATAGCCACTTAACCTCAATGTATCAAACAAAGAATGCACCAAGGTATATAGGAAAACAACAGGACAGGAAAACCAAAACTTGAAGCATACACTCAAATGATCCCACTTTCACTGCAGAGGGCCAGTTTACCAGTCTTCCTCAGAACCCAAAAGGATTTTAAAAAAAAAAAAAAAGGAAGAAGAAGAAGGGGAGGTGGTTGATGAGAAGACAAATGAAGGTCAGCTTTACTGTGTCATACGGCTTGAAAAAGTCAAGGTTAAGAAGACTAGGATTCAAGTTCCAAGATGCATGAACACCATTTACGATTTCCAATTGTTAGGGGGAATTTTGAAACATTTGTTTTAATTTTTTGCATTTACATTGTTCAGAGTATATAGTAACTAACCATGGGAGTGTGAATGAAACAGCAAACTGCCCAGCACATATTTCTTGTCTTCCTCCCAACTTCATGAAACACTCTAATAAAATAAGTGGCCATCAACTCAGAGCAGCAATGGGCTAACTGATCCACCAGTAAATAAGTTCTCCAATCAGTCAAAGTTACAGATACCAGCTCATAGCCCCATGATTCAAAAATTATTACCAGGCTCATAACCTGAATCTTACTCCAAGAAATAAAATATACCCTGTCTCAAAGAACTTCTCACCACTGTTCCCTCCTCCTTCTTGACACACTTCATTCATTTGGCTTCTCAAATACCCTATTCTCATGATACTCCTCATACCTCACCAACCATTCCTGTGCAGTCTCTTTTTGCTAGTTCCTCTGTATCTCTTTACCCTCTCAACATTTCAGGGCCTCTAAACTCAGGCCTCTTCTCTACTTACTCTCACACATTAGGTGACTTCATCTAATCTCCAGTATTTAAACATCACGTAAATGCTAAGGACCCAGTTAGACCCCTCCCTGAACTCTAGACTCATATATTCAACTGTCCATCTTATATTTCCACTTAAATGTGTAACAGACACCTCAAACATATTTAAAACCAACTCCTGATCAACCCCACCTTAAAATAAATGTGTATGTATAAATTATACATAATGCCATATGTAATTACTATACATATTAAATACACTATACATAATTATACATTACATATAGATATGTGTAATGTATAACTATATACAATGTATAACTATATACAATGTATATATATGCACCCATCTCTCTCTCTATATATATATACATATCCCAATTATCCAGAACAAACATCTTCATCCTTGACTCCTCTTTTCTAACCCTCATATGCAGCACTTTTACTTGGATTACTATAATAGACTCTTAAGTGGTTTCTCTGCTTTCATGCTTGACTCCCTTATAACCTAGTCTCCAAAAGCAACAAGCTTGTACCAGTCTGTGAACATAGCCAGATCATGTCACTACTCAGCTCAGATCAACAAATGGCTTCACATGTTCATCAAAGTATATGCTGAAATCTTTACAATTACTCCATGACCTTCTCCTACCATTGCCCCCTTGCTCACTCTACAGCTATGCTGGCCCTATTACTGTTCCAAAAACAAGTCAAGTATGTGCTATTTGCTTTAAATACTCCTCCCTGGCTTGCTTCTTCACCAATGTCATGAGGTGAGGATTATCATATCCATTTTATAGATAAGGAAACTGAAGCCTAGAGATGTTATTTACCCTTGGTCAAGAATCAAGTAAATGGCAGAGAGAGAATAACATTATGCCAGGGTTATGGGACTACACATACTTGTTATTTTCTTCTTTTTGCTGGCATTTTGAACTAACTCTCCCCTCTTTTATTCTTAAAAAGAAAAATCAAAAGATATGCTAAACTAACCACTATAAATAATTATATAAATATATATACACACACTACACACACATATATATAAGATATGACATTAATGAATAATATTTACAGAAATAGAAAAGCAAAATAAAGGTTTTTTATTAGGCATACCTTTGCAAAGTTGATTGAAAGTCCAGGAATTTCTGCTAATCCTCCACCCATCATAGATTTCTGACCTATGATAACTCCGAAGGTGGGCAAACAGGAGAAATCAGAACTTCCTTCATAAATAAATTTCAAATCTTTTGGATCCTTGATTGACGCTCCCACTCCAAGGGCATACATAATAGCTTCCAGTTCCGTATAAGCATAAGAAAATGGAGGGAGTTTCTGGCCAATAGCTCCAGCCTAAGAACAGTTTTAAAAAGTAATTTATTTCATTGATAACTTTTCAAAACTATTAACTTCTTACATACCTAGTTTTGTTTTTGAATAGATGTGACTAGAATGTTAGTGAATTTGATGGAGCATAATTATTGCAATTATATTTTATTTTTTAATAGAAACTAATTAGGTAATGTGTAGAAAAGGACTTCATTTACAGTTAAGAAGTTTTTTATTGCTTGCTTCTTGCTAACAGACAGTATGCCTCATACTCAACTTTCCTGTCTCTAATTCAGCAACTATTAGCTACCCAAAAATCCAAAAAATAATGAATTTGTTATTAAGGATAGTAAATTGCTTGTAAGATCTAATGTATAAAGTTCACTGTAAACAGATGAGTAAAACACTGCTTAATGGATGTAAATTTGATTGCCTCATAATGGTTTCTGTTTGTTTGTTTTGAGATGGAGTCTCGCTCTCTCGCCCAAGCTGGAGTGCAGTGGCATGATCTTGGCTCACTGCAACCTCTGCCTCTCAGGTTCATGCAATTCTCCTGCCTCAGCTTCCCGAGTAGCTGGGACTACAGGCCCGTGCCACCATGCCTGGCTAATTTTTTTTTATATTTTCAGTAGAGACAGGGTTTCACCATGTTGGCCAGGATGGTCTGGAACTCCTGACCTCGTGATCCACCCACCTCGGCCTCCCAAAGTGCTGGGATTACAGGCGTGAGCCACTGCGCCCAGTCCCTCATAATGTTAAGTAAAATAAAATTAACTTGAATTTCCTTCCCAGGAATATCCTTTGTCTAACTGGATGTTGTCTTTTTCTACTTAGTGATAATATGCGTAGCTAATAAGTGAAGTACATATAAAAGAATAATGTCCAATTTTTCAATCATTTTTATTCTAAAGTAGAAGTTGGCAAACAAGGACTAAGAGCTAAAATGGTTTATACAGGTTGATTAAAAATAAGAAAAAGAGAAAGAATATGTACTAGAATAGAAGCACTATGTAGCCCACAGAGCCTAAAATATTTACTATATGGCCCTTCATCAAAAAGGTTTGCCAACCCTTATTTTGAGGAAAAATCACATTTCTATACTGACCACATTCTCAGGCTTAAAATTAGAATTTTAATTTTCTTTATCACAATGCCTACCATAGGTTACAAAACAACAGAATCTAATATGGCATATGATTTACTTCTTCCTATTTATCCAGTACAGTTTTTTTAAGAAAGAATACAAACAGGAACAGTAAATAGGCAAATTTCACATGAGCTATCACAATTGTTCTCGAATTTCTGACTCAATGGGAAGCATTTTACTTGCAGCCATGTTGAAATAGTTCTAAAATACAATATCGATGCTTCCCTTAAAAGAAACGGACCCAAAAGAGCACTAAACTAGATATCCTTTTCTAAAGAGTCAGAAAATGTTACTAAAGTAGGATTACTGATGGTCAAGAAAAAAAAATGATACTTGTCATACAGTTAGATACAGAAATCTAATGGTACTGAAAAAGAAAAAGCAAAAGTTTAATATCTGAGCTTATGTTCAAATTCTATCAATATTTAGTACATATTTTATACAGTTTTATCATCACTCATTTAGCAATAAATAGCTTAGAAAATAATTTTTTTGTATGTGAAAAAAGTTTCAAAATTATTTACATTTCAAACAAAATTTTGCTGATTATAGGCACTTCACTTTCAACATAGAGGTTTAAAGCCTTATGGGCATTAGGTAAAGGGGTAAAAAACACAACAAAGAACCTGGGAGCATATAACCTCCAGAAGTCATGGTGTCATAGTCTCCCCTCCCAAATACAAATTCCCACACAACTCAAATCTACTTAAAGTCAATTTAAAGCTATCCTTAAAGAGATAAAGAACTATGAACGGGTAGAATGAGAACTGTATATGGAAGACAGACAGTCCAGGCAGGCATACATATCTGGACTAGATATCAGTTTAGCCACAGTTCATTTTATCAACAGTTGAGGTACTACTCCCTTTTTTCCTCTTCCATTCAGTACCTCCCTGAGTCAATTTCCAAACAGCATTGCAGGGGGTAAAAATGAGGTTGGCTAAAGCACCACTCAGGCAGCTAACCTGATTCATCACACCCCCCAATGGAGCCTACCAAAAATTATATGCAAGTAAGGAGTATCCCTCTAAAAAGTTCATGATAAGCTTTCAGCAGCTCTGTTTCCAACCAGGAGAAGAAGCTGAGTGGGTTACCTCCATTCTCCAAGCCCCACTCGGCTACTAGGCAAAACCTTGGAAACTGATACCCAATCGCTCTGATCTCCTTTCCCATTAGGGAAAAGAAATGCAGGGTACAGTCCAGAGAAATCTAAGAGAGGGAAAAGGAGAAACTAAAAAGACAAATAAAGTACTCTGGACAGTGTTAGAATTCATCCTGAGCCATCTCTTCATGTGGCTCAACTGTCCTGAATACTCTGTATGTTGAAATCAGGCTGTATGTTATAAAGTCAATCATAAACGATTCCTGAATAAATCCTCTATTTTAAATTATCTCTGCCACTGCTTCTCTCCATTATTAGAGACTGAAAGAAAGTAACTGCATCCAAAAGAAAAGAGAAAGAAGTAGGGGAGGAAGAAAGCAGGGAGGGAAGAAGGGAGGGAAAGTCTCCAGAGAAGGCAAACGCTTTAGGCTTTTTTCCCACTTACAAATCCTGATGTTGCTGTAGACGTTGCACGACTAGTATGATTTGCTGAAACTCCTCCTTCTGAATCTATTTTACTCAGAACTTCAATTATACTGCCAGTTGATTCTAAAATGAAAAATGAAAAACAAAAAAAATAAAGCTTTGTTAAAGATGTGACTAAGAAAAGCTACAATATGCTACATAATTATTCCTATAACATTCAGCAAACCTGCTACAGAGCCTCCATTGCCACTCATGAACTGAATGTATGTCAGGCTATTGAAGGAAAAAATTGCGAAAGACTGAAATAGGCCAAAAATAAATGGACATCTTCAATGAAATACAAGACATTGTCTAGCATATCCTTCCCTGGTTATCTGATTCTAAGGCGGCACTGGGCTTTCCAATGTCTTTAAGCTATTTTACAACCTTTAAAGTGAAATACTTGTCTATAGACATGCAATTTGTCTGATGGAGAGATCACTGATTCCTCCTCTCAACTGATTTCCATTCTTCCCAGGATGAAAGAATGCCAAGATTACCTCCTCACCCCTACTCCCAGTTCTTTGTACAAGTAATAGCTCTGAAGATAGTACCAAAAATTCTTCCAGAGAAAATCATCATCATAACCAATGACTCCAGACAGGGATCAAAAGCTGCTTTTCTGCAGGTCTAAAAGGTTAATAAAGGAGGCTCATGGGGCATCCACATCTCCATAAGATATTCTGAAGGCCCTGGGACCTTTCTCACAAACCTTAGAGACATGGGCTTCCTTCTGAACTCAGACAAAACCATAACCAAAAATTTTTAATTTTTGTAAAAATACAAAAATTAGCCAGGCGTGGGGGCACACACCTGTAATCCCAGCTACTTGGGAGGCTGAGGTGGGAGAATCGCTTGAACCCAAGGGGCAGAGGTTGTAGTGAGCTGAGATCATGCCACCATACTCCAGCCTGGGAGACAGAACAAGACTCTGTCTTAAAAATAAATAAATAAATAACCAAATTACAGAGTCTGAGAAGACCAGAGATATCTGCCATTCCTGATGACACCAGTAGAGAGGTTTCTTGCCTATTAATCTTCTCCCTACCATCCCATTCATATTGCTATCTAGAGGGAAGACTATTTAGTTGAAAGCCACCTCCTTCCAGAAATAGACAACATGAATTACTTCTTGGCTCAAACACTGGCTAGTTTAGGTTTTCCTGGGATTTAGTTCCATCATCTGTAAAATAAAAACAGTAGAAGAGATGCTCTGGAAAGTCAATTCTTATCGAAAAGATCATTTTTTAAAAATTGTGCTTCAAATAGAGGTATCTTTTCACTTACAATTAGTTATAATAATTCAATTAGATAGCTTTTTAATAAGTTTAACACTTTTGAGGCAGAAATACTTTTTGAGATAAATATCAGAGGAAAGTTTTTCCTATACTTTTCTTTCATTTGTTTTCATGGATAAGTGACTGTTATTCATAGAATAAATTTCTCAAATGTCTAAATATAAAATACAAAAATGTTAACCATTTATGACATAACAATCATGTTATCATCTGATTGAGAATAAGCATAATGAAAATTTCAGTGAGTATTCCAGTAGGTAGGAAAGTATCATTAAGGAGAAAAAAAAAACCGAATAGTCATTTTTCAAATATATTCTTCTATCAAACTTTAAATATTACATTACTATGAGAAAAAAAAGTTTTTCTACAAAATGACCCTGACTCATGATCTTTTCAGAAAAATACTTCAAATTTCATATATTACATGTATATGTGAGTTATACTAGAAAAAAATAATCTGACTTTTATTTGGTTATCTATTTCTGTGGTATGTAACAGGAGATTAAATAATTCAAGTTAATAAGCAATTATTAAGTCCCTTCTATGAGTTCAGCACTATGCTAACACCAAATATATACAAGAAGTACAAACAAGATACAGTCTCTGCCTCAAAGGAACTTACCAGGCAATTAAGAAACCATACATTCATGAAACAAAAGAAGTGGAGAACAGTTAAAATTAGATGCTCAAGTGGTAGGAGCTCAGCTAACAGAAAGATCAATATACCCTAGAATATCTGGGCGGTTTTGTTGAACATCTGGGGCTTGAGTTTTTCTAAAGAAGCATTAAGATTAGCAGAGGAGATCAAAGGTAGAAGAACTATGTTAGAAAAGCAAAGAAACAGTAGCAAAGACAAAGTGCTAAAACAAAGCCACATTTATGCACTAAACAGAAAAGAGCTAAGCCTAAATAATAAAAAGGCTTAAATAATCTTTTTGAGAAAGAAAGAAAGAAAGAAAGAAAGAAAGAAAGAAAGAAAGAAAGAAAGAAAGAAAGAAAGAAAAGAAAGAAAGAAAGGAAGAAAGAGAAAAATATGGTAAGATTGGGAGCATATAGGTAGGTAATGGAAGACTTTGAAACCAACCATCAGTGAGGATGTAAGTGCATTCAGCACAAATGAGTAAACATCTTATGCCATCCATCCCCCAATCACACATAAACCCAAAAAACAGGATTATAATAAAGCTGAAAAACTGACAGTGAGAATAACATAAATATCTTAAATGTGAAGAATTCTAATACCTACTAGAGCAGAAAATATGCTATAGACGATTCAAGTGTCTTAACACTACAGTTAACATAGAAGACAACTACATAAGAGAAGAAAATGCTTGCTGCCTCTGATTCCCCAACCAGGGCTAAGTGACGGGGACTCTCTTTACCTTGGATACTCTGAGGCTTGCTGGCATTCTCAAAGTCACAGATCTTCTTCCAGTTAGCCTTGACTGCCTCAGGAGTCATTGGGTGATTCTTTTGTCTTACAATAGCTCCAAGAGTCCGCTCCCAGCGTACTGGTTATAGAAACAAAACTAACATACTGAGCACATAGTTGAGAGACAGAAAGTAAGATGCATAAGAACCCTTTCATTTTTAAAGAGAAAGGAAATTCAGAAAAAAAGGGATTCTAACTCCTAAAGAGTTTTACCATAAGCCTTAAAATGAATTTTTCCCAACAAACCCACTAGGATAAGGTCAATTTAAAGAAACATTTGAAGCTGAAGGGAAAAATTTCTCCTCTGACTATGCCAGACAGTACTAAAGGTAGAATGTTATGCTGTATGTGAAAAAGTTTAATTATATAATAATCACATCAAAAGACTGACTTCATGACCACAGATCCCCAAAGTAATATACTTCATTCTTCTTGTTTATAAAATGAAGATAACTGAATAGAGCTTCGCTGAGTTAGCAAACTGAAGACTAATAGTAAATAATAGGTCAAAGACTTCAGTTAACAAAAATTTAGTGTAACAGGTGGCCCCAAATAATTCTCCCTTACCTTCTCTTTGCTCTACCTCTATTTCCACAAGAAGTCAGTTAGAATGCACAGATTCATAAAAACCATTACTGCTGCATAAGGAGAATTTTTAACATTGTTTTCTTTTTAAAAACCAGAGGTATAAACAACTACTAATAACCTTATTTAAACATAATAGTCAGACACTGATGATTGTTAAACTGAAGATTTGTCTTTGGGAATGACAGAAATGCCTGTGTCTAGAGCTTTCCTATTGATAAAGTGCCAGATATAGCTTTTACTGCAAAACCTTATGTTCCTTTTTTAAATGAATGCAATAAGACACTCAAAAATGCTTCAAGAATATAAGCCACTTTAACAATTAGAGAAAATGACCATTAATTCTAAAAATATTATACTACTACAGCAATGCCCTCCAGAGATAGCAACCTTTTAACTGATTCAGTTAATTGGATTAATTTTGATACCCATAGCCAACTAAATATAAGCTGAGACACAGAAATTTTCACAATTTTTTTAATGCCATAAAGCAATTCTCAAATTTGGAGTTCACAAGGTTTGAGAGATGGGGTAGGAGAGGGTTGAAGCCAAGTAAATTTACTATTTAACTATTTAAAATATTTAATTTAAATAGTTATTTAAAATAACTATTTAAAATAATTTTACTATCTAAAATAACTATTGGGCTAAAGCGGAATAATTCCCATAGATCAGCTGCAATTTCTGTCCCAGTAAGTTGTCCAATGTGATTCCTCACTCCCCTTGACGTCTCCTGCTTCATGGAAGAAAATAATTACATGGGAAAATTGGAGAACTTGCCTGCTGCTCTAGAATAGGCTCAACCCATCTTTTTCCAAAACAGCTCTCCCTCCCACTCACTTCTCTGCTGAAACAGCAAGAACGAGCATGTGGGAAGTCAAAGACATGGGAGGATGATTATCAATATATGCTGTCTGAAGGAATAGCCAGTTCTGAATAAAACAGGACAAGTCCTGAATAAGGACTACCTACAGGAAGAATAGATAGGGTCTTGAAAGGGCCACAGACCTATAGGACAATCACAATGTTTAAAAATACCTGTTGCTATAGCAATGTTTAAGTTTGAATATGCAAGCACTATATCCAATGGTTAGGCATTTGACAAAAATCTTACCCATCTCAACTGGATATGTAGGTTTAAAGATAAGGAAATAATCTATACAAACCAAAAACTGAGAGAGACTTACATTTTCCAATCCATCCTGCTCCAACCTACCAAAAAGAGGGGGAAAACATTATACCATCTAATGTGAAATCACTAATACAATTGTTTTAATTAGAAAAAAGTCAGCTCCTCTACTAGCAGTATTAGAATTCAAGGCAACAGGAGATGAAAATAATACAGCTCTGTAAGAGTCCACTGGCCCCCATGACTTTGCACTGCTCATGTTATCGGAGCACAAACGTAAAACAGTACAATGAAGTAGAAATGCATGTAATAGAAAAGAATGAATCTGATGTCAGAGACCAAGGCTTGATACAAATTTGTCTACTGACTACCCTGGCCAAATTATGTGATCCAAGTTTCCTCAAATGTAAAATAAAAATGACAGTACATATTTCATGTGGTTACCATGAAGCAAACAATATAAATAGTACACTGCCTAGCATATCATGAGATCCAAATAAATGTCCCTCTTGAAGGACCTACTGAATTACAAAGAAAACCAAAGCCAAATAAAATGAGTATTTGACTTAGTGAACTACATATACTCATTTTAATGAAACATCTTTATGCAGAGATAAGACAAATGACCAAATAATAACTGCTACCCAGAAAGATAAATTTTCACTGCTATAATTTTTTCTAGAGGTCATTCAAGAAAAATCCTAAAAAAAAAAAAAAAAAAGTCTGATGAGTCTGATGTAAAGAAAATCTGTTTGTCACTTCAAACACCACAACTACAGTGTACCCAAACTTACCACAAAAATTTCATATGCATATGATAGAAGAAATGTATCAGCAGACATCTTAGTGGCTCTAAGTTCAAGGGTGTGGCTTTTCATCATCCTTTGCCTCTATATTAATATGCCTACACCTTTTATGATACAACCAGTCAGCCTTGATAAAGTTACACTAGACAAATCAGCAGTGGTTTTGATAACAGGCAAAATAACTACCACTTTTTACTGTATTTTGGAAGCGAAGTAATAAGCTACAAGTTCCTCTCAGGTGCTAAAAACAATTGCTCCAGCTGAGCCAAAAAATATTTGTATCTGCCACTCTAGATATCTATCAGAACTTCAAAAAGTGGCAATTTACTTTCAAGGTTTAAGTCAGGATATTATGCACAGCTCTTAGTATAGTTTATCAATCATGCATGCTAAATGTTCCTCACTAAAAATGTTCACAATATAGTAAAAGAAAACAGCAACATAACAAAACTTCATCTGCAGCATTATCCTAATTGTCTGTGTGTTTGGGTGTATAAAACGCCTATCTAGGCCAGGTGCGGTAGCTCACGCCTATAATCCCAGGACTTTGGGAGGCCAAGGCGGGCAGATTATTTGAGGTCAGGAGTTCCAGACCAGCCTGACCAACATGGTGAAACCCATCTCTACTAAAAATACAAAAATTAGCTGGGTTTGGTGGTGGGTGCCTGTAATCCCAGATACTCAGGAGGCTAAGGCAGGAGAATCACTTGAGTCCGGGAGGCGGAGGTTGCAGTGAATGAACCAAGATCACGCCACTGCACTTCAGCCTGGGCAACAGAGAAAGACTCTGCCTCAAAAAAAATAAAAATAAAAAATAAAACACATATCTAATAAAAGACTGGAAGGAAAAACATAAAAATATTCATACTAGTTCTCTCTGGATAGTGATAATGTAGGCAATTTTTATTTTATTTTTTATATGGTCTTATATATTCGAAATTTTCACAAACAGCACATATTATTTTTGTTCACAAAGTTAGTAATAAACATAACTGTAAAAGATAAATAGTTTTTAAAAATTCCTTAATGAGGTAAAAGTAGAGCAGGCAAAATTCTGAATTACAGATGGCTTGAGATTATTAAATTTTCCTCTTCTATAAAACAGAGTTGTAAAGTTCTTTCTACCTCTACTATGCCACAATTCACACCCAATGGCTGTGATTAGGAAAGTGGAGGTGCATATATCTGCTCAGAGATATGCAAACTGTTTTTTTTGTCTTAACTTACCCATCAGCTTTTCATTCAAATGAAATAAGCTAATATATCCCTCACTTTAAATTGAGCCAGGTTTACAACAGGTTCTGTATACAACAGGTTCATTATTACCACAGATAATTTAAAATGGGGGGGGGTCTAATATACAACAGTTTAGGCTAGAAAAAAGAGATCAAACTCAAATGAGTAATCAAAAATATATAAATTGGCTTTAAAAGGTCTAAAAGAACTTTCATCAAAGAGTGAACAATGGATCTCACTGCATGATGGGATTATGTGTGGATAATTATTTTTATAATAAACATTTAAAGCTCTGCAATAAAAAAAACAGAAAAGTTCATTTTTTATGTAAAAATAAATAATGTTATATTTATTGACCTATCACACAAGATTAAATTCCTGCTATACTGATAATTAAAATTGGTGGTTGAGTGCTATGTATTAGGCCTTATGCCAAGGGTTTAAAATATGACTTGTAGTTGTCACAAGAAAGCCCCAGAAAACTAAAGCTCACGAAGGTCAAATCTGCAATTCCCAGAATAAGAATTCAAAATCTGGCCTGGTTGACTCTAAACTCCAAGCTTCATCTTTCCACCTTATCATTCAGCTTCTTAAATAATGAAATTCCCCACATTTTGACCGAACAGATCAAACCAGCCACATTTTCATTTGGTAGGAATGTTACAAATGTAGAACTAAGTAAAAACAGAATTTATAAAGTTACTATTACTTTCCAAAAAATGGATATTAGTCAACACTTTTAATTATAACATAGACACAATATTTAAAAATATACAAGTGATGTCCACTGGTACAGATTTTTACAAATGTAAGCAACTGGAGAAAACTAATAAGAGAAAACAGGAAGGTGCAAATACCTCAAACAAGCCACCATTCTCCTCACAACTCTCGTGACAAAGCCAAAGGACAAGAGGTGCCACATACTCTGGCTTCAGGGCTTCCACAAGATCTGAAATAAAGAATATACACATATCTTATCAATCATTTTACTTTCTAAGAATTTCTTACTTATAAAATTATAGGTAATTCAGAGACCTTTAAAATAGGAACAAAATTAGTATGTATATAACTAGTCTAACATTTAAGTCTTTGCGAAGAACTTTTTGTAATCTCAACTGAGCCATTTCTAAAGGGCTCTCAAGCTTCTAAAATTGTAAGTATCAGACACACCTTTCCAAGATGAGTAACATATTAATACTGTTCAGAAGAAGAAAAGTTAGAACTGCCTAGACAAAGATTGGTGAGCAAAACTGTATTTAACATGAGAAATCTGGGTACCATTCATTCCCAAAATTATTCTACTCTCCCAGCTATTAACAACAATCTAGAAAATCACAAAACAGCCTAGACCATTACAGTGGCAAATAATGATTGAGAGTGCTGAATCCTAACCACTAGACCACCAGGGTAGGCAGATAATGATTGAAATAGACCTTGAAGACATCACTGGTGAGTGCACAAAGTATAAGAACTAATTTCCCACTGCATATGTTACCTTTTGAACTTTTTAAAAATTAATATATAATAGTTGTACATATTTTGAAGGTGCATGTGATATTTTGATACCTTATACAATGTGTAACGACCAAATCAGGGTAACTGGTATATCCATCAACTCAAACATTTATCTTGTCTTTGTGTTGAGAACATTATAAATCTTCTCTTCTAGCTATTTTGAAATACACAATAAATTATAGTTATCTATAATTTCTCTATTGTACTATCAAATACTAGAATTTATTCCTTCTATCTAAGCTTACTTTCGTAGCCCTTAGCCAACTTCTCTTTACCACTGCACCTTTTCTGTGAGTACCTTGGTGAAGCAGAAAGGTACTACATGAAGAACATGAAGACTTTGATTTTGGTACTGAACCTGCTATGCAAGCAACTTAGGAACCTGAGCCCATCATTCAACTTCCCTGGGCCTGTATCTTCATCAGTAAGCTAGTAATTTAAATGCTTCTGCTTCCTATTCCACCAAGTTGTTCCAAGGCTCAAATGAGATACAATTTGTGTCTTACAAATCATACAATTTTATCTAAAAGATCAAATAAATGCAAAAATTGTGAAATGACAAAATACAATTTTGTATTAATGTGTTAAAGTAAAAAAGATGGTGTATATAGTCCTGTAAATTAAAAAGTAGTTGCAAAAACTCTTCACTTTATAGCCTCTAAAAGCTCTCAAAAGTACACAAGCATTCCAATGGCACCCTGTCTTCCATTTTTCATTATATGCACGAGGAAAAAACAAAAGGAAGACTCCAACCATCTCAAATTGTACATTAAAACAAATTATTAACTTAAATATCCATTCATCTCAATACATAACATTCCTCTAATTTCCCATACATCAATTGACAAAACTAAATGTTAAAGGATATTTATGTACAGGGATTTGGATATTTGAGTTGGCTAACTTCAAACTGAATGAGAAATAAACATATCTATAAAATGCAACAGAGTATCTATTACCTTACGTGAGAAAAAAGAAAAGAACATAAGCCACATACAAAAAAATACGTCTGCCTTGCAGTTTATTTTATATATTATCACTAATAATATAAGCAAATATTCTTGCTTTCCAGTTCATTCTCAAACTCCTAGGTTAGCCAGCATCTATTAAACTCAATGTTATAAATAAAAAACCAACCTTAAGAGAGTAAATAAAAGATCAGAGAAGTCCCATAGCTATTAAGATATAAAGTTATATGAAATCAAAAATAGAAAGGTTTACTTACTCAACCCAGTGTTTCTTCCACAATACTAGATGTCAGGATATCTAGCATTACAGTGAGCCAAGTACTCTGAGGAATACTTCTGCTTCCAGAAATGAGATTCTTTTAAAGCATTACTGAGATAAAGAAGGTATCCTCCAACCAGAAAAAAAAAAAAAAAAAATAGAAAAGAGTCCCTAGTGCTACATGCTACAGGGAAGGCAGGGTTGCCCTGAGAATGATACAAATAACAATACTGATACCTAGGTACTCAGAGATAGGCCAGCATCAAGATGGGGTCCTAAACCTAAACTGTTCTACGCTGAACTTCAACTTTTAAGGAAGACTGAAGCAGAACAAAATTGGCTATGCTTCCTGGTAATCAGCAGTAGCAAAGACAGATCCTCTCTGAAGAAAACATTGCCAATTTAGAACACAGAACAAATACAGAAAAAGATCAGGTAAAGAGCTGGTAATTAGAAATCACCAAGCACACAATGAAGGGAAGCCACTATGAGTAAAAGTTAAAAGAAACAGCAGATTTGAACTACAATGGAATAGAAATGTTGGAATTTAAAATATATTATAAAGAAAAGTTAACTATTGATTAGCATTTGTACCCTTCCTGACTCAACAATTTTACTTTGAAGTACATATCCTAGAAAAATTCTTGTTCTTGTAATCCAGAACACATGTACAAGAATAAAAGCAGATTAATTAAAAAGCAACCGATATGTTCATTAATAATAATTAAGTAAATTCACATAACAGTCTTGCAGCAATATAATCGAATGAGCTACAGCTTTATATAAATCTTAGAGCCCTAAAATTGCATGGAAAGACAAAGTACAATTCCCCCAAATTTTTTTAAATGACAAATGTCATAAAGATCAAAAACAAGAAAACCAAACAATAAAGTGTTTATTCATGCAATTTTTATTAAAAAAAATTAAAGGTAAGGGAATGAATATTCTCTTTAAGTGATTACCTCCTGGGGGAAGAAATGGGGTGAGGTAAAAAGGTAACAAAAATAGACACAAGTTATGGAAATGCTCCAGTTTGGGGGCTGCATGACAGCAAGTCATCAAGATGACCTCCAATGACCCCCATGTCCTTTAATTTATCCCTTTTTGTAGTCCTTTTTCACAGTGTACCAAGGCTAGTCTGTGTGATCAACAGGATAGGACAAACGTGATGGTACATCTCTTCTGAAGTAAGTTATAAAAGACACTGCAGCTTCTGTCTTGGTGACCCTCTCTTTCAAATCGTTAGCTCTGGGGAAAGCCAGCTGCCATGTCAAGAGCAGTCCTATGGAAAAGCCACATGGTGAGAAACTGAGGCCTCCTGACAACAGGTAGGAAGGAACGGAGGCCTCTTGGCAACTGCCATGTGCACAAATGAGCTTGGAAGTAAATCCTCCAAGCCAAGCTTTCAAATGACTTCAGTGCCAGCAAACATCTTAATTAAAACATCATTAAAGACCTAGAAGCAGAACCTCCTAGCCAGGCTAAATTCCTGACCCCAGAAATTGAGTGAGATAATAAATGTTTGCTGTTTTAATCCACTAAGTTTTAGAGTAGTTTACTGCAGAGCAGTAAATAACTAATACAGCTTGGAAAGTTAGTTCCTGGATACTCATTATAGGGTTTTATTTTATTTCATGTAAGAAACATGTAAGTTATACACATTATTTTTCACGTATCAAGTGTATTTCAAAGGGGAAATGAAATAGCAAAAATGTCTCCACACATTACTCATAATATCTGGTTCTTTAACAAATAATTCCTTTAATTGCCCATAAGGAAATATTTTAGAGGAGGAGAAGAAAAGCTTCAGATCAAAATAAATTTTCAGATATTCTAAACTATAAAAGAGTAAGAAAAAAGCAGAATAAAAATAATGGAATTTTAGGACTAGAAATAATAGTCCCAAAATTAAAGGAAATTTAAAAATGATCTATAACTTTCTTACTTTGTGGAAGAGAAAACAGATCCAGAAAGATTAAGTCATTTGTCTAAAGTAGACTTTATTTTCTAAACTTCTTTTACTAGAGCATGGTAGGCATAAAGGATTAAACATTTACCTAATGCCTTTAGTGGTCCAGATCTGTTCAAATAAATGATACCATATTCCCAAAGAAAAACAAATTTAAAATCTGAAGTTTTAAGTACTTTCTTGAAAACGTACGGCTTCCCAAAAAGTCTAGAACCGATGGCAAAAAGTGACTAAAGGTAAAAATCTAACAAAGGGATGATCAGCACAAATTCTAACTAGTGGTTTGTCTCTTGGTATGAAGCAGGGGGGTAGAAAGAAGGTACAAAGTTAGATGCAAGTTATTGGCAATGTTCCAATTCTTGGGTTGAGAAGTGAGTTCATGAATATTCATTACATTTTCATGCTTTATTTCTTATCTATAACCTATACTGTTTTGTGTCTATATAGTATCATACTTGAAACAAATAAATTATATATCTTTCACATAATATGATTCTTCAACAAGAATTCCTTTGACACGACTATGAGAACATAAAGAGTTTTTAAAGAATAAGAGGCTTTAAAAATGGCTCTGCTGTCAAGGAAACAGGGGAAAAAATTAGATCTCAGGTCCAAATAGGTATTCTACACTAAAGAAAATTGGTTAGACACAGCTCTTGGCAAAGACTGCAAAGTACTGCTGTAGTATTACAAATCCCAAGTTCTAAAATGAATGTTAGTTCAAATGTGGAAAATATATGGTACCATAAGTATTTGTGTTCCATGGAGTAGCTTATTTTAAAATAATTTCATCAATTATTTTGTACCTTTTCACAGAAGCTACTTTTAAAGTATTATGTAGATTTTCTTTTCAGAAATATATAAAAACCAAGAGTACCAAAAGCCACAGTTCTCCATAGTCAACTATTATATATATATTGCATAAGTAAATAAAGGTAGGCTCTCAATTATCCATTCAAATGTTTAAAGAAAGTGGAAAGACTCACACTATCTCATTCCAAGACTTAATATAAAACTAGAGTAATCAAAACATCATAATATTGCTGAAAGGACAGGCACACAGATCAATGGAATAGAACAGAGAAGCCAGAAATAGACCCAGGTGTAAGCAGTCGATTGATTTTCCACAAAGGTGAAAAGGCAACCCAAATCAAGAATGAGGAATAGTCTATAGAACAAAAGAATTAGATTCTTGAATAAACGAACAGCTTTTTTTCTTTTTAAGGGAGGGTCTCAGTCCATTACCCAGGCTGGAGTGCAGAGGTGCAACCGTAGCTCACTGTAGCCTCGAATTGCTGGGCTCAAGCAATCCTTTCACCTCAGCCTTCCAAGTAGCTGTGACCACAGGCACAAACCACCCTGTCCAGCTTGACTTTTTTTAAAAAAAGAGAAGATGAACTATTATGTTTTAAAGGAAACTTAAGAGCTATAACAACAAAAATGTCTGTGGACCTTGTTTGGATCCTTAGTGGAATAAACCAACTCGAAAAATATCTCTTTCTAGACAACTAGAAAATTTTAATATGAATTTGGTAGGTAATATTAGCAAGTTATTTTGTTTGGTTGTGATAATGGCATTATGGTTACAATGTCCATATCTGTTAGATATTCATTTCCAAGTGTTCATTAGATAAAATATAATGTCTAGGATTTACTTTGAAATAATGCAGAAGAAAAGGGAGAAGGTGATCAAAAAATGAAACAAAATTGGCTGTTGACCATTTGCTGAAGCTGAACGATGGGTACAAACAGTTCTTAACTTTCTTTACTCTTATGTATATTGGAAAGCTACACAAAAAAGTCTTTCCTTTTACACAAAGAAACTATGACCATAAAAAGCATTTTTTAAAATTATGGAACATGAATAAGGTAAAATACAATGCAACCATTAAAAGATACCCTGCACTATTTTATTAAATGGGAAAATGTTCATGATATGGGAAAAGATAATAATAATTAGACTTCCAGTTTGCACTCCAACATAAAAAGAGCTTGGAAGTTGTTACTTCCATCCTCAAACCAAGATAAAAGCTTAACAAGCTAAAAATCAACAACTCTGCTTATCAGCACCAGAGAATTCAGGTCACAGGGCAAACCACCATCAGGAAAACTGGAGACACAGGCAAATTCAGAAAACCCAGCTTACTGAGATAGAAGCCCCCAGAGCCCAAGCAGTTAGAACACTTAAACAGTAACCGACAAATTGCTAGAGGCTGAATGTGGACTTGTTTCATCTTAGGAGGGCCCAATCTTAGGAGGAGACTCCAACACTTTTATAAGTTTTACCTCCAGAATTTCCCATCACACAGTGAAGATCAGAGAAAAATCCCCTCATGCTTTGGACAAGACAAGGGGGAAGAAACCATTTTGAAATATGCCCAGAGTATTCTGTTCTACTTAAGGCCTGCTCTGAAGAGAAACTACTTTACCAGAGCCTTGTCTGACCTAGGGGAAGAGTGATTAGACAGTTGGAACTTCTCTAGCTTTCCCATCTCAAATAAGGGAAGGAAAAGAAAAAAAGAAAAAAAAAAAGGCTAAAAAAGTCTTCTGAAGGTCCCAACCCAGGACTCTGACCCACTCAAAAAATGGAGATTTAATAATAAGGGTACAGAACACTTCCCCTCCCCAATACCTTACCACTCCATCAACAGGGCTCCAGTATAATAACAATTACAAGTGAGAGCTGCAAGATACAAACTCTACTTAACAAAGAGTTTCTAAGGAAACTCAAAGACAACAGAGTATAAAAAAACAAGAACAGAGAGGAAACAGAAGCCTGTGATACCCATAGCTATAGTAAATAATAAACACGGCCTAACTCCTAACGAGATAAACATAAAACCTCACACTAAAAGCCTATTAATCTCACTTGCTATTATTACTCAATAGTATTATTTTTTACTTTCAACAAAAAAATTGCAACCCATGTTAAAAGGCAAGAAAAAGCACAGGCTAAAGAGACAAACATTAGAACCAGATTCATATATGGCAGAGATTTGGAGAGTACCAGACAAGGAATTTAAAATAACTATGATTACTGTGCTTAGGGCTCTAATGGAAAAAGTGGATAATACACAAGAACAGATGGTTACTTTAAGCAGAGAGATAAAACTCTAAAAAAAATTAAAAGAAAATGCTAGAAATCAAAACCATCGTAAAAGAAATGAAGAAAAAATCAGTGACCTTGAAGATATGTCAATACAAACTTCCTGCACGGAAACGCAAAAAAAGAATGAGAAAAATGGAACAGAATATCTAAGAACTGTGGGACAATTACAGAAGATGTAACATGCATACAATGAGAACCCGAGAAGAAGAAAAAGAGAATAAGCAGAAGTATTTGAAGGAGTGATGGCTGAGAATGTTCTAAAATTAATGACAGACACCAAACCACAGGAATCTCAGAGGACACCAGGCAGCATAAATATCAAAAATCTCCACCTAAATACATCATACGCAAACTGCAGAAAACCAAAGATAAGGAGAAAATCTTGGAAGAAGACAGAGGGGGAAAAAAAATGCCTTACCTATAGAGGAATAAGGATAAGAATTATGTCACACTTCCTTTCTGAAACCATGTAACCAAGAGGAAAGTGATGTGAAATACAGGCATATCTCATTTTATTATATTCCACTTTATCATGCTATGCAAATATTGCGTTTTTCACAAATTGAAGGTTTGTGGCAACTCTACATCAGGCAAGTCTATCAGTGTCATTTTTCCAACAGCATGTGCTCACTCCATTTATCCATACTGGCATTTTTTAACAATGAAGTGGTTTTTAATTAAGGCATGTATATGGTTTAGATCTACACATAATGCTATTGCACATCTAATAAACTACAGCATAGTGTAAATATAACTTTTACATGCACTGAGAAACCAAAAAATTTATATGACTTGCTTTATTGCAATCTTAGCTTTATTGTGGTGATCTACAATCAAACCTGCAACATCTCCAAGATATGCCTGTATTTAAAGTGTTGAAAGAAAAAAGCCACCAACAGAGAATTCTGTATCCAACGAACTTATCCTTCAAAAGTAAAGGAGATTAAGAGAATAGAAAGACAAGGTGTTGAGGGAAGTCAGGGACCCCAAACAGAGAGACCGGCTGAAACCATGGCAGAAGAACGTGAATTGTGAAGATTTTATGGACATTTATTAGTTCCCCAAATTAATACTTTTGTAATTTCTTATGCCTGTCTTTACTGCAATCTCTAAACATAAATTGTAAAGATTTCATGGACACTTATCACTTCCCCAGTCAATACCCTTATGATTTCCTATGCCTGTCTTTACTTTAATCTCTTAATCCTGTCAGCCGAGGAGGATGTATGTCGCCTCAGGACTATGTGATAATTGCATTAACTGCACCAATTGTACAGCATGTGTGTTTGTGCAATATGAAATCTGAGCACCTTGAAAAAAGAACAGGATAACAGCAATTGTTCGGGGAATAAGAGAGATAACCTTAAACTCTGACCGCTGGTGAGCCGAGCAGAACAGAGCCATTATTTCTCTTCTTTCAAAAGCAAATGGGAGAAATATTGCTGAATTCTTTTTCTCAGCATGGAACGTCCCTGAGAAAGAGAATGCGCACCTAGGGGTAGGTCTCTGAACTGGCCCCCCCGGGGCGTACCTGTCTCTTACGGTTGAGACTGCAGGGGTGAAATAAACTCCAGTCTCCCATAGCGCTCCCAGGCTTATTAGGAAGAGGAAATTCCCACCTAATAAATTTTGGTCAGACCGGTTGATCTCAAAACCCTGTCTCCTGATAAGATATTATCAATGACAATGGTGCCCAAAACTTCATTAGCAATTTTAATTTCGCCTCAGTCCTGTGGTCCTGTGATCTCGCCCTGCCTCCACTTGCCTTGTGATATTCTATTACCCTGTTAAGTACTTGATGTCTGTCACCCACACCTATTCACACACTCCCTCCCCTTTTGAAAATCCCTAATAAAAACTTGCTGGTTTTTGTGGCTTGTGGGGCATCACAGATCCTACCAATGTGTGATGTCTCCCCTGGACACCCAGCTTTAAAATTTCTCTCTTTTGTACTCTGTCCCTTTATTTCTCAAGCCAGCCGATGCTTAGGAAAATAGAAAAGAACCTACGTAATTATCGGGGCAGGACCCCGATAACAAGCCACAGACTGAAAAAAAAATTTCTAAAACATATATCTGATAAAGGACTTGTTTCTAAAATATACAAAGAACCCTTAAAATTCAAGAAAACAAACAATCCAATTTAAAAATGGGTGAAAGATGTGAATAGACATCTCAACAAAAAAGACAAATAAATGCCAAATAAGCATAGGAAAAAAATGTTCAATAACATATGTCACTAGGTAAGTGCAAATTAAAACAATAAGATATCACTACATATCTATTAGAAAACCTAAAATCCAAAATACTGACAATAAAAAATGCTGGCGAGGATGTGAAGCAACAAGAACTCTCATTAATTGCTGGTGGGAATGCAAAATGATACAATCATTTTGGAAGATAGTTTGGCAATTTCTTACAAAGCTAAACCTAGTCTTATCATAGCATCCATCCAGCAATCACACTCCATGGTATTTACACGACTTAAAAACTTATGTCCACACAAAAACCTGCACATGAATGCTTATGGCAGCTTTATTAATAAGTGCCAAAAACTGGAAGCAACCAAGATCTCCCCCAATAGGTGTATGAATAAACAAATTGTAGTACATTCATACCACGGAATATTACTGAAAAATAAAAAGAAATGAGCTTCAATCCCTGAGAATTCAGGAAGAAAAGGGGAGAGACAAACAGGTGAAGCACAGGGGATTTTTAGGGCAGTAAAACCATTCTGCATGACATTATAACAGTGGATACATAACTTTATGCATTTGTGAAAACCCATACATTTGTACAACACAAAGGGTGAATCCCAGTGTAAACGACGAACTTTAGCTTATCATAACGGCTCCATACTGGTTCATCAATTGTAATAAATATACCACTCTGACCAAAGATGTTAATAACAGGGGAAACTGTGGGAGGTAAAGTATAGAAGAATTCTCTGTACAATTTTTCTGTAAATCTAGAACTGCTCTAAAAAATAATGTATTTTTACAATAATTATTATGAAACAGGAAGAATATTACCCCATTGTGTAAAACAAAAAAAAAATTATGAATATGCAGAGAAAAAGAATGAAAGTTTTTATCGATGTGGTAGAATTATGGGTCATTTTTTATTTTTTCCTTTGTGCTTTTCTAAATTTTCCACAATGAACACAATTTACAGATAATGCTTTCGAAATTGAAAAAAATAATAATTTTTAAGTATTCAGAAAATTAAATACTTTTGTAAAGCTCATTCCACATAGGTTTGTAAGTAACAGCACTGAAAAATATAAGCTTGCTTACTTACCTTCAGGCATAACTGTCTGAGTCATCCGTGATCCCGCATTAGGAGCAATGGTGTTACAATGAATGTTGCTTTTCCTGCCTTCAATTGCAAGAGAATTTGCAAGGCCCAGAAGACCCAACTTTGCAGCACTATAATTGGCCTGGCCAAAGTTGCCATATATTCCTGAAGCTGATGAAGTCATAATAATCCTAAAAAGAAAATCAATCTCTCAATATCATCTTTTCCATAATTTGATAACATTGCAACTCTAACTCTGTTTTGGTACTACTGCACCTATCAAAAGCAACTATGTGTACTGTCATTAGCTTCTTACGATCATGATTTATGTAACTAAAATAATATTAATATATAAGTAATCTCTCAAAATTCAACTACAAGATTTAACTGTTTTAAAAAGATTCTCTGGCCAGAACCAAATGATCTTAGACTTATGCTTTACAACCATAAAATAACCTGGTAACATGTAAGTTAAAATTTTAGCAAGAAATATTAAATCGAACAGTTCTAATTTTTCAGTCCTCATCACTTTGCCTCTCTCCCTTTCTGAATAATATTAAATGCCTCATTAAAACAATGCCATCTCAAAATCTGACCCAACCTCACTCACTCTACTTAGGCTAAGTAAAATAAATCATATTATTTATTTTCAGAAACTGTCAGGACCAGGATAAACTAGAAATCTCCAACAAAAACAGGCATCACAAGCAATTTGCTTCTATTAGGTATGTATGAATCCTAAATTAACAGGAATGACCTCAGCACTAGAGTGCAACAGAGGACATGGACTAAAGCATACTAGCACTGCCACAATGAGTTACTTATCTAGGAGCAATCATGAGGGGTCCTACAGTTCCTAAACAGTTTATAAAGACTAACTCACGTCTGACTAGCACCAGCCAGCAGGGACTAGCCATTCATCTCTCCCCAGCTGGTAAGACATGAAATAATATTCGGGTTACAGAATAAGGTATAACCGAATCCTCAATGTGTATACTATCTTCTAAAATGCCAGAAACTAAGGCAGGAAGATTACTTGGGCCCAAGAGTTTGAGACCAGCCTGGGCAACAAAACGAGATACTGTCTCTACCAAAAAATTAAAAAACTTGCCAGGCATGGTGACACATACCTGCAGTCCCAGCTACTTGGGAGGCTGAGGTGGGAGGACTGCTTGAGCCCAGGAGGTAAGGCTACAGTGAGCCATGTTCATGCCACTGTACTCCAGCCTGGACAAGAATGAAACTATGTCTCAAAATAAAATAAAAATTGCCAGAGAGCAGCAAGAAAATCTTTAATAACAAAAAGAGGTAAAAAATAAATATAAAGCTTTCCAGCTCAGCCAATCTGTGACTAAATTATACCAATTTAATGAGGGTATGTGCCAAAACCATATGTTAAAAGGTTGTACATATTCCTCAATGTCATAAATCATTTCACAACACTTCACATAATCTTTCCCTGTACACAAGAACCCCCAGACACAACATCTTAAATCCCCCTTGACAACCACATGCAACTCTACCTTCCATACTTCTGTTTCTTCATGTGTTCCCATGCTGCCCGTGTCACTTGGAATGAACCCCGCAAATGAACTCTGTGGATTATATCTAAAACAATAAATTATTTTTATTAAATATTTTGTAAAAACTTAGGCATGTCTAAGAATCAACATAAGCAATGTTGTATTTATACAAAGATGTTCATTTTATACCTAATGTATAAAATTGCCTACTGTCACACCCCAATGAGTATTTTGCCTTTATTCCAGTTATGCTACTAATCAATACTTCACACTTAGAACTACAACAGCTCTCCTCATAATTTGTAAAATTAATGTAATGCCTATACACATCTAAATATAATGCTACGCCCTTATTTTATGCCTACTTCATATAAAAATTTTGCTAATATAAAATCCAAGATTTTTATAAATATAACTGGCACCCAACACTAACATCAGTTAAGGCATAATCATAAATCACATAGCTCATTAAGAAATATTTACAAAATACTCACTAGATCCCTATTGTTACCATTTGCAAATGAGTTAGTGAGAGGCCTGTTTTCACAAATTTCAATCTAACGAACAGACCACTTATGAAACATTCAGACAGACAATTCTAGATTTTAATTGTCAAGTTTTTTAAGCATTCTTACTTATTTTTGGTAAAACAAATGTTTTCATGTGTATATTAGAAGAAGAATGTAAGAGTGAAAAAAGGAACTAAAAAAAAGAAAGAGAGGGAGAAGGGTAGTCAGGAGTAGTGGCTTAGTAGGATGGAATCAGAGAAGGAAATACCTCAGTCCCGTTGCAGCACCAAGAAAAGCACCAACATAGGCCCCCTTTGCCAGCAAATCCTATCTTTCTCAGCTTCTTTTTTACCCCAGTTGTTACAAGGGAAGCAGAAACTAAAAGCTCTTCTTAGCTTAATTCTAAATCAAAGACACTAACTCTTCTTCCAAAAGACAGTCAGGCACTATTCCCCCAAAACACACTCTATAAACAATGATACAATTGTTTCACCTCAGTTGCCATGCTTCCCTCTGTCTCAGCCACCACTGTTCATTTTAGTTCTGATGGCCAATGAAAGTAAGCACAAAGAGGAGCAAAAGAAAAAAAAAATTCTTAACTGTGATTTGTTCATTATCTAAACTCAATCTTTCCAATTCAGAAAGAATGGAAAACTTTCCTATTTACTAGAAGCTTCAAAATTATATCCAGGTTTTGTCCTAACCTGTTCTAAAATCTCCATCATTTTTAGTGCACTAGACTCCCTTAAATATCCTGCTCCTGTTCTTGAAAAAGATTCACACAGCTGGATAAGCACGTTAAAGGCTGTTAAGAGTTAATACCTCTAGAAAATGCTGACAACCTCTTAAGGAGAAAAAAAGGGGAGAGGGAAACCTGAAGAAATAAAATCCTTTTAGATATCTTCTAAACAAATGATTTAACATTTTTTAAAAGTATTAAATGTTTTCTAAAAGAGGCTACTTCTAACTATTCATTGTCTTCAGTATACAGTTTACTCATCATTTATATTAGCAGCAAAAGTAGATAGAAGCAGGTTTTTCCTTAAATGTATAAATTTATCAAATACTAAAAAGGCTAAATGGATAAGTATGTTCCCCAGAGAAATACTAAAAACAACTTACCCCAGTCTTCATCACTTATCCTAGCAAAGGAACGATCCCTCAGAATTCTAAAAAATCAATGTTGTATAGGGTAAAAGGAGGAAAGTATATACTTTTTAAAAAAATTATACACACATCACTAAAAATGAAAAAGAAATACTCACCCAGCATTGTTGACCACAACATCTACAATATAAAAAGATACAAGTTACATCTAAAAGCAAGCATATTAGTTTGCATTTGCTTACAACTCACATTTCTCTCAAAACTGGCGTTTTTTAACCATGAAAAAGTAAATATAATAGGTAAAGAGTGCTTTCAAAACAAAAGTCTATACCTATATCAAAAAAAGTTGACTCACAAAAGCCTAAGTATCACATTATATCAAGCACCTTCCTCTCAAACTAACATCTATAAATTTTCCCACCTCTCTATCAAAATTCTATCCACTTAATTATAGAATTAGCCATTTTACAACTCTTAGGTTCTAAGGAATCAGAACCATAAGCCATTCTACACTTAACCTCAAAATTCACTTAGCAAGTTAAAGTTACATTTTTCCCTTGCCACTCAAAAGTAAAAAGTCCAAAAAGAAAACCATTAGAGTTACAAACTGATGCCTTATCTTGATACATAATTATTTTCTCACTATGAAAGAAAATAATTATTTTTTAAGGTTCAACCCTCTTGTGGCTATTTTCACCCTATGATTTCACATTTTTGTGGTTTCTATCCCTGTCAGACGATATGTGAACATGGTTCTTATGAGTTCAATCAAACAAAATTAGAAAAATAAGTGTAATAGACCAAACAAAAAAGGGAGAGCACATTCAATTAAGAATAAGTAATGTTTTTCAGATTGTAAACATGTTGGGCTTATGTTCCGTGATGTCTCCATCTAGTAGTTAAATAATCTTTTATTAAGAGTGTGTGGGACTAAACTGGGAAGATTAGCTACAGAAATAACAAACTCAACAATTTATTTGAAATACTTCTTAAAAATTAAGATTTTTATTATAGAGAAATCATCTTAAGTAATTTGCAAGATATTGGATTATTTTAATCCAAATTATTATAATTATCCAAAAGAATCCACTGGGTACTCTATTGCCAAAATATTGGTTTATTTTTTAATCTTATAAACATCTTTGAGGTTTAACTGAATTATTTTAAAAAGGGCACTGAGTAAACGCTCGTAAGTTTTTTAAAGCACTTAAGGTGCAAAAAAACAAACTCAACACTATATCCATAAAATTGCCACCTCAATTAAACCCTTTATGAAATAAGTACAATAATTAACTTATAAATCAAATTTTAAAATGTGATTATGAGGAAAGAGGTATCTGTTTAGTAAATGAAAGTCAACTTAAAAATATTTCATTAGGAAGGTAGAAGTTGCTCCACAAGAGCCATAACACAAAGAAACATCACCTATTCTTCCAAAAGCATCCAGGGCTGTCTTCACAACCTTCTCTCCTTCTTCCACTGAATCTGAGGGAAAGGAAAATTTGTATGAAATTTCGGCAACCTCCCTTCCAAAGGACTTCTAAATTCTGTGGGTCAGAGTACACGACAAATACTATTCACCCAACAGAACTCAGAAGAACATATCCATATCTACAATAATTTACTAATTATATCATGTGCTCACTAATAAAAATAGTAAACAATAGAACAAAGCTTAGAATCATGAAATAGTCTACATCAAAAGTTTTAACAATTCTCACATATATAAAATATGTAGTCAGAAAACTTTGGCAGACTTAGAAAATCATAATTATACTGGAATACTGAGATATTTGCTCAAAGATTATTAATGTGACAAATAGCATTAGTTGAAGGAAAATAAATAGTATAGTTCTCTCAAATACCATACCATAGTTGGCCACTGCTTTTCCACCTCTCCTTCTTATTTCTTCAACAACCTTATCAGCAGCTAAGGAGCCTTTACCAACTCCTTTGAAGTCCCCTCCCAAATCATTCACTGTAATGCAAAAACAAGCAAACAACAATTAATTATTCTAGACTTTCAAAATGTGTGTGTGTGTGTGTGGAAAATGAAATTCTAATTACTAGCACATCTCTTCAGTCATCTGCCCAGTTCCTTCCTACCCTATCCCATCTTACTAAACACAACACAGCCATTTTCAAAACATTCCTCTTCATTTTTGAATACAGACATAAAGAAACAGCAAAACTATTTAAATACAGGTTGTTCTCATGAAATTTTTAACTGTGCAGTGTTTTTCCTCTTTCAAAAAGTAAAGAAGACTGGGCATGGTGGCTTATACCCGTAATTCCACCACTTTGAGAGGCTAAGGTGGGAGGACTACCTGAGCTCAGGAGTCTAAGACCACCAGCCTGGGCAACATAGCAAGATTTCATCTCTACTAAAAACCAAAATAATTAGCTGGGCATTATGGCATGTATCTGTAGTCCCAGCTACTTGGGAGGCTGAGGTGGGAGGATTGCTTGAACCTGGGAAATCAAGGCTGCAGTGAGCTATGATCATGCCACTGCACTCCAGCCTGGGCAACAGAGCAAGACCCTTTCCAGGAAAAAAAAAAAAAAAAAAAAGGAGCAGGGAAGAAAAGTAAAAAAAAAAAAAAAAAAAAAAAGATTCATCCACTTTTCAGCAAAAGAAAAGAAAAAATGTGAAAATCGCTTTAAGATTAAATACACAGGAAAACAAAACTACTATAAGATCGATCAATCCTACTTCCACATCTTTATCCAAAAGAACTGAAATCAGAAGAAAAACTGACTTGAAATTCTCTTCAAATAACAAAGGATATTAGCACTCCAATGTTCACTGCAACACAATTCACAATAGCTAAGATGTGGAAACAACCTAAATGTCCATGGATAGGTGAATGAATAAAGAAAATGGGGTATATACAAGCAATGAAACGTAATTCTGCATTTAAAAAGAATAAAATACTGCAATATGTGATAATATGAATAAACTCTGAAGACACTATGTTAAACGAAATAAGTGAGTCACAAAAGGACAAATACTGGCATGATTCCACTTATGTGCGGTATCTAAAATATCAAAACTCATAGAATCACAAAATAGAATGATGGTTGCCAGGAACTAGTGAGATGCTGGAAATGGAGAGTTGATAACCAATGGGTATAAAGTACCAATTACGTTGGGCCGGGCGCGGTGGCTCATGCGTGTAATCCCAACACTTTGGGAGGTCGAGGCGGGTGGATCACCTGAGGTCAGGAATTCAAGACCAGCCTGGCCAACATGGTGAAACCCCGTCTCTACTAAAAATCCAAAAATTAGCTGGGCGTGATGATGCACACCTGTAATCCCAGCTACTCGGGAGGCTGAGGCAGGAGAATCGCTTGAACCCAGAAGGCAAAGGTTGCAGTGAACTGAGATCGTGCCACTGCACTCCAGCCTGGGCAGCAGAGTGGAAACTCTGTCTCAAAAAAAAAAAAAATTTCAATTATGCAAGATAAATAAGTTCTAGAGATCGGCTATACAACATACCTATAACAATACTATATTGTACACTTAAAACCTTGTGAAGAGGATAGATGTCATAAGTATTCTTACCACAATAAAAAAGTTTTTAAAGATTAAGCACACAATGTTGAAATATCTTCTCCATAAGAAAGTCTTTATGTATAAGAATGGTGATTTTAAAAGAAACACGCATGAGCTTAAAATATTAGAAAATCATATTTTAAGTTTTTACAACACACAGTGTCTAAAATGAAAGAAATAAAAACTATTTCTCAAAAGAGGTCAAAAATTACATACAGAACCAATATATGTTTAGTCACTAATTTATACCATAACTCCATGTTCATATGTTTAACTGATGACACTTACCATAAAACATCTCCCTATATCCAATTATATATTTACAAACATTAATTGATAATTTACTATTTGCAGGAAAATCTACAGAGGGACACACAAATGTATAAGAATGGTGTTTGCCCTCAAAGAGTTTATAATCTATTGAAAGTTAAGTATGCGATGGCCACAGTAATACACAGATTTTAGCATAAAGTGTATATCCAAGCCAACATAATCAAATAAGAACAAATATCAAAGTTAATTTACACAATAATTTATGAAAAAATTTACAAAATAACATGCAAAAACTAATAAAAAGATACATAGATAAATGCCAAATAACTTGGAAAAACAGAACTTAAGAGAATTACTTGAAACAAAGAATCTGCATTGTGAAATGATCTTCTCCATAGGGTTATTGCATAGATTTTGAAAGCTGTAACAATAAAAAAGTTACTAATTAATAAATAGCATAATGGTATACATGAAAATGTAATAGTTATGATTAACACAATTTTTTTTAAACAAGATTTTTTTTTCTTCTGAAAAACTGCTCTTTTTAAAACTGGGGTGAGAGTTGAAAGTGGAATTGGATAAATAAGTAATGGGATAATATGGAGAAAAAGCCAATGCCTAAAATTAGCTAAGGCATATATATTTTCACTTAACTTTTTAAAAACAGGAAATGAGTTTTTCAAAATGTGGACTGAGATTTTTTTTTGATAGTATAATATGATAAGTCTTACTGAAAATAAAAATGTTACAAGACACAAAATAATAGAAAGAGGCTTGTATTATCCCTCAAGAGATGGAAAAAGTGTTAGGATTCTCAAAAGACTGAATTCTTATTAATTGTTCATTTCAATGCAATTATTCAAATGACAGGAAACAACCAGTTAAAAAAATCAAGATTTTAAGACAGTTAACAGTCTTTTATGACCCTTTTTAAGCACAAGAAAGTTCAAAAGCAAATTAGAAAACGTGATACTTAAGTGAAGAAAGCATTGTTTGATTGTGCAATGAAACACTACCCCCAAGTGGAAATTTTACAAAGCGCAACCAGGCAGGCAAGCATTGAAAGCTGGATAAATAATTTATTGAGATCAATCATGGGTAGTTAAATAATATTGGGGTAAATTTATCTCAAACAAATCTCTACATTAGAGACCACTAAATTGACACTGACCCACTCAGCAATCCCATTATCACCAGAGCGAAATCACAGAAATTAAAATCTTAACTAGAAAATACTGGTTAGATGTCATCAAGATGGCCAACTAGAGGTGCCCAATCCTTGTCTCCTCCGCAGAGAAGAATCAAAACAACAAATAACAGCACTTCAGGTAGAATGTCTAAGAGAGAACATGAAAATTCAGCAAGGAAGTGACAAAAACCCTCTGAGGCACAGAAACTCTGCATGGCAGCTTAGAGGGGGAAGTGAAGCATCCAGATGGAATCAGCTTAGAGCTGACAGGGACTTCCCATTGTGGGCAAAAGGTTAAGTGGGGGACACCCAAGAGTCGCCATTACCATCACAAATACCTGTAATCACAGACCCTGAGCTCAGTATAGGAACCTGCCTGGAGTATACACAGCTGAATTGCTCCTGAAAAGAAACACAAGCTGAGTCCTCCCTATCCCATGAGACCCAAGCTGTTACAGTATGACACCATTTTGGTAATGGAACCACTGCTGGTGTGCATTCTGACCTGGAGGCCAATAGCCCAGACACCTCCACATCCTAGGGGTGCCATCTGCCATCATCCCACCATGCCCACACAGAAGGCTGCAGGATCATGACCCCAGCTAGTTTCAGTGGTACCACTATGACCTCAGCACCTGAGTCCATGCAGCACCCTACACTCCAAAAAAAAAAACAGACATTCAAGTACAATGGGGACGCTGCCACCAGGAAGAGAAAGGCTGACATACGCATTCCCCAGAGACTGAGAATTAGCCTGGCCAGCATCTATCACCTCAAGCAACCATGACCTATCTAGCAGTAGAGCAACCATGTGCCACATGTGCCCCATATGGACCAAGACAACTGACACCACCAGCAACCCTTCCCCCTCCCATGGAGGATCTACCATGCACCATGCTCACCCACCAGGGACAGACAACTAACCCATCTGGCAATCCCTGTTCCCAGCAAAACCATGCCACTGTCTCCACAAACCCCAAAGTCAAGGCCACTGAGGCACATACAGACACTGTTGATGTTGATTACAGCCAAAGAAATCACAAGGCAATTACACATCTGTGCCCAACCAGAAGCTAAACCAAACACCTAACCTAACTGATACATAGAGAAAAAAGTCTTTCCCTACAAAAGTTAATTCATAAAAGGGGAAGATACGACTGTTCTACTAGACACACAAATATCAATGTAGGAACAAAAGAAACATGGAAAAACAGGCCAGGTGCAGTGGCTCACGCCTGCAATCCCAGCACTTTGGGAGGCCCAGGCAGGTGGATCACTTGAGGTCAGGAGTTTGAGACCAGTATGGCCAACATGATGAAACTACATTTCTACTAAAAATAACAAAAATTAGCCAGGCGTGGTGGTGGACACCTGTAGTCCCAACTACTAAGGAGGCTGAGGCAGGAGAATTGCTTGAACCAGGAGGCAGAGGTTGCAATGAGCCGAGACCGCGCCACTGTACTCCAGCCTGGGCAACAGAGTGAGACCCTGTCTCTAGGTGGATAAATAAAGAAATAAAAATAGATACCTTTCTTTAAACACTTTTTTTAAGTTAAAAAAAAAAAAGAAACATGGAAAAACAGGGAAACACAACACCTCCAAAGAAACACAACTCTCCAGTAACAAACCTAAATAGAAGAAAATCTACGAAATTCCTGAAAGGGAATTCAAAATGATGATCTTAAGGAAATCCAGTGAGATACAAGAAAAATATAGATAGATAATACAAGAAAATCAGAAAAACAATTCATTATCTAAATGAGAAATTCAACAAAAAGATATATATATCATTAAAAAAAACAGAGCTTAAGAATACAATGAATAAAGTGTGATGACTGAGTGTTCACACTCGTGTAAGATATGCCTCCCTCAAACGTTGTCATGAAATAAGCACATTGCCCAACTGATAGGAAAAAGAAAAAAAAAAACAAGAATTCAATCAATGAAATTTAAAAATACAATTGAAAGCTTCAACAACAGACTACATCAAGCAAAAGAAAGAATATTTAAACTCAAAGACAGGACTTTTGAAATAACCCAGTCAGACAAAAAAAAAAAGGAAAGAGAAAAACATAAAAAAGAATGAAGAAAGCCTATGGTAGTAATGGGACACCATTAAGTAAACAAATTTTTACATATTGAGAGTTACAGAAGGAGCGAAGTTGGGCATAGAAAACATTTTAGCTGAAAACTCCCAAGTCCTGAAAGAAAGATGGACATCCATATCCAGGACACTCAAAGGTCTTCAAATGGATTCAACCCAAAAATGTCCTCTCCAAAGCACATTCTCCTAAAACTGTCAGAAGTCAAAGACAAAAAGAGAATATTAAAAACAGCAAGAAAAAAGCATCAAGTCACATATAAGACTTATTAGACTAACAGCAGATTTATCTGCAGAAACATTACAAGCCAGGAGAGAATGGAATGATAACATTCAAAATGCTGAAAGAAAAAAAAAAACAAAAACCTGCCAGCCAAGAACACTACTCCAGCAAGCTATCCTTCAGAAATAAAGGAGAAACAAAGTCTTTCCCAGACAAGAAAAAACTGAGAGAATTTATCACCACTAGACCCGTCTTAAAAGAAATGCTTATGGGAGTCCTACACTTGAAAGTGAAAGGATGAACTACCATCATGAAAACATATGAAAGCTTAAAACTCACTGGCAGAGCACATACACAAATGAGAAAGAGAAAAGAATCCAATTTCATCACTACAAAAAAACCACCAAACTGAAGAGATAGACAATAAAAGACAAAGAAAGGAACAAAGAACATACAAAAAAAAACAGAAAACAATTAACAAAATGACAGAAGTTCTTGCCTATTTATCTTGAATATAAATGAATTAAATTTCCCAATTAAATGATAAAGAGATTGGCTGGATAGATTTTTTTAAATACTCAACTATATGCTACCTACAAGAAACTCACTTTGCTTGTAAAGACACACATGGACTGAAAATGAAAGGACAGAAAAAGATATTCTATACAAATAGAAACCAAAAATAGGCAGAATAACTACATTCATAACTCAGTATATACAAGGCATTTGTTCCAGGACACTCCACGTGCATCAAAATCTGTGCCTACTCAAGTCCTGAAGTTGGCCCTGTGAAACCCACGTATACAAAAAGTAGGCCCTCCATATATGCAAATTTCATATCCTATGAATACTGTATTTTCTATTGATGTTTGGTTTTTAAAATATAAATGTATAAGTGAACCTGCACAATTCAAACCTATGTTGTTTAAGAGTCAACGATACACTTACATCAGATATAATAGACTTTAAGTCAAAAACAGTGCAAAGAGAAAAACAAGGTCATTATATAAAGATAAAGGTATCATTTCAGCAAGAGGACATAACAGTTGTAAATATATATGCACCCAACACTGGAACACCCAGATATATAAAGCAAATGCTACCAGATCTAATGAGAAAGATAGACTTCAACACAATAATAGTTGGGAACTTCAATACCTCACTCATGGCATTGGGCAGATCATCCAGAAAGAAAATCAACAAAGAAACTTTGGACTTAAACTGCTCTATAAACAAAATGGACCAAAAAGACCACTGCTCTAGAAATGAAATGGTCCTAATAGAAGTTAACAGAACATTTGATCCAACAGCTGCAGATACACATCAGCACATGGAACATTCTCCGCAACAGACCATAAGTCAGGCCACAAAATAAGCCTCAATAAATTTTTTATTTGATATGATTTTGGTTTTCTAATCACAATGAAGAAAAACTAGAAATCAATAACAAGAACTTTGGACACAGTACAAATACATGCAAACTAAACAACATATTCCTGAATAACCAACGGGTAGCAAAGAAATTAAGAAGAAAATGTAAACATTTCTTGAAACAAATGAAAATAAAAACACAATATACCAAAGCCTATGAAATACAGCAAAAGCAGTACTAAGAGGAAAGCCTATAGCAATAAATGCCTACATTGGAAAAGTAGAAAGAATTCAAATAAACAATCTAAAAATGCATCTAAAAGAACTAGAAAAGCAAGAACCAAATCCAAAATCAGTAGATAGAATTAATAAAGATCAGAGAAGAAATAAACAAAATTGAGACTAAAAAATTACAGAAGGTCACTGAAACAAAAAGTTGGTTTTTTGAAAAGATAAACAAAACTGACAATTCATTAGCTAGAATAAGAAAAAAAGAGAAAACACAAATAAAATCAGAAATGAAAAAAAGGCATTTACAACTGATACCACAGAAATAAAAAAGATCATTAACGACTACTACAACAACTCTACGCCAACAAACTGGAGGAAAACTGGACATAGACATATGACCTACTACCAAGATTCAACTCAGAAGAAATAGAAAATCTGAACAGGTCAATAACAAAGAACAAGATTGAAGCGGGTATAAAAAGTCTCCCAAGAAAGAAAAGAGCAGTAACAGACAGCTTCACTGCTGAATTTTACCAAACATTTAAAGAACTAATACAAATTCCTCTCAAACTATTTCAAAAAATTGAAGGGGGAGGGAACAGATTTCTTCCAAACTCATTCTATGAGGTGGGCATTATACTGATACCCAAACCAGACAAGGACAAAACAACAAAAAAAAGAAAACTGAAGTCCAATATCCCTGATGAACACAGTCACAAAAATCCTAAACAAAATACTAGCAAACTGAATCCAATTAGAAGATAATATATCACAATCAAGTGAGATTTAGCCAGAGATGTAACGATGGTTATGTGTATCAATAAATGTGATATCACATCAACAAAACAAAGGAGAAAAAAACCATCTGATCATCTCAAGAGAAAGCATGTGGTAACATTCAATATTCCTTCAGGATAAAAACTCTCAACAAATTAGGTACAGAAGGAATGTACCTCAATACAACAAAGGTCATATATTACAAACCTGCAGCTAACATCACACTCAACAGGGAACAGCTGAAAGCTTCTCCTCTAAAAACTGGAACAAAATAAAAATGCCCACTTTCACCGCTCTTATTCAACATAGTGCTGAAAGTACTAGCCAGGACAATTAGGCAAGAGAAAGAAACAAAGGGCATCCAAATTAAAAAGAAGGACATCAAACTGTTCCTGTTTACAGATGACACAATCCTACATATAGAAAAACCTAAAGACTCCATCAAAAAACTCTTAGAACTGATAAATGAATACAGTAAAGTTGCAGAATAGAAAATCAACATACAAAAATCAGTAGCATTTCTATACACCAATGTGTCAGGCTACTTCTGCATTGTTATAGGAAATACCTGAGGCTGGGTAATTTACAAAGAAAAGAGGTTTAATTGGAACATAGCTCTGTGGGCTGTACAGGCAGAGCTCCAGCATCTACTCCTCGTAAGGCCCTCAAGAAGCCTCCAATCATGGCAAAAGGCAAAGGGGGAGCAAGTGCATCACAATGGCAAGAGTGGCAGCAAGAGAGAGAAGGAGGTCCCAGACTGTTTTAAACAACCAGATCTCACATGAACTGAGTAAGAACTCACTTATCACCAATGGGTTGGTGTTAAGCCAATCACATTTCAACATGATTTGGAGGAGAAAAACATCCATACCATATAAACCAATACCAAACTAGCTGAAAAAGAAACCAGAAAGCAATCCCATTTACAATCACCAGAAAAATAAAATAAAGTACCTAGAAATAAATTAACCCATTCATGGATTGGAAGAATTAGTACTGTTAAGATGGCCATACCACCCAAAGTGATCTACAGGTTCAATGCAATCTCTATCAAAATGCCAGTGGCATTCTTTTTGCTGTTGTTCCTAGCCACTAGACAACCAGGGAACCAGTGATATTCTTCAAAGAAACAGAAAAAAAAAAAAATCCTAAAATTCACATGAAACCACAAAAGATCCCAAATAACCAAAGCAATACTGAGCAAAAAGAACAAAGCTGAAAGTATCACACTACTTGACTTCAAAATATACTATAAAGCTAGAGCTACCAAAGGCCGGGCGCGGTGGCTCACGCCTATAATCCCAGCACTTCAGGAGGCCAAGGCAGGCGGATCATGAGGTCAAAAGATCGAGACCATCCTGGCCAACATGGTGAAACCCCATCTCTATTAAAAAATATATAAAAATTAGCTGGGCGTGGTGGCGGGTGCCTGTAGTCCCAGCTACTCGGGAGGCTGAGGCAGGAGAATCACCTGAACCCAGGAGGTGAAGGTTGCAGTGAGCCGAGATCACACCATTGCACTCCAACCTGGGCGACAGAGCGAGATGCTGTCTCAAAAGAAGAAAAAAAAAAGCTATAGCTACTCAAACAGCAATGGTAGTGACATAAAAATAGATACATAGACCAATGGAACAGAATAGATAACACAGAAATAAATCCATGCATTTAAAACCAGTTGATTTTCTACAAAGGTGCCAAGAACATATGTGGGGGAAATGACAGTCTCTTCAATAAATGGTGCTGGGAAAACTGGATATCCATATGCAAAAGAATGAAAATAGACCCCTACCTCTCATCATATACAAAAATCAACACAAAATTTATTAAAAACCTAAACATAAGACCTGAAACTATGAAACTACTAGAAGAAAACATACGGGAAACACTTCAGGACATTGGTTTGGGCAAAGATTTTATAAATGAGACCTCGGAAGCATAGGCAACAAAAGCAAAAATAAACAAATGGGACTAGATCAAACTAAAAAGCTTCTGCACAGCAAAAAAACAATCAACAGTGAAGAGACAACTTGCAGAATGGGAGAAAATATTTGCAAACTATTCATCCAACAAGAGATTAATATCCAAAATACATAAAAAACTCAACACCAAAAATAAAAAATAAATAATCCTAATAAATAAATAATAAACAGTATATTTTTAAAATGGCAAATGAACTGAATAGGCATTTCTCAATGGCCAGGTGCAGTGGCTCACGCCTGTAATCCCCGCACTTTGGGAGGCCAAGGCAGGCGGATCATTTGAGATGAGGAGTTTGAGACCAGCCTGGCCAACATGGTGAAACCCCATCTCTACTAAAACTACAAAAAAAATAGCTGGGTGTGGTGGCAGGTGCCTGTAGTCCCAGTTACTAAGGAGGCTGAAGCAGGAGAATCGCTTGAACCCGGGATGTGGAGGCTGCAGTGAGCCAAGATGACACCACTTGCACTCTAGCCTGGGCAACGGAGTAACACTCTTTCTTAAAAAAAAAAAAAAAAAAAAAAAAAAAAAAGACATATAAATGGCCAAGAAGTATATGAAAAAATGTTCAACATCACTAATCATGAGGAAAATGCAAATCAAAATCACAATGAGATCATTTCAAGTTAGAATGGCTACTATCAAAAAGGCAAAAAAAAAAAAAATAACAAAGGATGACAAAAATGTGAAGAAAATGAAACTCTCATATATTATTGGTGGAAATGTAAATTAGTACAGCCATTATGGAAAATAGTATGGAGGTTATTCAAAAAAACTAAAAACAGAACTACCATATGAATTAATCCCATTGCTGGGTATATATAACCCAAAGGAAAGGAAATCAGTATGTCAAAGAGGTATCTGCATTCCCATGTTTACTGCAGCACTATTCACAATAGTCAAGATATGGAACCGGCCTAAGCGTTCATCAACAGATGCATGGATAAAGAAAATGTGGCACACAATACATAATGGAATACTATTTGGCCATTAAAAAAATGAAATCCTGTCATTTTCAGCAACATGGATGAGCCTGGAGGAAATTATGTTAAGTAAAATAAGCCAGGCACAGAAAGATAAATACATCATGTTTTCACTCATATGTGGAAGCTAAATAAGTTGATCTCACAGAAGTACAGAGTATAATACTGGTTACTAGAGGCTGGGAAGGGTAGCAGGGAAGAGGGGAATAGGAAGAGATTGATTAACCAATACAAAATTACAACTAAATAGAAGGAATAAGTTCTAGTGGTGTATAGTACTCTAGGGTGATTATGGCCAACAATAATTTATACTATATTTTCAAATAGCTAGAAGAGAGGATTTTGAATGTTCCCAATGCAAAGAAAGGATAAATGTTTGAGGCGATGGATATGCTAATTACTGATTTGATCATTACACACTGTATAAAGGTATGAAAATATCACACTGTACCCCATAAATATGTATGTGTCAATTAAAAATAATAAGAAAAGAAAATCATTGGTACATGCTGAAAAGCTTAGATATAGAAAGAACATTAAAAATACTTTTTGCAATTATATACAAAGAGAATTGTATCCATAACATGTGACACTGTTACCACTTAAACGTATAGCTAAAATTCTAGTAGTAATAATAATAACTTATACTGATATGTGTGTACTTCACATTTCAATAAAACTACTATGTACACTGATGCATTTAATCTCCAGATAGCTTTTTAAGAGAGTGGCAGTAACAATTGTTCCTACTTTCACAGATAAGAAAACAGTTTGGAAAAGATTATCCTACCACGGGTCCCTAAGTCTATAAGAAACGGCAAAATTTACACTAGAAATTGGACCTACTACAGTACCACTCTGCTCCTCAAATGTGTTAAGCAAGTTTCTTTTACCCTAAAAAGATCATTAGTTCCACTAAGCAAAAAAAAAAAAAAAAAAAAAAAAAAAAAAAAAAATCACATTTGTTGGGGGAGGATATGAAGCAAAAGATAAATCAACCACCCAACTCAAATAGCTTTCAAATAGGTAGCAAAAAATGGTAAGACTATGATAGTCAAGGGTCAAGTCTTTTCAGCTGAAACTATCAAAATGTTCCAAAGTGTGATACATTTGTACATTTTCCATATAAAATCTAGTTCATAACCCTGGAGGGTTTTTTTTAACATAAATCTTTTCCTTGTTTCTGTCATTTTAAATAAATCAGTGACTCGGACAGTCTATTAACTACAGAAGATTTTTCCTAAAAAGCATTCCCAAAATTTTGTCAAATACGTGCTATATTGGGAATGTACGAATATTGGGAAATCCTTTTCGTTTTTTCTTGAGACAGGGTATCACTGTCACCCAGGCTGAGTGCAGTGACACAATGATAGCTCATTGAAGTCTCAAACTCCCAGGCTCAAACCATCCTCCTGCCTCAGCCTCCTGAGTAGCTAAGACTACAGGCATGCACCACCACACGTGGCTTTTTTTTTTTTTTTTTGGCAAAGACAGCGGGCCTTGCTATGTTGCCCAGGCTGGTCTTAAACTCATGGCCTCAAGCAATCCTCCTGCCTCAGCCTCCCAAACTGTTGGGATTACAGGCGTGAGCCACTGCACCCAGCCAGGATCCAAGGAATTCTAAAACACACTTAGATCCGATAAAAAGTATTCTATAAGTAGGTAAATAGATAACTAAGTACAAGGTACCAAATTATCAGGCATCAATAGCCTGAAAATAGAACCACGTGTTTGTGAGAATGCCTGTTACCCCACATTCTCACAACATTGGTTATTATCATTGCCTTCAGTCTGACAATTACATGATTATAATTTGTAGCTCATTATTTTAGTCTACATTTTTTTGAGCACTAGTAAAGTAATATTTTATTTTCATGGCTTATATTTATATTTATTATTGTTTTGCCTATTTAGTTCACATTTTATTTGGGATACTTGCTTATAGATTTGTAAATGTCCTTTATTTATAAAAGATCTTAATTCTTTGTTACATAAGATATGAATCATAAATTCCTTTACTGAAATGTTGAGAGAGAAATAAAGTTCATATCTGAGCATCAATATTACTTGATGACTATTATGTACATTGCTTTTTACCCCATCTCAGGGTAAAAGTTAGTCCTTACTCTGAACTAAAGGTCCTATGTGATCTGGCCTTCTAGGACCCCTCTGCCCTCATCTCTCACTTTTGTCTCCCTTATGACCTTGCTCGCTATATAACCACACTGGCTCCCTTCCTAACCCTAAAACATACCATGCCTGCTGCAGCCTCAGTAACCTGGCTTCAGCTGCTTCTTCTGCCAGGGATGCCGCGACAGCAGATCTCCTCAAGGCGCACTCCTTCACTTCCTGCAGTCTCTCCTTAAAGCATTTTCTGTTCCATTCACTCATTTTTTTCTCCACAGCACCTACATCTATTATATTTTTACATATGTATTTCTTGATTATCTGTCCCTCCACTACTCCCCACTAGAATATATGCACCATGAAAGTAGGGACTCTGTTTTATTCCCACTATATTCCTCTGGCATCTAGAACAGTGTTTGCTACATAATAGACGCTTAATAAATACATGTTAGATGAATAAATGAATCTATTTGATGTTAAGTCTATTAACCTTATTACTTTTTTTAAAACTGGCAAATGACAAAATAACGACTTGCTAAGAACTACTCTAGCTCTTAAAATGACAAATAGCTAAGAGCTACTCTAAATTTATTCAAAGGTTTTCCCCCATAATCCAGATTGGTGATAGTCATGGAGGTATCCAAGGGAGATGTGGGTATTTCATGTACGGCTCATTTATTATCAGCTGGAATTCACATGTGCCTTCTTATGATCTTTCTCCCTGTATTATATCAGTTTCACTTATTCAATCAGTATATATTCTTGATTACTAAGTACTATACTTACCGTTGCGGAGAGTGTATCAGTGCCTAAAGCAGCCTGGGATGGTTTAAATATTTAGCCCCTCCAAAACTCACATTGAAATTTAATCCCTGATGTGACAGTATAGAGATGTGGGGCCTTGGCCGGGCACAGTGGCTCACACCTGTAATCCCTGCACTTTGGGAGGCCGAGGCGGGCGGATCACGAGGTCAGGAGATCGAGACCATCCTGGCTAACACAGTGAAACTCCATCTCTACTAAAAATACAAAAAAAAAAATTAGCTGGGCACGGTGGCAGGCACCTGTAGTCCCAGCTACTTAGGAGGCTGAGGCAGGAGAATGGCGTGAACCCGGGAGGTGGAGCTTGCAGTGAGCCGAGATAGCGCCACTGCAGTCCGGCCTGGGCAAAAGAGGGAGACTCCCTCTCAAAAAAAAAAAAAAAGAGATGTGGGGCCTTTAAAAAGTGATTGAATTGTGAGGGCTCTGCCCTTATAAATGCATTAATCTATTCATGGACTAATAGATTAATCGGGTAATGAATTAACAGGTTATCATGGGAGTGAGACTAGTGGCTTTATAAGAAGAGGAAAAGAGACGAGAGCCAGCACACTCAGCCTCTTGCCCTGTGACGCCCTGTGCCATCTCGGGACTCTACAGAGTCCCCACCAGAAAGGAGGCCCTCCTCACCAGATGTAGCCCCTCAGCACTGGCCTACTCAGCCTACATAACTATAAGAAATAAATTCCTTTTTTAAAATACATTACCCGGTTTTAAGTGTTCTGTTATAAGCAACAGAAAACAGACTAAGACACAGAGCTTTTCCTTTAAGCATCTAGGAGAAACATGTATAAGGGGGCTAGGATGTGCCTTGAGTCAACAAGACCTCAGTCAACAAGACCTTCACTTTGATATATCCAGTTCTTGAGCAGAGTGAGTCATATATGGTAAGCAGGGACTGATATTGGTTCCTTTCTCTTCCCTTTCCGAAAGTCTTTAATTTTTTGTCATTTACCCTCACCATAATCCCGGAAGTTAGCTAAGACAGCTATAAACAGAGAGGTCATATAATTAGGCAGCAGAGCCAGGATTTAAAACTTGGCCTGACTTCAAAGGCAATGCACCTTGCCCACTACAGTTCACCTTCCAGCTGTCAAGATCCCATAGGGGTTAAAAACAATGGCTCTAGCATCAGGCCACAGGAAGTTAAGACTCAGCTTTACCATTATTATGTAACTGTAGCACGGAAAAGTCATGTCAATCTTACTTAAAAAGATTGTAATTCAATTTACCCAAAGGTGTTACTTCAGTTCAAGAGTAGAACTCCCTTTCTTTTACTAAGGAGTTCTTTTTGCTCCTTTTTGTCAGTCCTTCTTGTGTTTATGTCCTCAAAATAAAACTTACTATTCAGAGAACTAGATATAGCTCACCTACTGAGGAAACCTCAAAACTACTGAATTCCCAATAACCTACTTAAGAAATGCACAAGCATTTCCTGAAAGATGTAATTTACACAAAAGCAAATGTCCCTTTTTACAGTATCAGCCTAAGGCTTAGCAGTTCTTATACCAAATTTAAATATCCCATAAGCTTTATATTATGGAATATAAAACATAGCAATCATATTAACACAAAATTGGAGACTATCTTAAATGATGCCCCTAACTTTTGGCTTAGCCAAATGATTTCCTTTGGCCAATGAAATGTCGGTAGAAGTGACATGCCACTTCTAAAAAGAGGTCAGGAGTTCAAGACCAGCCTGGCCAAGATGGTGAAACCGCATCTTTACTTAAAAAAAAAAAAAAAAAAATTAGCCAGGCTTGGTGGCAGGCGCCTGTAATCCCAGCTACTTGGGAGGCTAAGGCAGAGAACTGCTTGAACCCGGAGGCAGACGTTGCAGTGAGCCAAGATCACGCCACTGCACTCCAGCCTGGGCAACAGAGCAAGACTCCATCTCAAAAAAAAAAAAAAAATTAGTGTGTGTGATGCAACTTGGAAACACGGTGTCTATGGTGTACATGTAAAAAGGCTAACAGGTAAGACACAGACTTTAAAAAGGAATAGAAAACATCAGTCAAAATTTCTGCACTTCCACATGGATTGAATTCTCCTCCTTAATACTAAACTAAATCTGGCTCTTCATTCAAGTTTATGAAATATTTTTCTTCTATATTCTTGGACTTTTATCAGGACTTGACACAATTATCATCTCTACTATAATAATGCAATGACAAAATAGATAGACACAGCATCTCTGTTTAATTTTTTCTTAGAATTCAAATACTCCTAATCTGAATTTAAGAAATTGAGAGGGAACAGGGAAATAAAGGAAAATTGATGCACAGGAACACACTGTTATAAAATTTTTTACAAAACAGGTTTATAAACTAAGTTTATATCTTAGTCAAGAACAAAAAAAAGAAATGTATTCAACCAATCTCAAACACACCCTTCCCCCAGAAAAGTATATCAACAATAAAAGAACCAATGAACAAAGTACCTTCTTTGCACAAAGAAATATTCTAGGTCCTTTAGTAGATACAAAAGATAAAACAAGATCCTTGCCGTTATGGAATTGAGCAGAAAAGATGTAAATAAATAAAAACATATAAGGTAAAAATATTAAGAACTAAATAGCAACATAAAAAGGAAGGAAAATTAAAAATAGTAACAGCATGTGTCTTTAGGCCTCAACATGAGCTATTCTTGGGAAAATCTGACAAAGTGGGCCTGAAATATATACTCGCTGTCCAAATAATACAATGTCAAAATTCATCCCTGCCAGAAGAAGCAGATTGGATTAGCAGACAGTGCCTATGATCTTAAACAAGGAACATCCAAAGCGTCAGTGTTCCTTCCATAAAGATAAGCTACACATCCACAATGAAGGAGAAAAGTGTATCAAGTGCTCTGCTTAGGGCTTGTTTAGAAAACCTGGTTGCTTGCTTACTCTTTTGTTATATGTGTCTCCCTGAACAAACTGATGAAAATTCGTCTCTCTGTATTGCCTCGTTAAGATGTCAGAAAGCTGAAATTAGAAGATCATTGTGGGCCCACAGTTTTATCCCAGGAAATATGCTAATAAGTACTGGGTCCTACATATCCCCCTGCACTTAGCACCCATTTAGTTATTCCCCAGAAAGGCTCAGTTGTGGACAAATTCGTTTCTGTGTCCACACCAACTGTCAAGCACATTAGATCAGTCCAAACCATGCAGATTACTAAAACCTCCCACCTTTAGGATTCTTCAATACAGTATCTTCCATCTGACCCCTCCACAAACAAAAACTCATGTAACTGCCCCCTCAATTAAATTTTTTTAAAACACTTCCAGCTGAAAAGTTTTGATGAAAGAGTCAAGAAACCCATACTTTAGATTCCTTGACTCCAAACTTCCAGTTCTCAAAATTCAGTTATTTCTTACTTTTATCAATACACTTACAGGGGCTCTCTTTTGATCTCGCACCAGTAGACAAACCTCCTGTCTCAAAAAATTACAGCCTACAATTTACTGAAGTCAAGAATTTCCTTTTATACAATAAATGCTTGTCCCCACCCTTTTCTGTGAGAAACAGGGTTTTTTTTGCGCCATCACCCAGATTGGAGTGCAGTGGTATAATCATAGTTCTCTGCAGGCTCGAACTCCTGGTCTCAAGCGATCCTCCCACCTCAGCCTCCTGAGTCACTGGAGTTATAGCCACAAGCCAGCATGCCTACCCCCTAGCCCTTCGTTATCAATTCTGTTAAGCTGGGAATTCTGTGAAACTGGTTCCCTTTTAAAAGTAATTTAGACAGACAGCCTTAGTCGGGGTAAAAACCTTCTGGCAAAAGTAAAAATTAATAATAAAATTCAACCTTGACAAATTATTTGATAGAAAGACAAAGATAGCTTGTAAAGATTGTATTTCAGTTATCAGCTACAGATTAAAAAGAAAAACACACCAACTTACCAACAACTAACGCTCCTCTTTCTGCAAAAGCCAGGGCATAGGCTCGGCCCAATCCTAATCAAAAACAAAATAATCAGAAAGTTGAAGAAATGTCAGCATAATTTTTTTGGTCCGCTCAACTCAATCCCCATTTAAAGAAATTGGTGAACAATTAATTACATTTTAATGATACTCTCAACCTATCCTATCACTGACATTCTCAACCTATCCACTCTCTTCTGCTTGCAGAGGCTGGAAAGCTTAAAACTGTATTTTTCCACCTATTCTACTACCACTTCCTACCATTCTACTTAGCTGCTAGGATGCTGTGAATTGGGTTCCACCATCTGATGCATCTGCATAAAACTTAGAAGGTGTAAGTGAGACAGAGACCACCTTACTGGGAGTTCTGGCTGTTGTTGTTAAGAAGCTAGTTTTCTTGAAAGTTCCTAGGTATTCAGAAACTGACTATAGCAGCGACTTCTTCATTCAGCTCCCTAATCCCTGGATGGCAGCTTCCATACTTCAGGTCCCTAGTGCCAGTGCTACTTGGGCTGTGGCACAGCTCCAATGACAGCCTCAGAGGTATTGCCTCCTCTAATGGATCAATTTCCTATTGTTTCAGGAGTTATTCTAAGAAGACCTGCCTAAAACCTAATTGCCTGTATTGAATCCTTTGCTGCTTAAAATATCTAGTGGTTTCTGTATCCCACAGTGAACCCTGACTACACAGTCATCAAATACAGAAAATATTTAATTCTGACTCAAAGCTACAAGGTGTAAATTTATATATCCAAAAAGAAATTATATATATATATATAGAGAGAGAGAGAGAGAGAGAGAGAGAAAGTTTTGCTTTTTTTCTTTTTTTTTGAGATCCAGTCTCACTCTGTCGCCCAGGCTGGAGTGCAGTGGCATGATCTCGGCTCACTGCAACCTCCACCTCCCAGGTTCAGGTGATTGTCCTGCCTCAGCCTCGCGAGTAGCTGGGACTACAGGCGCCCGCCACCACGCCCAGCTAATTTTTGTATTTTTAGTAGAGATGGGGTTTCACCATGTTGGCCAGGATGGTCTCGATCTCTTGACCTCGTGATCAGCCCACCTCGGCCTCCCAAAGTGCTGGGATTACAGGCGTGAGCCACCACCATCCCCAGCCAAGAGAGAAGTTTTATAGGCATAGAGTATCTCGGGAAAAACACATTAGAAACTGGCAATTAGTGGTTACCTCTGGAGGACAGAACTATGTGGCTAGCAATAAGGGGTGGAAGGCTTACTTCTGGATTGTTTTTCTGTATTGTTTACATTTTTTAATATGTGTATATTTTTTACATTTTAAGTTAATTGATAAATTTCATTGACAAATGAATAAATTTAATTAACAATTTATATTTAGTATAAATTAATCAATAAGTATACAAATAACAAACTGAGATACATAAATTATTAGCCCCTTCCAAAAACAACCCAAGGCCAGGAGTAGTGACACACATCTGTAATCCCAACACTTTATGAGACAGAGGTGGGCGGATCATTTGAGGTCTGGAGTTCAAGACCAGCCTGGCCAACAGGGTGAAACCCCGTCTCTATTCAAACCACAAAAATCAGCTGGGCTTGGTGGTGTGCACCTGTACCCCCAGCTACTTGGGAGGCTGAGGTAGGAGAATTGTTTGAACCCGGAAGGCAGAGGTTGCAGTCAGCCAAGATCATGTCACTGCACTCCAGCCTCGGCAACAGAGCAAAACTCCCTCTCAAACAAAAACAAAAAGAACCAAAAATATACAGTTTTCCAAAACTAGGAAATTTCACCAAATAACTTATTTTAGAATTTAATCCAAGCAGAAGGATCACTTGAGGCCAGGAGTTTGAGACCAGCCTGGGCAACAAAGCGAGACTCCATCTCTTGAAAACATTTAAAAATTAGCTGGGCGTGGTGGCACATGCCTACAGTCCTAGCTAGTCTGGAAGCTGATGCAAAAGGATCACTTGAGCCCAGGAGTTCAAGGTTACAGTGAGCCATGATCGGGTCACTGCACTCCAGCCTGGGTACAGAGTAAAACCTTTAGCTCTGAAAAAAAAAAAAAATTTAATCAACTCTGAATGGGTAAGAGAGAATTTAACCAGTTTATGAACAGCAGGTGCTAAGTTCATAACTGTCTAGTCACAACTCATTGTTTCACAAAATCAATTTTGTGGGTTACAATTACAATTTATAAATAAAACAGAATAGAAAATAAATTTCAGGATGCATTGCCTGTACTACACACTATATCATGAACTGGTTTTAAATACAGATGTATGTGCTTGTGTAAGTGTACTGAGTACTGGTGTAAAATGTACTGCATACCATGTGTAAGTATGCTAATGGTGTCAAAAGAAGCAGTCCCTATCCTTGAATGATTTTCAGATATAGCCCCTGAAAAGGAAAGTCTCCTTAGCGATGGCAAAAACGTCTTAGAATGTAATCCCTGGACCTCCTGCATGAAAATTATCCAAGAGCTGTCAAAAAAGATTTAAAACACCAAGCGTTGTAAAATACATTATTTACAATAAAAGCAAAGTGTAAACAAAATGTTTTCCTAAAAACATTTAGAAGGTATGACTACACCCAAATACATGCCCATGCAGAGATAACCAGACAGCTATGGGTATAAAATACTTGGCTATTCATCAACACTGAAAGCATTTTCTGAAAGGCAGCATAAGAAGCCACTTTATCAATACAGATATGAAAGTACATAGGAATTAATTGACAGAATTCCAGTTTGTAACGTTTAATATATAACTCAAATAATTCATGCATTAGGGCCTTTCCAGGTATAAGGTACTACCAGTGGAGAATCAAAGGTGCATAATGTCAAGATCCCTGCACTTGGAGGTTACAGAGGTCACCCACTGGTGAGAAACTAATGTAAAATCTCACTGCACAGCATCTATGTTGGTATGAATGGTTTGTTTTAATTTTTTGTACTTTAAAAAATGGGGCTATTTCACATAACAATTTTCCATTTTGCCGCTCCTGAAATACAGGCAACTTTCCCACTGGCCGGTCCACTTCGGAATTCTCTGCTCTCCAGTTCCTCAGATGTGCCCATCCTACTCCCATTTTCTTTCTCCATCATACGCCTGACCCCTGTGCGCATTTGAGCTTACAACCTCTGCCAAGACTCCAGTGGATTTCGAGAACAGATTGTGACTTGCTAAGCATACAAACTCCAACGGGGAAGGGCTCTTATCAGACGCCCTCTTTAAAGAAGGTCCTCTCACGAACTTAAAATCTTACGACAGAGGGAAACAAACACTGAACGACCGAATGACTTTTCAGGAGCTGACATCTCTGCGCTTCAGGGGGCGAATTCCAGCCCCCGCCCCTCGCGGCTTTTCAGTCCTTTAAAAGACTAGGCAAAGATCTAAGAGAGTTAATTGCAGGAAGAGTAACAATCGATGCCCACAGATAAGGGTCAGGGAGAACTTTCACCCAGTTTTGCAATCAGCAGCCCAGCCTGGCCTCTCCTCTCAGGCAGGACCTTGGGAAGCCCACACCGGGGTGCTGGGGAGAAGCGGGCTGTACCTGCTTGAGAGACCAGGTGTTTCCGGCTCTTTCCTCCTCAAGAGATGCGGTGCCTCAAGAATAACCATTCCCCTCCCCACCACCTCAGCGGGGTGACCTCAGCTGCGGCTGCGCGCGTATGCCGGCCCGAAAAGAGCAGCCAGCTGCGCCTCAGCAAGGGGCGCGGCCTCCAACCTTCGCATGCTCACCTGCCCCCGCGCCGGTGACCAGTACCACCCGCCCGTCGAACCTCAGCGGTGAGCCCATGAATAAGGCCTGCAACGACACACACACGAACAAGCAGAGCCGCTGGACGCCGACTGCGGGACAGGAGGAGGCGGGGAATGGCGGGGGCGGGACGAGGGTCAGTGACTTGCCGATTTCTGGTAGGAAGATGAGCGCAGAGCGCGCGGCTCCCTTGGAATCCTGGGAAATGTAGTTAAGAGTGACTCCACTCGCTGGAAGACTTGCCTTCCAGGGGCCATTTCTGCGGCTGGAAGCAATGGGAGCTGCTAGGACTTGTGTAGAAGAATAGTTAACTCGACACCTTGCGTTCATCTATTCACCTGTCGTTTCATCATTCACTCAATAAACGTTTTCTGGGTTTAGTTGCTGACCTAGAGAAACAGCATGCGGCCCCTATCCTTGAGGGGCTTCCAGAGATAGCCCCTGGGAAGGAAAGTCCCCCTTAGGGATGGTAAAGATTTGTCAGTGTAATAATCCCTGCACTTCTACATGCAAACATCAGGGGACTGTCAAAATGCAGAGTCCTGGACCCCCACTGCTTACCTCCCAAAATAGAATCTCAAGGGGCAAAAACATTTTGACAAGTGTTCCTAAATGATCTTGCGTTTGTATGTTGAGAACAGTCATAGTTCAATCAACATTTACTGAGCATCTCCTGAGTTTTGATAGGATCCTCAAGCTACTCAGAGTCAGATGGTAAACTTTCAATAACGGTGCAGCCTAGACTTGTGACCAATGTGTGTAAGTGAGCTAATGGTGTCAAAATAAACAGACCCTATCCCCGCTGGGGAGAAAGAGGAAAAACTTTCTGAAGGAGGACCAGGACCTAAAGTGGCGACCCCTGCAAAGAAAGAAGGGCATTACAGGCAGCACAAACACTAGCTAGGTTTGGGGAGAAAGAGGGTAAAGCCACAAAAGCAAAGCCAGCAAGATCATGTTTAGATGTTTGAATTTTGTGCTGAAAACGGTTTTAAGTAGGATTACTCCAGAGAGTGGTGGGAACACATTTACACTATGGAAAGATCACTTTGCCCATTATGGAGGATTGATTGGATGTTGCGGGAAGTCATGGACCCCAAACAGAGGGACCTGCTAGAGCCGCAGCAGAGGAACATAAATTGTGAAGATTTCACGGACATTTATCAGTTCCCAAATAATACTTTTATAATTTCTTATGCCTGTCTTTACTTTAATCTCTTAATCCTGTTATCTTCGTAAGCTGAAGGTGTACGTCACCTCAGGACCACTGTGATAATTGTGTTAACTGTACAAATTGATTGTAAAACATGTGTGTTTGAACAATATGAAATCAGTGCACCTTGAAAAAGAACAGAATAACAGCAATTTTTAGGGAACAAGGGAAGTCAACCATATGGGCTGACTGCCTGCGGGGTTGGGCAAAAACAGCCATATTTTTCTTCTTGCAGAGAGCCTATAAACGGACGTGCAAGTAGGGAAGATATCACTAAATTCTTTTCCTAGCAAGGAATATTAATATTAATACCCTGGTAAAGGAATGCATTCCTGGGGGGAGGTCTATAAACGGCTGCTCTGTCTTATGTGGTTGAGATAAGGACTGAGATATGCCCTGGTCTCCTGCAGTACCCTCAGGCTTACTACGGTGGGGAAAAACCCGGCCCTGGTAAATTTGTGGTCAGACCAGTTGTCTGCTCTCGAACCCTGTTTCTGTTGTTTAAGATGTTTATCAAGATAATACATGCACTGCTGAACATAGACCCTTATCAGTAGCTCTGCTTTTGCCCTTTGTCTTGTGATCTTTGTTGGACCCTTATTAGTAGTTCTGCTTTTGCCCTTTGTCCTGTTCCCTCAGAAGCATATGATCTTTGTTCTGCTTTTTGCCCTTTGAAGCATGTGATGTTTGTACCTACTCTCTGTTCTTACACCCCCTTCCCTTTTGCAACCCTTAATAAAAAACTTGCTGGTTTGAGGCTCAGGTGGGCATCACGGTCCTACTGATATGTGATGTCACCCCCGGCAGCCCAGCTGTAAAATTCCTCCCTTTGTACTCTTTCTCTATTTCTCAGCTGACTGACACTTATGGAAAATAGAAAGAACCTATGTTGAAATATTGGGGGCAGGTTCCCCCAATAATTAGAGGTGGGCAAGGAGAACATAGAAAAGATTTGGGGGAAATTATGGAAACCAGAAGTAAGGCAGAGGAAATGTTGAAGAAGAAATGTTGAGATAAACTGTATTTGCAAATGGAACTGACAGGGATAGAAGGCAGGGAAATTCTGGGCAGAAGAGGGCAGGTCCCCAGTGAGGGCTCCAACCTCAAGCCTGAAAACACAGCCCAAAGTGAGAACATGCATCCCTGTTTTCCCTCTTGAATGTTGCCTTTTCCAAAACCACCTATGGTCCCCCTGCCCCCCATCCTGTGCCCATAAAAACCCCAGGCTCCAATGGCAGAGAGGAGAGGAGAGAAGAAACAGCTCGACTTCAGAGGTATGGCTTAATGGCGTTGCTCCTGGGGAAGATCACCTTCTCACTCCATCCCCTTTTCAGCTCCCCTTCCCATTGACAGCCACTCTCATCGGCAATAAAATCCTCTGCATTCACCATTATTCAATTTGTTCCTGTGACCTGATTTTTCCTGGATGCCAAACAAGAGCTCAGGTGCCACAGGTGTGACACTAAAGGCTGTCACACTGACCCTCTGCCCTCACTGGCAGAGAGCAAGTGCCTCACACCAAAAAACAGAGGGCCTACTGAGCTGTTTAACATTTAAGCCATCAGTGGATGGCAAAGTTAAAAGAGCACTGTAACACACACCCTCTGGGGCTTCAGGGGCCTTAGGTACCCCTCTAGACACTGCCAAGGGCCACATAGAGTTTTGCTCCTGCATGCACTGGCCCCAGCTCCTGCACCCACTCACCTGTGCTCCCCGTTCCTGTGGAACGCAGTGGGACCCAGTGAATGGAGTCCACCCCTGCCAGACCCAAAGCGGCCAGCTAGTTCTAGATCCTATGTGCTCCAGTTCCTGCCCCCACCCATGAAGGGGTCAGGAAAATTTCCTGCTTCAGAACTAGTCTTTTTGATTAATTAGATGTAGATATGAGAAAAGAGCAACTGAAATAATCCTATATTTTGATTTGAAAATCTAGATTACGATGGGCCATTCATCAAAATAAATAGTGGAGAAAGAGTGGCTTTGGAGGGGTTATGGCTTCAATTTTAGACAAACTGCATCTGTGAAGGGGAAGCAAAACTATGGCTAGAGACACCTAGCAGACAGCTATGGTTCCAGAGCTCTGACAGCTTGGTTTCTGTTATAAATAAAGTTTTGGTGCCACAGAAGAAATAGCACTCGAATATAAAATTTTTTTTTCTTCTCAGCAACGCAGTTTACTTCTATAGAAGGTTGCACTCTCACAGATGGAGCAATGGTGAGCGCACACCCGGACAAGGGAGGGGAAGGGGTCCTTATTCCTGATGCATGTGGCCCCTGCTGCTGTGTCATTCCCCTATTGCCTAGGGTTAGTCCACACAGGTTAAACTAATTCCAGTTGGCTAATTTAAAGAGAGTGACAGGGTGAGTGGTTTGGCAGGAAAAATGGTTATGACAGAGAGGACATCGGAATGAGCCAGGGTAGAGAATGAGCAGGTAATCAGAATGAGACAGGGTGGAGCAGGTAATCGGAAAAGGTTGCTTTACGAGGAAGTTAAGTTTCAAAGTAGAAGGCAAAGAATTGAATACACTGACATACTGATTCTTTTAAAAGAAATTTAGAACTCATATCTAACAACTCCTCCTCTTGCATTTCCTTACAGCTCTTTCTCTTCAAACTTCTTTAACATGTCTTGGCTTAGTTGTTCTGCTTGATTTTCCAAAAGAATAAGCTTCTCTGGATAAGGTGGAGGATAGTTAAGGGAGGATTTAGTAAGTGCCATTTCTATGAGCCTCTGCACCAACCCACAGATGTATGGTATGATACAGCACCCAACAAGAGTAAGTACACCCATTACGGCTGCAAGGGAAGTTAAGAATTGAGGCTATTATTCCTTTCCATTTACCAAACCACTTTTCTAGGCATCCTGTAAAGGGCCCATTTACCCTTAGTTGCTGGCTAACTCACTGGACAGAGCAGTCAGACCTTGCAATGCCTTTGTTATACTTCCATTAGGGGCGGTATTGTTTGGGATGAAGGTACAACACTGAGTTTTAATCATGATGCAAACTCCTCCTCTTTCTGCTAATATCATGTCTCAGGCTATCCTATTTTCCCAAGCCATCTGGCTAGTAGCCCCTAATTGCTCAGCTATTCTTTTAACAGCATCTCTAGGGTAGTTAATAAATCGCTGTTGGTTGCAATAAATGTAGTTTATCAAACCTACATTTTTATTAATTGTAACTTACCAAAATACTGGCTGAAATCCTGCAGCTATTTGATTTTGGGCTTTAAATTGATCTGGTATTCCCAGTGGGACTCCAATTGCGTCTAAATAGACATGAGAGTTGAAAGACCCATAAGGGGCCTCTTTCACTTTACGATGTCTTATTTTTCCTTCCTCCAGTTGATGAAATGCCAGAGTAAAAGAGATAACCAATTGAATTAGACCATAAGTACTGCTCTAATTATTTGGCAGAGTGTCCAGTAAAGGTCCTCCCTAATACCACCATACAACCAGTCAGGGATGAATAAGGGCAGACTGTTGGGTCAGCTCTTGGAAGTGCCTGACTTCCCTGCATCCTGTTAAGTCTCCAGGGAATGCCAAATTTTTCCCCTTGTCATTGGAGACATGAGGTAAAATTGGCTTTGGAAGATGGAGGCTGGATGGCCCTTGGGGGCTGACCCACAGCGTGTTGAACTTCAGGAAATAGCAGAGAAAGAGCTTGGCACAATTTGTTATTCCAGGCGGTAGAATCTTGAAAAAGAGCTACCATGCACTCCATGTCCAGTTGATTTGAGGACCATCCCAGTGGAAAGGGAACAACCTGGGCCTCTGGCCTACTGTGCACACAACAGTAACAGTCGCTTTTGTTTCAAGTGCGAACGGAATATTTAATCCATTTTAACCAGGGATTTACATCTTTTTACTCTGTTTCAATGGCTATGGTTTGCCTTAGGTCTTCTATTTCTACTACTGAGACCTTGCTTTTGTCATTTGGCATGAGGCGAGGCATAGTTTGATTTCATAGGTTTGGGAAAGGGGCAGTTGTAGGAGGTGGAGGAGGGAGAACAAACCACATCTTAAAGAAACCTATAGGATCCTTTCCAGTGACCTCTACTCCTAAACCATAAAAATGCTCAAAAGTGGGGTTAGAGTTGCTAGTGGTAGGAATAGTAATGGCTATAGGCACTGGATTCAGAAAGGAAAGGAAAAGATAGATAGACTACACTTTTCTTAGCTTTAGTTTGGTAGGGCTTGATCCAGGAACAATGGCCCATGATTCTGATGATAACGGCGCTTACTTGACTCGGGTGTGATGTGTCCAACCCCCTTCCGCGGTACGAACAACAGTCTCAGTGGTTAGCAGCACTAGGTAGGGTCCTTCCCAGGCTGGCACAAATTTTCCTTCTTTCCACCCTTTGACAAGAATGTGATCCCCAGGCTGGTGCTGATTTACTGGAAATTCTAGGGGTGGTACCTGTGCTAAAAGACATTTAGTTTTGAGAGAAAGGAAAGTGGAAGATAAACCAAGTGTATAATTTCTGAGAAACTGATCTTTTGTTTTAAATTTGGGAACACCAGCAGTGGACTTTATAGTCCTTAGTGCCTCCCTGCTGAGAAATTTCCTTTGGCACCTATTTTTATTAGTTGTTAGACCAAAGAAACCCAAACACCCTTTTACATTTGACAATGCTTCCTGTATGATTTTATACCAGATAAGCTAAATTTTACCTTTATATTAGTGTGTTATTAATGTTAAACTTGATTTTAATAAAACCCTATAGACATAATTATCAAATTTTAATGTCTGACCATAAGGTAAGATTTCCATAGACTCTATTTAACCTTTTATAATTTTGTTAAAGAGCAGTTAGTGTTTTAAGAAAAACCCACTGTGCTTTTATTTTAACGTCCAGTCCACGGAAAAACTGCATGATACCCCTTTAACTTTAGCTAATATGTTTACACATAGAATTTCCTTTACAATTAACGTTTTAAAACTTGCTTAAACCTTTAAAACAAAATATTTTTAACCTTTTAATGTAGGTAAAAATCCACATTCTTATGCCTCCTTATAATCTTTTAACCAAAAGTATATTTTATTTTTCTTACACACCTTGCACATAAAGTGTTTCTTCAATAGTTTTACACTCAGGAAGCCTAATTACTATTAAATTATGCAACATTTCTTGCATAAATTCTCTTTTATAACTTTTTTTTCACGACTTTCACAGACAATTCCTCAACATGCCTCAACTTTCTGACTTGTTGCAAACATCCCTTTCTTTAAACAACCAGTTAATTTATTTTAGGACAAGAATTTACCATATAACTTTTTTTTTAATTTTGAACAATTTTTATTGCTTTCTTACCTTTATAGTGTTGCTATGGAAATGTCTGATAATAATCTGATAGTTATTCATCTTTACTGAGCAATTTTATCTCTGGAACATTTTATAATTTTCTCTTTGAAATGTTTATTATAATGTATTTAATGTGGGGTATTTACTTATCCATTCTTTCTTTTTTCTTTTTCTTCTTTTTGGGTGAAAAAGGGGGAGAAGAGTCAGGAGGCGGTTGGTAAGCCCGGCGACAAAAGTGGGAAAGAGGGAGGGAGTGGGAAGCCAAAAGCCTACATCACCCAGCATTCCCGGTCGGAATCCCATCCAAGCACTAACCAGGCCTACCCTGCTTAGCTTCCGAGATCAGATGAGACTGGGTGCTTTCAGGCTGGTATGGCTGCCCACAGGCGGTCCCAGGCTCCTGCGGGGGCGCAGGCGGGTGGAAAAGGGGGAGAAGAGTCAAGGGGCAGTTGGGAAGCCTCGCAACAAAACGGGGAAAGAAGGAGGGAGCGGGAAGGCAAAAGCTTAATTATCCATTCTATTTGGAACTCTCTGAACACATTCAATCTGATGTCTTACATATTTGTTTAACTCAGGAAAATACTTGGTATTATTTTTTCAAGTAGTTCTTCTACTCCATTTACTGCTTTTTTCTCCTTTGGGGACTTCTTTGAGGCGATATTCACATTTCTATTTCTATCCACCATACCTCTTAATGTTTCTCTTACACTTTCTATCACTTTATTCCTTCCTAATGCCTTTAGGGAGTGCTTCTTGACTCTTTCCCTTACCTACTCATTCTTCTGCTAGTCATTGCGTTCACAGTTTTATTTCAACAATTATCATTTTCTTAATCAATATTTCTAATTTTTTCTTCTTCATTACTGCTTACTCCTTTTTTAATGTATATTCTAGATAGCCTGATTTTTTTTATTATACTCTAAGTTCTAGGATACATGTGTACAACGTGCAGGTTTCTTACATAGGTATAGATGTGCCACGTTAGTTGCTGCACCCATCAGCTCCTCATTTACATTAGGTATTTCTCCTAATGCTATCCCTCCCCTAGCCCCCCACCCCACGACAGGCCCCAGTGTGTAATGTTCCCTGCCCTGTCTACAAGTAATCTCATTGTTTAATTCCCACCTATGAATAACAATATGCGGTGTTTGGTTTTCTGTCCTTGTGATAGTTTGCTCAGAATGATGGTTTCCAGCTTCATCCATGTCCCTGCAAAGGACATGAACTCATCCTTTTTTATGGCTGCATAGTATTTCGTGATGTATATGTGCCACATTTTCTTAATCCAGTCTATCACTGATGGACATTTGGGTTGCTTCCAAGTCTTTGTTATTGTGAATAGTGCTTGCTGCAATAAACATATGTGTGCATGTGTCTTTATAGTAACATGATTTATAATCCTTTCGGTATATACCCAGTAATGGGATTGCTGGATCAAATGGTATTTCTAGTTCTAGATCCTTGAGGGATCACCACACTGTCTTCCACAATGGTTGAACTAATTTGCACTCCCACCAACAGTGTAAAAGCATTCCTATTTCTCCACATCCTCTCCAGCATCTCGTTTCCTGACTTTTTAATGATTGCCATTCTAACTGTCATGAGATGGTATCTCATTGCGGTTTTGATTTGCATTTCTCTGATGACCAGTGATGATGAGCATTTTTTCATGTGTCCGTTGGCTGCATAGATGTTTTCTTTAGAGAAGTGTCTGTTCATATTCTTTGACCACTTTTTGATGGGGCTGTTTGTCTTTTTCTTGCAAATTTGTTTGAGTTCTTTATAGATTCTGCATATTAGCCCTTTGTCAGATGGGTAGATTGCATAAATTTTCTCCCATTCTGTAGGTTGCCTGTTCACTCTGATGGTAGTTTCTTTTGCTGTGCAGAAGCTCTTTAGTTTAATTAGATCTCATTTGTCTATCTTGGCTTTTGTTGCCATTGCTTTTGTTGTTTTAGTCATGAAGTCCTTGCCCATGCCTATATCCTGGATGGTATTGCGTAGGTTTTCTTCTAGGATTTTTATGGTTTTAGATCTAACATTTAAGTCTTTAATCCATCGTGAATTAATTTTTGTATAAGGTGTAAGGAAGGAATCCAGTTTCAGCTTTCTACATATGGCTAGCCAGTTTTCCCAGCACCATTTATTAAATAGGGAATCCTTTCCCCATTGCTTGTTTTTGTCAGGTTTGTCAAAGATCAGATGGTTGTAGATGTGTGGTGTTATTTCTGAGGGCTCTGTTCTGTTCCATTGATCTATATCTCTGTTTTGGTACCAGTACCATGCTGTTTTGGTTACTGTAGCCTTGTAGTATAGTTTGAAGTCAGGTAGCATGATTCCTCCAGCTTTGTTCTCTTGGATTAGGATTGTTTTGGCAATGCGGGCTCTTTTTTGGTTACATATGAACTTTAAAGTAGTCTTTTCCAATTGTGTGAAGAAAGTCTTTGATAGCTTGATGGGGATGGCATTGAATCTATAAATTACATTGGGCAGTATGGCCATTTTCACAATATTGATTCTTCCTATCCATGAGCATGGAATGTTCTTCCATTTGTTTGTGTCCTCTTTTATTTTGTTGAGCAGTGGTTTTGTAGTTCTCCTTGAAGAGGTCCTTCACATCCCTTGTAAGTTGGATTCTTAGGTATTTTATTCTCTTTGTAGCAATTGTGAATGGGAGTTCACTCATGATTTGGCTCTCTGTTTGTCTGTTATTGGTATATAGGAATGCTTGTGATTTTTGCACATTGATTTTGTATCCTGAGACTTTGCTGAAATTGCTTATCAGCTTAAGGAGATTTTGGGCTGAGACGATGGGGTTTTCTAGATATACAATCATGTCATCTGAAAACAGGGACAATTTGACTGCCTCTTTTCCTAATTGAATACCCTTTATGTCTTTCTCTTGCCTGATTGCCCTGGCCAGAACTTCCAACACTATGTTGAATAGGAGTGGTGAGAGAGGGCATCCTTGTTTTGTGCCGGTTTTCAAAGGGAATGCTTCCAGTTTTTGCCCATTTAGTATGATATTGGTTGTGGGTTTGTCATAAATAGCTCTTATTATTTTGAGATACGTTCCATCAATACCTAGTTTACTGAGAATTTTTAGCATGAAGGGCTGTTGAATTTTGTCAAAGGCCTTGTCTACATCTACTGAGATAATCATGTGGTTTTTATTATTGGTTCTGTTTATGTGATGGATTATGTTTATTGATTTGTGTACATTGAACCAGCCTTGCATCCCAGGGATGAAGCTGACCTGATCATGGTGGATGAGCTTTTTGATGTGCTGCTGGATTCAGTTTCCAGTATTTTATTGAGGATTTTCACATCGATGTTCATCAGGGATATTGGTCTAAAATTCTCTTTTTTTGTTTTGTCTCTGCCAGGCTTTGGTATCAGGATGATGTTGGCCTCATAAAATGAGTTAGGGAGGATTCCCTCTTTTTCTATTGATTGGAATAGTTTCAGAAGGAATGGTACCAACTCCTCTTTGTACCTCTGGTAGAATTTGGCTGTGAATCCATCTGGTCCTGGACATTTTTTTTTTTTTTTGGTTGGTAGACTATTAATTATTGCCTCAATTTCAGAGCCTGTTATTTGTCTATCCAGAGATTCAACTTCTTCCTGGTTTAGTCTTGGGAGGGTGTATGTGTCCAGGAATTTACCCATTTCCTCTAGATTTTCTACTTTATTTTTGTAGAGGTGATTATAGTATTCTTTGATGGTAGTTTGTATTTCTGTGTGATTGGTGGTGATATCCCCTTTATCATTTTTTATTGTGTCAATTTGATTCTTCTCTCTTTTCTTCTTTATTAGTCTTGCTAGCAGTCTATCAATTTTGTTGATCTTTTCAAAAAACCAGCTCCTGGATCCATTGATTTTTTGAAGAGTTTTTTGTATCTCTGTATCTTTCAGTTCTGCTCTGATTTTAGTTATTTCTTGCCTTCTGCTAGCTTTTGAATTTGTTTGCTCTTGCTTCTCTAGTTCTTTTCACCATGATGTTAGGGTGTAAATTTTAGATCTTTCCTGCTTTCTCTTGTGGGCATTTAGTGCTATAAATTTCCTTCTACACACTGCTTTAAATGTGTCCCAGAGATTCTGGTACATTGTGTCTTTTTTCTCATTGCTTTCAAAGAACATCTTTATTTCTGCCTTCATTTCATTATTTACCCAGTAGTCATTCAGGAACAAGTTGTTCAGTTTCCATGTAGTTGTGCGGTTTTGAGTGAGTTTCTTCATCCTGAGTTCTAATTTCATTGCACTGCAGTTGGAGAGACTGTTGTAATTTCTGTTCTTTTGCACTTGCTAAGGAGTGCTTTACTTCCAACTATGTGGTCAATTTTAGAATAAGTGCAATGTGGTGCTGAGAAAAATGTATATTCTGTTGATTTGGGGTGGAGAGTTCTGTAGATGTCTATTAGGTCTGCTTGGTGCAGAGCTGAGTTCAAGCCCTGGGTATCGTTGTTAACCTTCTGTCTCGTTGATCTGTCTAATATTGACAGTGGGGTGTTAAAGTCTCCCATTATTATTGTGTGGGAGTCTAAGTGTCTTTGTAGGTCTCTAAGGACTAGCTTTATGAATCTGGGTGCTCCTGTATTGGGTGCATATTTAGAATAATTAGCTCTTCTTGTTGAATTGATCCCTTTACCATTATGTAATGGCCTTCTTTGTCTCTTTTGATCTTTGTTGGTTTAAAGTCTGTTTTATCAGAGACTAGGATTGCAACCCCTGCTTTTCTTTGCTTTTCATTTGCTTGGTAGATCTTCCTCCATCCCTTTATTTTGAGCCTATGTGTATCTTTGCATGTGAGATGGGTCTCCTGAATACAGCACACTGATGGGTCTTGACTCTTTATCCAATTTGCCAGTCCGTGTCTTTTAATTGGGGCAGTTAGCCCATTTACATTTAAGGTTAATATTGTTATGTGTGAATTTGATCCTGTCATTATGATGTTAGCTGGTTATTTTGCTCATTAGTTGATGCAGTTTCTTCCTAGCATTGATGGTCTTTACAATTTGGCATGTTTTTGCAGTGGCTGGTACCAGTTGTTCCTTTCCATGTTTAGTGCTTCCTCCAGGAGCTCTTTCTTGTAAGGCAGGCCTGGTGGTGACAAAATCTCTCAGCATTTGCTTGTCTGTAAAGGATTTTATTTCTCCTTCACTTATGAAGCTTAGTTTGGCTGGATATGAAATTCTGGGTTGAAAATTCTTTTCTTTAAGGATGTTGAATATTGGCCTCCACTCTCTTCCGGCTTGTAGGGTTTCTGCCGAGAGTTCTGCTATTAGTCCAATGGGCTTCCCTTTGTGGGAACCCGACCTTTCTCTCTGGCTGCCCTTAATGTTTTCCGTCATTTCAACTTTGGTTAATCTGACAATTATGTGTCTTGGGGTTGCTCTTCTCGAGGAGTATCTTTGTGGTGTTCTCTGTATTTCCTGAATTTGAATGTTGGCCTGTCTTGCTAGGTTGGGGAAGTTCTCCTGGATAATATCCTGCAGAGTGTTTTCCAACTTGGTTCCATTCTCCCCATCACTTTCAGGTACACCTATCAAACGTAGATTTGGTATTTTCACATAGTCCCATATTTCTTGGAGGCTTTGCTCATTTCTTTTTACTCTTTTTTCTCTAACCTTGTCTTCTCACTTTATTTCATTAATTTGATCTTCAATCACTGATACCCTTTCTTCCACTTGATCAAATCAGCTATTGAAGCTTCTGCGTGTGTCACAAAGTTCTCATGCCATGGTTTTCGGCTCCATCAGGTCATTTAAGGTCTTCTCTACACTGTTTATTCTAGTTAGCCATTCGTCTAACCTTTTTTCAAGGTTTTTAGCTTCCTTGCGATAGGTTCGAACATGCTCCTTTAGCTCAGAGAAGTTTGTTATTACCAACCTTCTGAAGCCTACTTCTGTCAGCTTGTCAAAGTCATTCTTTGTCCAGCTTTGTTCTATTGCTGGTGAGGACCTGTGATCCTTTGGAGGAGAAGAGACACTTGATTTTTAGAATTTTCAGCTTTTCTGCTCTGGTTTCTTCCCATCTTTGTGGTTTTATCTACCTTTGGTCTTTGATGTTGGTGACCTGCAGATAGGGTTTTGGTGTAGATGTCCTTTTTGTTTATGTTGTGCTATTGCTTTCTGTTTGTTAGTTTTCCTTTTCACGGTCAGGTCCCTCAGCTGCAGAGCTGTTGAAGTTTGTTGGAGGTCTCTTCCAAACCCTGTTTACCTGTTTGCCTGGGTATCACCAGCAGAGGCTGCAGAACAGCAAATATTGCAGAACAGCTTCATCCCAGAGGGGCACCCACCTACATGAGGCGTCTGTCGGCCCCTACTGGGAGATGTATCTGAGTTAGACTACACAGGGTTCAGGGACCCACTTGAGGAGGCAGTCTGTCCATTCTCAGAGCTCAAATGCCATGTTGGGAGAACCACTGCTCTCTTCAGAGCTGTCAGACAGGAACATTTAAGTCTGCAGAAGTTGTCTGCTGCCTTTTATTCAGCTAAGCCCTGCCCACAGAGGTGGAGTCTAGAGGCAGTAGGCTTTGCTGAGCTGCAGTGGGCTCCACCCAGTTCGAAATTCCCAGCCACTTTGTTTACCTACTCGAGCCTCAGCAATAGCACTTGTCTGCCAGTTGCTAAGACCTTGGGAAAAGTGCAGTATTTGGGTGGGAGTGTCCTGTTTTTCCAGGTACAGTTTGTCCCAGCTTCCCTTGGCTAAGAAAGGGAAATCCCCCTACCCATCACACTTTCCGGGTGAGGCAATGCCCTGCCCTGCTTCAGCTCGCCCTCTGTGGGCTGCACCAACTGTCCAGCCAGTCCCAGTGAGATTAACCAGGTACCTCAATTGGAAATGCAGAAATCACCCATCTTCTGCATCAGTCACGCTGGGCACTGCAGACCGAAGCTGTTCCGATTCAGCCATCTTGGAACAGATCTCTCTACCACGTAACTTTCTTTTTACATAAATTCTCCCCCCCGTTTTTTTTTCCCAAAGATGATAACCATTCTTTTCCAAAGCAAACTTCCTTCATGTCTGTGGACTAGACTGCCTAAGGCCACAAGATTAAAAGTTAGGAGAATACAGGTTACACTGCTAACTTTTAGCAAACTTTACCTTTATTGAAAACCTTGTAAGTTTGGGACTTCAATTATCCTTTGCTACTAATAACACTTTGTTTAGTTTAAATTAACTTAGAATTGGTATAGATGACCCCTTCCTGATTCTGTAAGTACTTTAAGGCTTATCTGAGTGCAAACAGCTTACCAACTATTAGGCAATTTTCCCAACCCTTCTTCTACAAAAGTTTCCCTATCACTTACTGAATACCCACTGTGGTTTTTTCCCTCAGTCACCCGGGAGGAACCATCTATCATCCTGTCCTGAAGGGAGTTCCTTCTATGTCTGGTCTGATCTTTGTATGGTAATTAATTATGATTTAGATCCCCTGTTAGGAAACCTGCTGGGTTAAGGGAATTATCAGTGGTTAATGTTAAATCATCTTTTTCTAACAGAATAGCCCCATACCTTAAGATTTTTGAGTTAGTAAGCCACCTTTTCGCTTTTTTGACTTAGGATAGTTCTGAACTGGTGAGGTGTGCTCACATTGAGGTTTCCTCTAAAAGTTATTTTTCTACTTTCTTCCTTTAGCAAAGCAGTTGCTGCTACAGAGTGAATGCATTTGGGCCATCCACGGGTTACTGAGTTAAGGGTTTTTGATAGGAAGGCTATGGGTTGTTAGTGGCCTCAGTGCTTTCAGGCTATGCCCTTGTTTACGCTGACAACAAGCTGGTATTGGAGTGTTATAGGGTCATGGAGAGGACCTTTAATTATCAATTATAGGTCTTAAATTCACCCTAGCTTTTAAAGGACAAGGGTACACTGTTTTCTCTTTACTACTTCTATCTCTCTCTTTCTCTCTTTGACTCTCTGTCTCTTTCTCTCTCTTTGTCTCTGTGTCTCTTTCTCTCTGCCTCTCTCTTTCTCTCTCTCTCTCTTTGACTCTCTGTCTCTTTCTCTCTCTTTGTCTCTGTGTCTCTTTCTCTCTGCCTCTCTCTTTCTCTCTCTCTCTCTTTGACTCTCTGTCTTTTTATCTCTTTCTGTCTCTCTCTGACTCCCTCTTTGACTCTCTGTATCTTTCTCTCTCTCTGCCTCTCTCTTTCTCTCTCTTCTTTGACTCTCTGTCTCTTTCACTCTTTCTCTCTCTCTCTGACTCCCTCTTTGACCTCTGTATCTTTCTCTCTCTCTCTCTTTGACTCTCTGTCTCTTTCTCTCTGACTTCCTCTCCCAATTTCTCTTTCCTCTCTGCTGGTCTTTCCCTGCCTCTGCCAGCTGCTTATGCTGCTGTTCTCCCCTGTCCTTCCCCCTTCCCTGGGGGGGACTGGCAGGAGTGGAGCTACTCTTTCTTCCCCTGAGAAGAAAGGAAAGGGGAGTTCTGAATATTTTTCTTACTACTGGAGGTTTGTGTGAGGTTCAACCCCCTGAAATATGTGGAAAGCTCAACCCCTCAAACCAGGGATGTCTTGCCTTGCCTGTCATGGAATGCTCAACCCCTCAAACCAAGGGGTGTCTTGCCTTTCCTGCCCCAGAAGTCTCAACCCCTCAAACCAGGGATGTCTTGCCTTGCCTGTCCCGGAAGTCTCAACCCCTCAAACCAGGGAGTGTCTTGCCTTGCCTGTCCCAGAAGGCTCAACCCCTCAAACCAGGGGGTGTCTTTCTTTGCCTGCCCTGGGAAGTGGCCCTGTTTCCTCCCTTTCCCCCTCTGAAGGTCCCTTGCACGCTTCCCACTCGTGATATTGGGAGAAATTCAGCCAGATATTGGGCAAAATTCACCCCCGATATTTCACGTAAGTTCTTTTCTATTTTCCCTAAGTGTCAGCCGGTCTGAGAAATAAAGGGACAGAGTACAAAAGAGAGAAATTTTAAACCTGGGTGTCCAGGGGAGACATCACATGTCAACAGGTTCCATGATGCCCCCTGAGCCTTAAAACCAGCAAGTTTTTATTAGTGATTTTCAAAAGAGGAGGGAGTGTACGAATAGGGTGTGGGTCACAGAGATCATGTGCTTCATGAGGTAATAGAATATCCCAAGGGAAATGGAGGCAGGGCGAGATCACAGGACCACAGGACCGGGACAAAATTAAAATTGCTAATGAAGTTTCGGGTACGCATTGTCATTGATAACATCTTATCAGGAGACAGGGTTTGAAAGCAGAAAACTGGTCTGACCAAAACTTATTAGGCGGGAATTTCCTAGTCCTAATAAGCCTAGGAGCACTACGGGATACTGGGGCTTTTTTCATCCCTACCGCTTCGACCATAAAAGACGGCTGAAGTGGCCATTTTAGATGCCTACCCTCAGGGACACATTCTCTTTCTCAGGGATGTTCTTTGCTGAGGAAAAGAATTCAGCAATATTTCTCCCATTTGCTTTTGAAAGAAGAGAAATATGGCTCTGTTCCACCTGGCTCACCAGCAGTCAGAGTTTAAGGTTATCTCTCTTGTTCCCTGAATGTTGTTGTTATCCTGTTCTTTTTTCAAGGTGTCCAGATTTCATATTGTTCAAACACATGTGCTCTACAAACAATTTGTGCAGTTAATGCAATCATCACAGGGTCCTGAGGCAACATACCTCCTCCTCAGCTTACAAAGATGATGGGATTAAGAGATTAAAGTAAAGACAGACATAGGAAATCACAAGGGTATTGATTGGGGAAGTGATAAGTGTCCATGAAATCTTCACAGTTTATGTTTGGAGATTGCAGTAAAGACAGGCGTAAGAAGTTATAAAAGTATTAATCTGGGGAACTAATAAATGTCCATGAAATCTTCACAATTTATGTTCTTCTGCCATGGCTTCAGCCAGTCCCTCTGTTTGGGGTCCCTGACTTCCCACAACACCAGGGATGCCTTGCCTTGCCTGTCCCAGAAGGTTCTACCCCTCAAACCAGGGGGTGTCTTGCCTTGCCTGCCCTGGGAGGTGGACCTGTGTCCTCCCTTTCCCCCTCTGAAGGTCCCTTGCACACTTCCCACTCGTGTTGTCCTCTCTGGTCACTCCCCCAAGGGAGAATTAGGCCCCTCTTAGAGTTGGCATGCCAGTATAAATCCCACAGCATGATCTGCCCTAAGCCATATGAGGTAGCCACAGAACCGCAGAGAGGACCCCCTTACTCCAGCAGTAGGACTTGTCACCATCCACACAAACAACACTGCAAGCAGGGTTGTTTGTGCTCATTCATGCACACACACATTCAGCCCTCCAGAATTTGACCACCAAGGAAGTATTTTACTGGCTCTCATGGCTTCTCCTTCCTTGGTCTGTGCACAGAGCCGTCACCACAGTATGTGAGGATCCTTTGCCCCAGGTTGCCGGCTGGTTTCTTTCCGCATTGCTGAGAGTGCAGGTTACTTCTCCAACTGGGTAGTTCCTGATTTCTCACTCCTGAGGCCGCCACAAGGGGGCGGGGCATGCCTCCTCACAAGAGAAAACCAGAGACCACTCAGGTGTCTGTAGCAAGAAAAATCTCTCTGTAACACAAGCCTAAAATTTCAAAAAGCACATCCTTCCATTGACAGCTCATCCCTAAACTAGCACCTTGCTCTCTTAGCCATTTGTCCACATCTACCTTAGGTTTGACCGCTGAATTCTGATGCTCACTAAAACTCATAGAGACAAGCTCTGAGAGCACAGGAGCCAAAGATAAGAAAGCTCTTGTGATAAGAGGTGCAGTCTACCAAGGGCACGTCCTTGGGCCAGGACCTCAACCAACTCAGTGCAGCCTCCTACTATGGGATGAAATGCCTAGAGGTGAGGCCCAATTCTCGGTCCCAAGCCACCCTGCCAGCACCTGACACACCTCTCTGCCCTTGGCGCATCTACTCCTGCTACTGTGCCTGGTTTAAACAAAGGACAAGCTTCTTTGCTTTCGGGTCACAAGAAAGCCCCTGGACATTTCGAATGCAAGCATAGACCAAGGTGTAAAAGTAAGCCTCCAGCACGGCCACTTGGTAATCCACAATTCAAGGGTAAACCTGTACTGCAACTCCTTAAACTTTGGTCTTCACACTCCTGTACCCTGCAGGAGAAGCTGATGCAGCTACAGAAACAGAGAATAACCAAACTTCTTCAAACAGATCCACTGAGGAAGCCTATTGAGCTGTGCATTCACTCCTTCACTAGCTCCACCTTGGAGCAAGTTCCCAGATCACCATGGCTGGATATCTGTTTCAATATTCCATTGTAATCTCTCTTGTTTAGCCCAATAAGCTTGCTCTTCTGTTTAATTTTTTAAGCCTAAAAAAATAAAAATAAAGAGGCAGAGCACATTACTCTTGTTTCTAGTGAAAGGTGTCCAGGTCCTTTGTGTCTTGAACAAAGCATTGGACAAAACACACAAAGCAAGGAAAGAATGAAGCAACAAAAGCAGAGATTTACTGAAAATGAAAGTATACTTCACAGGGTGGGAGCAGACCCGAGCATAGAGCCTTCAAGAGCTCCATTACAGAATTGTCTGGGGTTCAAATACCCTCTAGAGGTTTCCATTGGTTACCTGGTGTACGTGCTATGTAAATGAAGAAGATGAAGTAAAGCTACAAGAACATTTACTTGGTTTGCTTCCTATGTAAACAGAGAGGATCTTTCCTGTCATAGCTGAAGTGTTTCCATTTGATTTAGTTCTAGGAAATCAGCATGAATTCCCTGCCTGCAGACCCTATTCTCCTGTCTCACTCTTACTTTCAGAAATGTAAGTGCATAATTAACTCACTTGGCCAGGTGCAGTGGTTCATTCCTGTAATCCCAGCACTTTGGGAGGTCGATGTGGGTGGATCACAAGGTCAGGAGCTCAAGACCAGCCTGGCCAATAAGGTGAAACCCCGTCTCTACTAAAAATTCAAAAAAATTAGCCAGACTTGGTGGCATATGCCTGTAATCCCGGCTACTCAGGAGGCTGAGGCAGGAGAATTGCTTGAATCTGGGAGGTGGAGGTTGCAGTGAGCTGAGATCATGCCACTGCACTCCAGCGTGGGTGACAGAGTGAGACTCTATCTCAAAAAAAAGAAAAATAATTAACTCACTTATAACCTAAAAGGAAGTGCATTCACCCACAGGCCCACAATATGAGAGAGAATTAAGCCTCTCTCAGCCATTGCTGGGAAGGCAATAGTCCACTCCCTAGACTCAAAACTGGATATTGGCTAGTCCTAGACCAGAGTCAATGGGGATAGGTAAATGCTAATGCCTACTACAGTAAGTACCCAAATAAATGACTCGAATGTGAATGAGAGGCAATACAGATTAGAAATTACAGTCATCAAAGTACAATGACATATGTAATTTAGCACACTACAAAAGAATGTTGCTATAGAAGTGTAGATTATTTTCTCTAATGGTCTTACCTTGCTCTCAAATCCTCTTTCTTGTGGAAGCAGAGGCAGAAATAGAGTCTTAAAGTTGCCAGTTAAAAGTGACTCTGTTTAGAGTAAATGTTGTCTTTCTGTATTTCTTTCTTCTCTCTCGTCTAAATGTCACTGGAGCAGGTGATTTTTTGTCTGTTTGTTTGTTTGTTTTGTTTTTTTTGAGACAGAGTCTCACCCTGTTGCCCAGCCTGGAGTGCAGTGGTGCAATCTCAGCTCACTGCAACTTCCACCTCCCGGGTTGAAGCATTTCTCCTGCCTCAGCCTCCTGAGTAACTGGGATTACAGGCACATGCCACCATGCCCAGCTAATTTTTGTATTTTTTTAGTAGAGACAGGTTTCACCATGTTGGCCAGGCTGGTCTCAAACTCCTGACCTTGTAATCCACCCACCTCGGCCTCCCAAAGTGCTGGGATTGAGAGGTGAAGCCAGCTGGGCTTCTGGGTTGGGTGGGGACTTGGAGAACTTTTGTGTCTAGCTAAAGGATTGTAAATGCATCAATCAGCACTCTGTAAAAATGCACCAATCAGCACTCTGTAAAATGGACCAATCAGCGCTCTGTGTCTAGCTAAAGGATTCTAAATGCACCAATCAGCACTCTGTAAAAACGCACCAATCAGCACTCTGTGTCTAGCTAAAGGATTGTAAATGCACCAATCAGCACCCTGTAAAAATGCACCAATCAGCACTCTGTGTCTAGCTAAAAGATTGTAAATGCACCAATCAGCACTCTGTAAAAACGCACCAGTCAGTGCTCTGGGTCTAGCTAAAGGATTGTAAGCGCAGCAATCAGCACTCTATGAAATGGACCAATCAGCACTCTGTAAAATGGACCAATCAGCAGGATGTGGGCGGGGACAAATAAGGGAATAAAAGCTGGCCACTCCAGCCAGCAGTGGCAACCCGCTCGGGTCCCCTTCCACGCTTTGGAAGCTTTGTTCTTTCGCTCTTCATAATAAATCTTGGTGCTGCTCATTCTTTGGGTCCGCACTACCTTTATGAGCTGTAACACTCACTGCAAGAGTCTGTGGCTTCATTCCTGAAGTCAGCAAGGCCACGAACCCACCGGGAGGAACAAACAACTCCGGACGCACCACCTTTAAGAGCTGTAACACTCACTGCAAAGGTCTTCACTCCTGAAGTCACCAAGACCACGAACCCACCAGAAGGAAGAAACTCTGGATACATCTGAACTTCTGAAGGAACAAACTCCGGACACACCATCTTTAAGAGCTGTAACACTCACTGCAAGGGTCCATGGCTTCATTCTTGAGGTCAGCGAGACCAAGAACCCACTGGGAAGAATAAATTCCGGACACATTTTGGTGACCCAGATGGGACTATCACCAAGCGATGAGTACCATCGGACCCCTTTCACTTCCTATTCTGTCCTATTTTTCCTTAGAATTCAGGGGCTAAATACCGGGCATCTGTCAGCCAGTTAAAAGCAAGTAGCGTGGCTGCCAGACTAAAGACACAGGTGTCAGGCTTTCTGGGAAAGGGCTCTCTAACAACCCGTGACTCTTCGGAGTTGGGAGCGTTGGTTTTCCTGGAACCAGCTTCCAGTTTTCCTGTACTTCTGGGCTGAGCTGAGGGTCAACAGAGAGAAAAGTTATTCAGCTCTGGGGGTCCCAACAACAAGTTGGTTGACCCTGCAGCCATGAGCAGAACTCTCAAAGTCATGTTGCCCAAGCGAGACTCACCCATCTATCCTATCTATCCTGACCCTTGCCTCCTGGGTCCCAACGCCTGTCAGACAAACTTCCTCTTGCCTCTCTTCTCTGAGGCTAGTCCCACGTCTAAAAACCACTCCCTGCCTCTGGTGCTTTTCTAGTTTCTCCTATAAGATCAGGACTCTATTCCCTTCTTTAGGCACTTGGGCTCACCAATCAGAAAGACATAATTTTTGTCCAAAGTCCCATCAAGGTGGGGGACGATCTGGAATTTTAGGATCCCTCCTCAGACTAGCAGGCCTAACAAAACCTATTCCTGAAGCTAGGATATGGGAAGCTTCAGAAATGATATCCTTCCTATTCAAGTGAGGACAAAAGGCATCACTCTTCCAACCCTGGAGATCCCTTCCCTCCCTCAGGGTATGGACGTTCACTTCATTTTGGTGGCATAACATCTTTATAGGACAGGGGTAAAGTCCCAATACTCATAGAAGAATGCTTAGGACTCTAACAGGTTTTCGAGAATGCATCAGTAAGGGCCACTAAATCCGATTTTTCTCGGTCCTCTTTGTGGTCTCAGAAGACAGGCAAGGGTGCAGGTTTTCGAGAATGCGTCGGTAAGGGCCACTAAATCCGACCTTCCTTGGCCCTCCTTGTGGTCTAGGAGGAAAACTAGTGTTTCTACTGCTGTGTCAGTGAGTGCAACTATTCCAATCAGCAGGATCCAGGGACCATTGTGAGTTCTTGGGCAAGAGGTGTTTCTGCTGCTGTGTCGGTGAGCACAACTATTCTGATCAGCAGGGTCCAGGGACCATTGCAGGTTCTTGGGCAGGGGGAAAAACAAACAAACCAAAACCGCAGGCAGTTTTGTCTTTCAGGTGGGAAACACTCGGGCACCAACAGGCTCACCCTTGAAATGCATCCTAAGCTATTGGGACCAATTTGACCCACAGACCCTGAAAAAGAGATGGATCATTTTTTTCTGCATTATGGCCTGGCCCCAGTATTCTCTCTCTGGTGGGGAAAAATGGCCAAAATGGCCACCTGAGGGACATATAAATTACAAAACTATCCTGCAGCTTGACCTTTTCTGTAAGAGGGAAGGCAAATGGAGTGAAGTACCTTAGTTCAAGCTTTCTTTTCATTGAAGGTGAATCCTCAACTATGCAAAGATTGCAATTTACATCCCACAGGAGGACCTCTCAGTTTACCTCCATATCCTAGTCTCCCTATAGCTCCCCTTCCTATTAATGATAAGCCTCCTCTAATCTCCCCTGCCCAGAAGGAAATAAGCAAAGAAGTCTCCAAAGGACCACAAAAGCCCCTGGGCTATCAGTTATGTCCCCTTCAAGCTGTAGGGGGAGGGGAATTTGGCCCAACCCAGGTACATGTCCCCCTTTCCCTCTCTGATTTAAAGCAGATCAAGGCAGACCTGGAGAAGCTTTCAGATGATCCTGATAGATATATAGATGTCCTACAGGGTCTAGGGCAAACCTTTGACCTCACTTGGAGAGAAGTCATGCTATTAGATCAAACCCTGGCCTTTAATGAAAAGAATGCAGCTTTAGCTGCATCCCAAGAGTTTGGATATACCTGGTATCTTAGTCAAGTAAATGATAGAATGACAGCCGAAGAAAAGGACAAATTCCCTACCAGTCAGCAAGCCGTCCCCAGTATGGATCCCCAATGGGACCTTGACTCAGATCATGGGGACTGGAGTCACAAACATCTGTTGACCTGTGTTCTAGAAGGACTAAGGAGAATTAGGGAAAAGCCCATGAATTATTTAATGATGTCCACCATAACTCAGAGAAAGGAAGAAAATCCTTCTGCCTTCCTCGAGCGGCTACGGGAGGCCTTAAGGAAATATACTCTCCCCTGTGACTCCCTCAACAGTCAACTGATCCTAAAAGATAAGTTTATTACCCAATCAGCCACAGATATCAGGAGAAAGCTTCAAAAGTGAGCCCTGGGCCCTGAACAAAATCTGGAGGCATTATTAAACCTGGCAACCTCCGTGTTCTGTAATAGGGACCAAGAGGGACAGGAAAAGCGAGATCAGAGAAAGGCCACAGCCTTAGTCATGGCCCTCAGATAAACAAACCTTGGTGGTTCAAAGAGGACAGAAAATGGAGTAGACCAATCACCTGGTGGGGCTTATTATCAGTGTGGTTTGCAAGGACACTTTTAAAAAGATTGTCCAATGAGAAACAAGCTGCCCCCTCATCCATGTTCACTATGCCGAGGCAATCACTGGAAGGTGCACTGCCCCAGAGGACAAAGGTTCTCTGGGCCAGAAGCCCCCAACCAGATGATCCAACAACAGAATTGAGGGTGCCTGGGGCAAGTGCCAGCTCATGTCATCACCCTCACTGAGCCCCAGGTACATTTAACCACTGGGGGGTCAGGAAATTGACTTCCTCCTGGACACTGGTGCAGCCTTCTCAGTGTTAATCTCCTGTCCCAGACAGCTGTCCTCAAGGTCCGTTACCATCCGAGGAATCCTGGGACAGCCTGTAACCAGGTATTTCTCCCACCTCCTCAGTTGTAACTGGGAGACTGCTCTTTTCACATGCCTTTCTTGTTATGCCTGAAAGTCCCATACCCTTATTGGGGAAGGATATATTAGCCAAAGCTGGAGCTATTATCTACATGAATATGAGGAACAAGTTACCCATTTATTGTCCCCTGCTTGAGGAGGGAATCAACCCTGAAGACTGGGCATTGGAAGAAACAAACTCTAGCTCTAGCCTTAAGCCTTCCCACAGGATGAAACTTTTCTTTATACATCACAGAGAGAGCAGGAATAGCTCTTAGTGTCCTTACTCAGACTCGTGGGACAACCCCACAACCAGTGGCATACCTAAGTAAGGAACTTGATATGGTAGCAAAAGGCTGGCCTCACTGTTTACAGGTAGTTGTGATGGTGGCCATCTTAGTGTCAGAGGCTATCAAAATAATACAAGGAAAGGATCTCACTGTCTGGACTACTCATGATGTAAATGGCATACTGGGTGCCAAAGGAAGTTTATGGCTATCAGACAACTGCCTCCTTAGATACCAGGTGCTACTCCTTGAGGGACCAGTGCTTCAAATATGCTTGTGTGTGACCCTCAACCCTGCCACTTTTCTCCCAGAGGATGGGGAACCAATCGAGCATGACTGCCAACTAATTATAGTCCAGACTTATGCCACCCAAGAAGTCCCCTTAGTTATTCCTGACCTTAACCTATACAGCAATGAAAGTTCATTTGTGGAGAATGGGATACGAAGGACAGGTTACGCCATAGTAACAGTACTTGAAAGTAAGCCTCTTCCCCCAGGGACCAGAGCCCAGTTAGCAGAACTAGTGGCACTTACCCAAGCCTTAGAACTGGGAAAGGGAAGAAGAATAAATGTGTATACAGATAGCAAGTATGCTTATCTAATCCTACATGCCCATGCTGCAATATGGAAAGAAAGGGAGTTCCTAACCTCTGGGGGAACCCCCATTAAATATCACAAGGAAACCATGGAGTTATTGCACGCAGTGCAAAAACCCAAGGAGGTGGCAGTCTTACACCACCAAAGCCATCAGAAGGGAAAGGAGAGGAGAGAACAGCAGCATAAATAGCTGGCAGAGGCAGCAGAAAGGAAAGAGAGAAAGAGACAGAGAAAGAGAGACAGAGAGGAAGAAACAGACAGACAAAGAGAAGGAGACAGAGAGAGGAAGAGACAGAGACAAAGAAGGAGTCAAAGAGAGAGAGGAAGAGACAGAGAGACAGAAAGTCAAAGAAGGAAAGAGAGGAAGAGACAAAGAGGGAGTCAGAGAGAAAGAGAGAGACAGACAAAGAAGTCAAAGAGAGAAAGAGAGAGATAGAAGTAGTAAAGAAAAAACAGTGTACCCTATTCCTTTAAAAGCCAGGGTAAATTTAAAACCTATAATTGATAACTGAAGGTCTTCTCTCTAACCCTGTAACACTCCAATAGCACCTTGTTGTCAGTGTAAACAAGGGCATAGCCCGAAAGCACTGAGGCCACTGAAAAACCATAGCCTTCCTATCAAAAATCCTTAACCCAGCAGGTTTCCTAACAGGGGATGTAAATCTTAATTAATTACCATACAAAGGTCCGACCAGATCTAGGAGGAAACTCCCTTCAGGACAGCATGATAGATGGTTCCTCCCAGGCGATTAAGGGAAAAAGACACAATGGGTAAGTGATAAGGAAACTCTTGCAGAAGCAGAGTTAGGAAAATTGCCTAATAACTGGTCTGCTCAAATGTGTGAGTTGTTTGCACTCAGCCAAATCTTAAAGTACTTACAGAAACAGGAAGGAGCGATCTATACCAATTCTAAGTTAATATGAACTGAACGAGGTTTTGTAATAGCAAAGAAGAATTAAAATCCCAAACTTAGAAGGTTTTCAACTAAAGTTTGCCAATAGTTAACAGTGTAACATGTACTATCCTAATACCACACACTCTCAAAGGATTTCTCAGTTTGCAAGAAATAACAAAATCTATCCTTACTCTACAATCCCAAATAGACTCTTTGGCAGCAGTGACTCTCCAAAATCGCTGAGGCCTAGACCTCCTCACTCCTGAGAAAGGAGGACTCTGCACCTTCTTAGGGGAAGAGTGTTGTTTTTACACTAACCAGTCAAGGATAGTATGAGATGCTGCCCGGCGTTTAAGGGAAAAGGCTTCTGAAATCATTCATATTCCTGCAAAGGACATGACCTCATTCTTTTTTATGACTGCATAGTGTATATGTAAACAGGTGACATGTTTGACAGGAAAGGTTTGGCAGGGTTAGTGGTGTTCTTTAAGGCCATGCTGGCCTCTGCTTCTCCCTCAGCTACTCCCCAGCTACTGAGAAAGTATGTGGCAGATGAAACTTGTGCTTTATTCACATATTTGAGGGGTCCCAGGAGTCCTCAACCCATCTGCATTTGACTCCAACTCAAATCTATCTGGCCTCTGAATTATATTTTCATCAGTATGTGGGCTTAAGTAGTCCTAGAATATGCTGTGCTTTCTCTCTTTCTATACGATTTTTAACAACTTCTATGTGAGTCTAAAATTATTCCAAATAAAACATTATAAAAATAAAAATTTTAAATGAACAAAAATATATCTCTTCCATTCCATCCAGGAAGCAAAGGAGATAAGAATAGGATCTTCAGCTCACTTACGGCATAAATCAACAATAAGGCCATTGTCATTCTGCTACAGTCAACCTGTGATGCTTTAAGATCACCTGCAAGGCAATGTCTTCTCAAAGTCAAAATGTATCTAGTGTTTCTATCCTCTTCACTGCCCTATCTCTTCAGGTAGAGCCAGGAAAAAGAAAAATATGTTGATTCCCTGAAGAACCCAGGCAGACCACACCCCTATTATCCACCCTCCTAATCATCTTCATCCTTTTCACAGTAAGAATTCTACTGATCTTTGCTGGTTGTTAGAACTCCTCCCATGTTTGTTCTCCTTGCTCCCACCTTATGGATAGCTCTATTCTGAAGATTCACTCTTCTAAGGGAGACACTAGGCTTTTTGGCTTAGTCCGAACAGTGTATGGAAAGCTGGGAGAACATGAAGAGATATTACGATGAAACCGCATTCTTTTTCTTTTTTGCTGCCTAGTCTCTAAATTACCTTCCCATTGTTGGATAATACCTTACTTGTTTCCTACTTCAGAGTCTGAAAATACTGGGTACTCTTCTTCCCAGCCTCCACTGCAGCCAGGCATAGCACATGACCTAAGTTCTGCAAATCATGTACTTCCTCCCAAGGCACTGAATTGAGAAATAATGATTGATGGGGTGAATGACAAACTATACAGAATGCATTCTGGTGATGGATAGTTGGAGGAGAAATGGCATCAGTTCTAGCAGGAGTGAGCAGGATTCAGTGGTGGTAGTCTCAGGGGTGCAAGTGGCGTCATCTAATATCCAGCTGTGAGGATAACAGTATCTTCATCATACCAACTCTGTGGCATGATTTAGACATAGCTCCTGACTGCAGAGCCTCGGAATCTAGCTTTCTTCCCCCCACCTAGAGATTCTGGTGGCCACCTTGTGTCCTTTTAATAATCCTTCCGTACTTAAATCAGACAGAGTCAGTTTTTCTTGCTTATGAATAGGAACCCTAAGCAAGACAGTTATTTCCAAAGTATTATTCTTGTTACATAGGTCGTGGCTGAAGCCATAGTTCTTGTAATGATTTTAAACAGATTCTGTGCCTATCACTTCCCCCATCCCTTGCAGGGTCTCAGCGGCCTACCAATAGCAAGATTACATTGTTCTATTAACAGGTTTCCTCTGGGTATGAAGAAACCTTAGGTTGATTATTTTTACCAAAAATATTCCTAAATCAGCCACAATTTCCAACATCAGAGATTACATTTGGACATGTAGGAAAAAAAAAAACATTATATATACTAAGCACATACAATGGGATTCACAAGGCAGGGTGAATCCCATTGAGAGCCAATTCTCCATAGACCTTTCATGTTTCTGCTCATCTTATGACAAGAGGTACTAACTACCCTTTTGTCCTAGACTATCGTTTTAAGGATGTTTGTATAATGAATAAGACAATGAAATGGAAAATAGAGATAGCATTTGCTTATGGAACAAAGGACAGGTTTGTTTACTGTCCAGTGTCATAAATATAACATCTCCCTCTTGAGCAAAGTTCGGGAAGGTTTGCTTGCAGCCATTATAAAAGATCCAGGTTTCCTAGCCTCAGAGTTCTTCAGCTGTGGCACAAAACTGCTGCATGCTCAGCACCAACCTAGGCCCCTCTGCCTCTCACTCATGGAGCATGGCAAGGACAAGGAAACCAATGAAAACATGAAACTCATAGAACTTGTGCTGTAAGCAATAAAAGCATTTGTCTCTGACCCTGGAGTCTGGTATCTTGTCTCAGCATCCACTGAACTAGTTAGGCTAACTAGTCAGCTTGCCAGTAAGTTATAATCTCAGACCCTTCACAGTTCTTGACAAATCCATACTAAGAAAGAAAAATAAGCAACATATAGTGCAAAGAAAAGAGCTCATAATTCTAACCAAGGTGGCATGAAAGACTTCAAGAAGAAGGAGGCATTTGATTTAAGCTTGAAGGATTTAGGTAGGCATGCCATTAATTGGAATAGGAAACATCAGAAGAGGAGTGAGTTTATGGAGGGCAATGAGTAGAAAAATTGGGGGAACAGAGATGGAGTCAATAGATTTCGTTTAACATGTGGATTTTAAGATGCAAATGAGGACTTTTTGTAGACAACTCAGAAAGCATCTGGAAAATTAGTTTTAGAAATTAAGAGGGAATCAAGAGTTTAAGATATAAAAGAGAACAACATGAAAATAGAGTTGGTGTCTTGGAAGTGGACGAAATTATCCAGCCAGAATATGCAGAGCAAGAGAAAGACAGAGAAATAGAGAGATACACACAAAGAGAGAGACAGAGAGAGGAGATCCCCACATTTAAGACCCAGTTAGAGGAAAGGCAACAATAACAACTGAGGAAAAGTGAGTGAGAGCTGTGACAGTGACCAGAAAAATATAGCATTCACCAAAGGGAGAGTAGAAACTGAAGAGGTCAATAGTGTCGATGCTGCAGATAATATAATTAGAAAAAGTGTCATCTTAATGGACTTATCTTACTTGGGGAGAAGGAGAAATTTTCTGCATCTTAGGCCATGATTCAACCTTGGCTCAGTGAGGACAGACATAACTAGCCCCTCTTTTGTATGGCCCCACTTAGTATCTCTCCCCAGAGGAAGGAAGAAAGACCAATCTGACTGAAGAGAGCCAGAGGTATTCGCTGAACCACATTTACTAACGTGAGGATACCATGCTCTAAAGGCAGTAACAAGCCCCACCGTTTCTGTTCCACTTCCTACACCTATATGGTGGGCTTCCTTCTGCTTCCTTTATTCTGTCGCATGGATTATCAGCAAGCTGATCAAGACTGTTACTCAGCTAGTAAGAGGCTAAGCCATCTCCTTTCTGTTCTTTATCTTCCAGTATGGCAGTTTCGTCCAGACTATCACTTGAAACTATGGAGTGGCCAGCCTAGACCTGCCTGGCATTGGGCACTGGAACAAGCATACTCCTTTTTGTAATCTTATTTGTTTTCATTTGGTTCCTATGGGCATAGATTTCCTATCTCTGCAGTTACAGAACTTGAGGTATGAAATAGGGAGAGGCCCACACTGAATCCTGAACATTTTGGTGCTCAATGTGGCAACAAATGAGAGCTACCATCTGAAACCAAAATATGGCAAGGAGAGATGAAAACTTTTGTATTTACCATGGCTGATTTGAGCTGTCACTGAGCTGCAGCTGTCTTTAGATGGCAGCTATGCAGGCCAAAAGTATGCTTTAGCATTTTTAAACCACAGTATCTGAGTTTAATAAGAAAATGGATCCATCTGGGGATCAACATAGGCTTTCCAGGAACTCATATTGCATAAGTCAGGATCAAGTCTTGAATGGAGATAGAAATTCCTTTCCTGGGGTCACAAGAAGCTTTCTAAGGGGCTCTATACTGCAACGGCAGCTGGATTTTGCATGAACTGTAGAACCATTGCTAGAGCCAGGAACAGAGCTTAGACTTGCTCTTTTTCTCAAGCTCAGCTTACTAGGTGGAAATCTCATAGATTTTTTTTTCTGATTTTTTTCTCCTTTATCTTATTCCTTAGCCTTGGACAGATGATCCAGGTTGAACCTGCTGTAGCAAGAAAATGTTAGCAAGAAGGAAATTTTTAAGCATCCTTTGGAGTAGCAAAGTCAGTGTTACTAATCGATGCCTAGCAAATGTCATTGCACCCTAACTGGGCCTCTGAAACCTTGTTATGTTGGTAACAAAAGGTACAACACAGTGGGCCGGGCGCGGTGGCTCACACCTGTAATGCCAACACACTGGGAGGCCGAGGTGGGATCACGAGGTCAGGAGATCGAGACCATCCTGGCTAACACAGTGAAACCCCGTCTCTACTTAAAAAGTCCAAAAAATTAGCTGGGCATGGTGGCAGGCACCTGCGGTCCCAGCTACTCGGGAGGCTAAGGTAGAAGAATGGGGTGAACCCAGGAGGTGGAGCTTGCAGTGAGCCAAGATCATGCCACTGCATTCCAGCCTGGGTGACAGAGCAAGACTCTGTCAAAAAAAAGAAAAAAAGAGTACATAGAAACACAACTAGTCTTATTACACAAGATATTTCCCAATTGAGTTTAGGCTCACAGACCCTGGCCAACTGGCACAGTATGACTGGTAACCTGGCAAGCAACCTGACAAGCTCAAACAAGCTTTTCTGTTTTCTCCATTCTGCAAATTATCCTAAATCGCTTGGCTGGCAACTGCAATAAAGATCTAAATTGTGCTGGGATCTGGGAAATATCATTTTTGCTTGTGATAACTGCTGCTCATGTTTCCTAAGTATTGTGGGTGTGTAGCTGCTGCTACACTGGTCTTATGCATCCTGTGCTCTTTGGAAAAGTAAGACAAGTGAGAGAATTGCAGTTGAGTTCATCCCACTTTGGAGGTGCAAGAGGAGCTAGCATTCATTCTAGTATAACAGCACAAGATACGGTGATAGCATCCAGTGGTGACTAGTGTATAAAAGTGATGCTTTCACTGCATATTCTCACTCATAAGTAGAAGCTGAACAATGAGAAAACATGGACACAGAGAGGGAAACATCATACACTGGAGCCTGTTGGGGCATGGGGGGCAAGGGGAGGGAGAGCATTAGGACAAATACCTAATGCATGTGGGGCTTAAAACCTAGAGGACGGGTTGACAGGTGCAGCAAAACACCATGGCACACATATACTTGTGTAACAAACCTGCACATCCTGCACATATATCCCAGAACTTAAAGTAAAATAAAATAAAATAAATAAACATTTCCACATTTTTATAAAGTGGTGTTTTTAATAAAAGCAGTACCATGTTTTCCATTTTAAACTTATCTCTTGGGCACACAGATCCCTATGCAGGAGGTAAGATTTCATCATGCATACATTCAGCCTTTATTTATTAAGGGCTTGTATTAGTCTGTCCTCATGCTGCTAATAAAGACATACCCAAGACTGGGTAATTACAAAGGAAAGAGGTTTAATTGACTCATGATTCCACATGTCTGGGAAGGCCTTACAATCATGGTGGAAAGCAAATGAGGAGCAAAGCCACATCTTATATGTCGGCAGGCAAGAGAGAGCTTGTGCAAGGGAACTCCCATTTATAAAACCATCAGATTTTGTGAGACTTATTCACTACCACGAGAACAGTATGGGGAAAACCACCCCCATGATTCAATTATCTCCCACCAGGTCCCTCCCATGACACATGGGAGTTATGGAAGCTAGAGTTCAACATGAGATTTGAGTGGGGACACAGCCAAACCATATCATTTCACCCGTGGCCCCTTCCAAATCTCATGTCCTTACATTTCAAAACCAATCACACCAGCCAGGTGTGGTGGCTCACACCTGTAATCCCTGCTCTTTAGGAGACTGAGGTAGGTGGATCGCCTGAGGATAGGAGTTTTAGACCAGCCTGGCCAAGACGGTGAAACCCTGCCTCTATTAAAAATACAAAAATTAGCCAGGAATGGTGGTGCATGACCGTAGTCCCAGCTACTCAGGAGGCTGAGGCAGGAGAATTGCTTGAACCTGGGAGGAGGAGATTGCAGTGAGCTGAGATAGTGTCACTGCACTCTAATCTGGGTGAAAGAGTGAGACTCCATCTTAAAAAAACAAAAAACAATCATGCCTTCCCAACAGTCCCCCAAAGTCTTAACTCATTTCAGCATTAACTCAAAAGTCCACAGTCCAAAATCTCATCTGAGACAAGCAAGTCCCTTTTGCCTGTGAGCCTGTAAAATCAAAAGCAAGTTAGTTACTTCCCAGATACAATTGGGGTACTGGAATTGGGAAAATACACCTGTTCCAAATTGGAGAAATTGGCTAAAACAAAGGAGCCACAGAACCCATGCAAGTCCAAAATCCAGAGGGGCAGTCAAATCTGAAAGCTCCAAAATGATCTCCTTTGACTCCATGTCTCACATCCAGGTCATGGTGATGCAAGAGGTGGGTTCCTATGGTCTTGGGCAGCTCTGCCCCAGCTTTGCAGGGTACAGCCCCACTCCTGGCTGCTTTCACGGGCTGGCATTGAGTGTCTGTGGCTTTTTCAGGCACACAGTGCAAAGTGTCAGTGGACTTACCATTCTGAGGTCTGGAAGACGGTGGCCTCTTCTCACAGCTCCACTAGGCAGTGCCCCAGTGGGGGCTCTGTGTGGGGCCTCAACCCCACATTTTCTCTTCTGTACTGCTCTAGCAGAGGTTCTCCATGAGGTCCCCACCCCTGCAGCAAACATCTGTCTGGACATTCAGAGTTTCCATACATCTTCTGAAATCTAGGCAGACATTCCTAAACCTTAATTCTTGACTTCTGTGCACCCTCAGGCTCAATACCATGTGTAAGCTGCCAAGGCTTGGGGCTTACACCTTCTGAAGCCATGGCCTAAGCTATACTTTGGCCCCTTTTAGCCATGGCTAGAGCGACTGTGTGGTAGGGTATGAAGTCCCTAGACTGCCTACAGCAGAGGGACCCGGGGCCCAGTCCACAAAACCAGTTTTTCCTCCTAGGCTGCCAGGCCTGTGGTGAGAGACGCTGCTGTGAAGACCTCTGACATGCCCTGGAGACATTTTCCTCTTTCTCTTGGTGATTAACATTTGGTTCCTCATTTCTTACACAAATTCTGCAGCCAGCTTGAATTTCTTCTCAGAAAATGGGTTTTTCTTTTCTATCTCATTGTCAGGCTGCAAATTTTCCAAACTTATATGCTCTGCTTCCCTTTTAAACATAAGTTCCAATTTCAGATCATCTCTCTTAGGTTCAAAGTTCCACAGATTTCTAGGGCAGAAGCGAAATGCCACCAGTCTCTTTGCTAAAGCATAACAAGAGTGACCTTTGCTGTAGTTCCCAACAAGTTTCTCATCTTCATCTGAGACCACCTCAGCCTGGATTTCATTGTTTATATCATTATCATCATTTTGGTCAAAACCATTCAACAAGTCTCCAGGAAGTTCCAAACTTTCCTACATTTTTCTGTCTTCCTCTGAGCCCTCCAAACTGTTTCAACCTCTGCCTGTTACCCAGTTCCAAAGCCGCTTCCGCATCTTCGTGTGTCTTTACAGCAGTGCCCCACTCTACTGGTACCAATTTACTCTGTTAGTCTGTTCTCATGCTGCTAATAAAGACATACCCCAGACTGGGTAATTATAAAGGAAAGAGGTTTAATTGACTCACAGTTCCACGTGGCTGGAGAGGCCTCACAATCATGGCAGAAGGTGAATGAAAAGCAAAATCACATCTTACAAATCGGCAGGCAAGAGAGAGTTTGTTCATGGGAAATCCCACTTATAAAACCATCAGATCTCGTGAGACTTATTCACTACCAGGAGAACAGTATGGGGGAAACTGCTCCTGTGATTCAATTATCTCCCACCAAGTCCCTTCCACGACATGTGGAAATTATGGGAGCTACAATTCAAGATGAGATTTGTGTGGGGACACAGTCAAACCATATCAGGGCTGCTATGGGTCAGGCACTGTTCTTGGTGCTGCAAACAAAATAGACAAGGTCCCTGCATTTATAGATCTTATATTCTAGAGAGAAAAGAGTTGATAAACTACAAATAAATAATTCCAGATAACTGTAAGTGCTAAGGGAAGATATTTATTAATTTAACAGATGTCATTATTTTCTAGGCACTTTCTTAGTATTTTACAAATATTAACTTATCTGATTTCATAACGACCTAAAAAGTAGATTTTATAATTATCCTCATTTTCAGATGAGAAACCCTTCCACAAAAAGGTTAAATAACTGCTAGCATAGAGTGAAGTGAGAATTCAAACCCCAGTGATTTTTGCCTAAAACTGGATAATTCTATTCAAAAGAGACTGGAAGCAGAGACAGGGAGGGGAGGTACAAATCTACAGAAGGTATCCTGGAAAGGCTTACAGGGAGGTGAATTTTGAGCTGAGACCTGAATGTCAACAAGGAACCAGTCAAGCAAGCATTAGGACAGACCCTTCTGGGCAGAATGAAAAGCACATGCAAAAGCTCTGTGGGGAAAACACCTTGACTTCCTGGTACATGAGGAGGTCAAAGAAGTGGGCAAGGACCAGATTGTGTGGAGCCTTGTAGGCAATAGTTACAAGTATGGATTTTCTTCTAATTATAATAGAAATCCCTTGAAAAGCCAGGGAGTAAAATAATCTGATATGTAAAACCACAAATTTCATTACATATACTTATAAGAATGTATGTGCCTAGAGAAAAGCCCAGGGAGGGGCATACCAACTGATAACGGTGGTTAGTTCTGGAGATATGTTCGGGATCATGACAGTGATGAAAGAGACTTTCACTTTATCTTTTTTTGTTCACATGAAAATGTACTTGTGTAATTATACAAATGAATAATTTTAAAAAAACAATTTAAGCTCCTTAAAATACCATGTATTGCATAGCGTAAAACCTACTCAATTACAAGCAGATGCACCATGCTAAAGAAAACACAATATTGGGCAGCTTGTGTAGCCTGAGTTGTATGATGTGTATCTCCCTTAGAGAAACCACAAGCAGCCATGTGTATTGCATAATAAGCTAATCAGCTTAGGAAGCAGAGAATTTGGGAGTACTGAGGAGAAGCATGCTAAATAAAGCTGCATGCTGAGGCTGAGAAAATGCAATTTAGGAATAAGAACTTAGCTGGTTTCTCTAACTGGAAAGCCGTGGATGATCTGTGCGTTGTATAAACTATGAAAACCACTTTCAGTGTAAAGTTGAGCTACTGCCAGCATTTGTCTCTCTTTACAGAATGTACCCAGTGAAATGTTAATTAGGAGTAAAACTGGCTTACCTCATTCACCTATTCCTTTGACACTTAAGCCACTTGGGATTTACCACCCACTTTCACATTTTGTTACGTTCAGTCTTCCAACTTCCTGTTCACAACCCCTCTTTTATCACTTAGTTTATTTCCTGCTGTCTTGCGCTCCACCTCAACTGCTTTTATTCTGCTTGGGGACTTCAGAATCAATGTGCATTGGACCCACTGAATTGGACCCATCCAATACTTTGTATCCTAGTTAATGCTCTCATTTCCAGTGACTTTTTAAATTTAACAACTGCTAGCACTCTCGCCCATACTCACAACCCTGAATGTGTTCATTACCAAGAACCTTACCACTTCTGAAATCTCATGTCCGAATGTCCTGCCTTTCTAGCACAAGTGCTCCCACTGCAGAAGTCTCCAGCACCATGACCTCCAGTGCATCCTTGGCGCTCCTAATACCCAGACCCTTTTCTGTCTTACTTTCTTGTCTTGCTTAGACTCTATGACCCACCATTACAATCTACAGCCTTGCTTCTCTTTTCCTTCTATCATGCTTTCCTAGAAAACTTTGCAGTTTTCCAGTTTAAAATGTTTTCTAACTTCTAACATTTCTTTCTTGATGCATGAGTTATTTACAAGTTATCTTCTTAAAATCAAACAAGGAAATTTCCTAGTCATCTTTTTGTCAATGATTTTGAGCTTAATGCATTATTATCAAAAAACATTCCCTGATTTCAAGCCTTTTAAATATAGGGAAGCCGGCTTTATGATCCACCATACTGTCAATTTTAACAGGGATTCCATGTATACTTGAAAAGAATGGGTATTTGCAGTTTGGGGCTCAGGGTTCCATATGTGGTCATTAGGTCAAGTTTGTAGATCATATTGTTCAAGTCTTCTGTATCTTTATGGATATTTTATCTGCTTGCACTATCAGTTACTGACAGAAATATGTTTAAAATACCCCACTATGATTCAGGGTTTTTCTAAATCTCTTGTTATTCTTTCCATTTTTTTGCTTTATACGTATTTGAAGGTTTGCTATTGTCCTGTGATCCATTCTATACTATAGAAGACCAGACCCCAGGAAACTATCTACAACTTCCCGAGGATCATGAGGACCTTAGCAGGTTTACTTTTTTAAATTCTAGAGAAATTGTCTGTTTAGTGTCTCGCTGGAATACAATCACTATGGCCAAGGAGTGTCTTGGCAAGCCAATGCTGAGTCATAAGCTAATTCTTTTTTTTTTTTTTTTTTTTTTTTGAGACGGAATCTCACTCTGTCGCCCAGGCTGGAGTGCAGTGGTGCAATCTCAGCTCACTGCAAGCTCCGCTTCTCAGGTTCACATCATTCTCCTGCCTCAGCCTCCCGAGTAGCTGGAACTACAGGCACCCACCACCACACCTGGCTAATTTTTTGTATTTTTAGTAGAGACAGGGTTTCACTGTGTTAGCCAGGATGGTCTTGATCTCCTGACCTCATGATCCACCCGCCTCAGCCTCCCAAAGTTCTGGGAATACAGGCGTGAGCCACCCCATCTGGCCGTCATAAGCTAATTCTTTAGGGCAAGATCTAAGACTGTCAGCTCCTACAAAAACGTGGAGAAATTCCTCAAAAAAAAAGTGGACTACTGTTTTGCACAGACAATACATTTGCACTGCAACTAGCTTTTTACAATTGTAAATAGACAGCATGACAACTCTTTGGAGTTAGCATTAGCAACTCAGATTCAAAGCAGTAGCCCATCCACTGTAGACCGTGGGAGGGGCCTAAGTATTTAACATAGATGAGCAAAGAATATAGAATCAGAAAATGCAAGAAAATTTCTGGAAAGAGTGATACAAGTTACTTTTACTTAAAAGTCACACCTCAGTTTGAATTTCAACACCTTCCCTATCTATATAAACGTGTATAAATTATTGACCTACTCTAATCCCCTTCTGAAAGATATAATTTAAGTGCCTAGTAAATACTAACTGCTCAATAAAGGTTAATTTCCTACATAAGGAGGGAGAGTTTACTCTAGAACACCACAGTGATTATAACTTATATTCATAGATGATTGGATATATTTATGCTTAATTATGCATAGAGTTCATAGTATAAACTATCGGTTTAGTCTTTCTCATCTAAATCTCAGTTTTAAAGAATCTCTTCAACATTTGGATATGAGAGGTGGCTTCACAGGTATATTAGTTATTATGCTGTTTAACAAATCACTCCAAAACCTAGACACTTACATCACAAACACTCCTTTATTATCTCTGTTTATGTGGGTTGGAAATTTGGGCATAGCTTAGCCAGATACCTAAAGCTTGCAGTCTCTCAAAATGTGTCTCACAAGGCAATCAAGGTGTCCACTTCAACTGCAATCATTTCAAGACTCATCTGGGGGAGGACCCACTCTGAGTTCACTTCTGTGGCAATAGGCAGACCCCGGGTCTTTTCTGGCTGTTGGCTGGAGACATCAGTTCCTTGCCACCTGGACCACTCCATAAGGCCACTCACAGCCTGCAACTGGCAACTCAAGGTGAGAAAATGAGAGAGCAAGAGAAGACTCCCCCCAAAAGAAGCCACCATCTTAAAAAAAAAGACTTTATGTTTTAGAGCAGTTTTAGGTTCATAGCAAAATTGAGCAGAAAGTACAGAGTTCCCATATACACTCTGTTCCCCCAACACACACATAAATTCCCCCACTATCAACACCCTATCAGAGGGGTACATTTGTTACAATCAGTGAACCTACACTGGCACATCATTATCACTCAAAGTCTGTGGTTTACATAACCCCTAATGTAAACCCAGAAACCCAGAAACCCATCAGTGTACATTCTATGGGTTTTGACAAATGTGTAATGACATATATCCATCATTATAGTATCACACAAACTTTTTCATTGCCCTAAAATTCTTCTTTGCCTATTCATTCCTCCCTCTCCCCAAGCCCCTGACAACCATTGATCTTTTTATTTTATCCATAGGTTTTCCTTTCCAGAATGTCATATAGTTAAAATCATACAGTATGTTGCCTTTTTCAGATGGGCTTTCTTCACTTAGTAATATGAATTTCAGTTTCTTCCATGCCTTTTCATGGAAGTGCATTGACTCCATTGGCTCTCCTAATGCCAGCCTCTTTTCTGTCTTACTTTCTCCTCTTGCTTAGATTCTATGATCCACCATTACAATCCACAACCTTGCTTCTCCTTTCCTTCTATCATTCCCTCCTGGTTTCCAAAGAAAACTTTGAAGTTTTCCAGTTTAAAATGTTCTCTAACTTCTTTTTTTCCCCCTTTGGCAGTTTTTTTTTTAGAAAATTATTATTATACTTTAAGTTCTAGGGTACATGTGCACAACATGCAGGTTTGATACATAGGTACACATGTGCCATGTTGGTTTGCTGCACCCATTAACTCATCGTTTATGTTAGGTATTTCTTCTAATGCTATCCCTTCCCCAGTTCCGCACCCCACAACAGGCCCCGGTGTGTGATGTTCCCCACCATGTGTCCAAGTGATCTCATTGTTCAATTCCCACCTATGAGTGAGAACACATGGTGTTCGGTTTTCTGTCCTCGTGATAGTTTGCTGAGTATCGGGGGAATCTGCCCCCAATATTTCAATGTAGTTTCTTTCTATTTTCCATAAGTGTCAGCTGGCTGAGAAATAAAGAGAAAGAGTACAAAGAGAGGAATTTTATAGCTGGGTCCCTGGGGGTGACGTCACATATCGGTAGGACCGTGATGCCCAACTGAGCCTCAAACCAGCAAGTTTTTTATTAAGCGTTTCGAAAGGGGAGGGGGTGTAAGAACAGGGAGTAGATCACATGCTTCAAAGGGCAAAAAGCAGAACAAAGATCACAAGGCAAAAGGCAAAAGCAGAACTACTGATAAGGGTCTATGTTCAGCAGTGCACGTATTGTTTTAATAAACATCTTAAAGAACAGAAAAGAGGGTTCGAGAGCAGAGAACTGGTCTGACCACAAATTTACCAGGGCAGGGTTTTTCCCCACCCTAGTAAGCCTGAGGGTACTGAAGGAGACCAGGGCATATCTCAGTCCTTATCTCAACCACATAAGACAGACATTCCCAGAGCAGCCGTTTATAAACCTCCCCCCAGGAATGCATTCCTTTCCCAGGGTATTAATAATATTAATATTCCTTGCTAGGAAAAGAATTTAGTGATATCTTCCCTACTTGCATGTCCGTTTATAGGCTCTCTGCAAGAAGAAAAATATGGCTCTTTTTGCCCGACCCTGCAGGCAGTCAGACCTTATGGTTGTCTTCCTTTGTTCCCTAAAAATCGCTGTTATTCTGCTCTTTTTCAAAGTGTGCTGATTTCATATTGTTCAAACACACGTTTTACAATCGATTTGTACAGTTAACACAATTATCACAGTGGTCCTGAGGTGACGTACATCCTCAGCTTACAAAGATAACAAGATTAAGAGATTAAAGTAAGACAAGCATAAGAAATTATAAAAGTATTATTTGGGAACTGATAAATGTCCATGAAATCTTCACAACTTATGTTCCTCTGCCGCAGCTCCAGCCAGTCCCTCCATTCGGGGTCCCTGACTTCCCGCAGCAGCTGAGAATGATGGTTTCCAGCTTCTAACATTTCTTTCTTGATGTGTGAGCTATTTACAAGTTTGCTTCCTAATATCAAGCAAGGAAATTTCCTAGTAATCTTTTTATTAATGATTTTGAGTGTAATGCATTATCATCAAAGAACATTCCCTGATTTCAAGCCTTTTAAATATAGGGAAACTGGCTTTATGATCCACAATACTGTCAATTTTAACAGCGAAGATGAAGCTCTTTTTTTTTTAAGTGTTGAATAATGATCCATTCTGTGGATGTGCCACATCAGTAGAAGGACATCTTGGTTGCTTCCATTTTTGGCAAGCCATAGTCTTTTTGTAACCTAAGGAAATGATATCCCATAACTTTTGCAATATTCTCTTCATTTGAAGCAAGTCAATAAGTCCACCCCATGCTCAAAGGGGAGAGATTGTACAAGGGCATGGATACCAAGAGGGAAAGATTGTGGGGACAATTGTAGAGGCTGCCCACCCTACCAGGAAAGACAAATGTTTACAGTACCTTGACCACGCCCAAGCAGCCAGGCCAGTTAAAGAATGCCCTGTACAGAGTCCATACCTGTGAAAAAAGTATAGTATTTTTGTTTTAATGTCGCATAATTTACCAAAGTACTGAAAACTTTAAGCCACACTGCAGATGTACTTGGCCCTATTGAGAATAATCCTAAAGCAATGCATAGCACTTTAAAAATTGCTGCCAGCTCATTTTCCTTGAAAAACAGAATCTATTTCTAGTACATTTTCTTGGAGAGCTGCCCATCCTATTCAAGTTTTCAAAAAAGGGACCTTTCAATTAAATTGTCATTTGTTCCACTCCTGCCTGTGCTGCAGAGGAGAGCATGTTACAGAGAATACAATATGCAATAAGTAAAATAATTCCAAAAATATTACAAACATACATTACATCGCTGAGATGTATGTATGAATTCAGATCCTACGTTTTAATTCTTGTAGGGAAATTTTATATTATTTACCCTCAGCTGAAGTAAAAGAGTAAAATTCTTTTGCTTTCTTTCCTTCCCAAGTCGTATAATCCCTGTACTAGTCCAATATTTGGTGAAAAAGGTGTTTGTGAAGCTATATATTGGCAGGAACAATGGATCTACGTGCTAATTTACGACTTTTTACGACTGAATTCTTTAACTCTCTGAGAAGTGTGTCCAGATGCACATAGACCCTCTTTGCTTTGTGTCCTTAGATTATTACATCCAAACTAATTATATTCTCACGTTAAACAACAGAGTGATTGATGCAAACATGGTCTGTGATAGAAAACACTGGCACCATATGGCCACAAGAGGGAGTAAAGAGCCACAGAAACATTAGCGTCTTCAAGGCTAGGCTCTACCATTCCCGAGGAAATAGAGAACTTTTGTTGTTTCTATTTCCCCCACTCTCTTTTTCCTTCTAATAATTCAGAGACTTTCTTCTGACCAAAGGCAGAGCTAGTATCTACAGATCTCGCTGTTACGATGAGGCAAAGTTAGCCCGGAGCAGCTTCTTCTCCCGCTGCTGTCCTGGCTGACTTCCCCAAGGAACACTTTCCAATACCAAACTACCAGCAGTGGGCTCCTGTCTCCGTGCTGAGGGCACCCTCCGGTGCCTGTCTCTGCTCTCCGATTTGCCACCAGAGCCCAAATAGCTGGTTTATGGGAAGACTTGTTATGTTGAACGCTTCAATCGCTTCTTAAATTGATTTATCATGGCACTGAAGCAATTAGATGATATACAGACCAATGAATCCCTTGTAAAGGCTACAGTAAGCACTCAGTAAGAGGAGAAAAATCAGATTGAGAGCCTGGGGAAACATACTTTCCTAGGAATGACATAAATGGAAATCCCTCAATTACACTCCCCATCATTCCTGAGTCCTTGGCACCGGGCGGGGGGTAGGGGGTGGGGGGACGTTCTAAAACTCAGCCCCATAAATGGTGGCATGTTATATACCAAATTACCATACGGTTGTTTGGGGATTTGTTTTTTGTTGTTGCTATTAGTTCAGCTTGAACAAAGGAGTGATGAATAGAGCTGAGTAAGATATTTAGTCCCTCAGCAGAATTACTCAGAAGCTGCAGGCAGTATGTCAGGCAAAAAATACAGGGAGGAGTCAACACAATGGGAGATAAGTTATGACTGAGACAATAGAAATACAATTCCTTGAATCCTGGCTGTCGCTTATTCATGCACATGGATTCATCAGAACAGGTTGCCAAACTACAAGGGAAAAAACTGAAAATAAATTGCCAAATGTTTGCCACAGAGTTTATTTTCCTATTACATTTCTTTGATAAACTCTTCTCCAAAGGATTCAAAGAGTTGTGCTGAATGGAAATTTCTTTTAAACACTGCCAGAGATGAAGTGAAGTCTCACCTTGATGGTGGGAGAAAAGATGGGAGAAGGAAAAAACAATAACCAAGATGCCTTAAAGCAGAGAGGACTGGAGAAAGAGCAATGGCTAAATTCTTCAGTGTGCAAACATGCAGCTGGCTACAGGAAGGAGGGTGCAGCCAAGGCTCTTCACTACAGAGATCTTGAAAGCTTGGAGGAGCATATTGCAATTTTGGAGACTCATCACATTCCGCATCTTGGAATCCTCCAGCAGAGTTCAGATCCAGACTCCTCAAACCCGCCAGATGCCCCTCCCTAACACCCTTCTGCTCTTAACACTGGTCCCTCCTACACAATGCTTATTTATTATGGAGAAATCTGTGCCTCCAGCTCACCATAAACTTGTATTCCTGCCATGGTATATGTTCCTTCCCAGCTTGAGACCTGCTTGAATCAATATCATTTTACACCTGGGCCCCAAAGCTCAGGGACTTCTGAGAAGCAGGCCAGCCTTGTACTCTGGCTGAGAAGTCTCTGTGTCAAGAAGACTCATCTCAGAAGTCTCAGCAAAAGAGGAGGAAGTCCCGGTGGCCTGTCATTATCCATCTCTGATCCAATCACTGCAGTCAAGGGAATGTGAAGCTTTGATGGTCAAACATGGTCACATGCCACCCTTAGAGCTGGAAATCAGCTCCACTGGAACCCCCAGCCTTGAGAGTAGAAGCGTAGACTCCCTGAGAAGGTTGGAGGCTATTTTAAGTAGAGTAAGTGGATGCTGGGCTGTCAGGAAGCAAGACAAATCCACCTCAATCACTTTTCAGCCCTTCCCTCTCTGTAGTCTAGCACAGCCCAGGTGACTATGGAACCTTGTGTATTTGAATAGAGAGCAAATGGAGCTCTTGGTGTTGTGAAGTGTGGTGGCCCTGACTCTCAGCAATCATGTGCTGGTTGACCTGTGATAAGGATCATTAGTATTCATTTGCTCAGTACTGTTTCAGTCTCTGCCCATATCTTTCATTAATTTCTATAGTCACCAAGTCACATACACACAAATCTCAAGGAGACAAGCCAAGACAATGACAACATTTGATGACAACAACACAGATCTCAGATAATAACTGTTAAGGTGATAAGGGAAACTTCAGGAATCCCTGGGGTGATAGAAGATGTTTATTAGCACTGTCTTTAATTCATCGTAGTACAAGGCATGTTATCAATACAAAATTTACATGAAGTAAGTCATTTGTTTCAGGTGTTTACCTGAAACATATTGAGTTCCCTCTTTGAGCATTGCAATAAAGTAATTACCTTTTGCTCCCATCTGGTTCTTATATTAACTACATATAATCAAATCAATTATTAAGTGGTTCATCAGAAAGAAGCAATTGTCCTTCCTAATGAGACATCGTCCCCAAACTTGCAGAGCAACAAGCAGAAATAATGAAAATATAACAATTCTTCCCAGGAACAACATCCCTTTTCCTCAAAGTGATGCAGTTCTGTCCTGTCCTCTGCAGCTTGCCCCTGGAAAATCCCACTGTCAGCCTTGTGAGTGATTCTGGGAGTACTGACTCCTGGGAACTAGATCTCCTGATGAGCTCAGACTTTCAGTGAACTACTGTGAGCACAGGGGCCACGAGCAGGGGCTTTGGACTCAAATCCTGCTAGACTTGAGTGTGCACAGGGAAGGGGACGTCAGTGTGCACAGTGGCTACAAGAACAGGCACTGGATTCAAACCAGCTGCCACCATTTACCAGCAGGTGTCCTTCAACAAGTCCTTTCTTTCTGACCCAAGTTTTCTCTTCTGTAAAATGATGGTAAGAGTTCTCACCTTCTGGAGTTGTGACAGAGACAAGACAGTGCACAAGAGTGTTTAGCATACTGCCAGGCACATGGTACTAAATGAGGGTTAGTCTCAATTAGGCTTTTTGATTTGTGTTTTGTTGGGTTTTTTTTTTTCATTTGTGACCAAGAGGCAAAACTTGGCCTGACTCCTTCCTTCCATCAGGAGAAGGTCTGTCACTGACAACTTAACTGAGCAAGGGAAACACCATTGGATAACCTGGCCCCTCACTGAGACTAAGAAACAACCAGTATTTAGGTTTCCCTTTGCCTACCACCTTAGAAGAGCTAGAAAACAAATCTGTGAATCTAAGGAATGTTTCAAAAATCCAGAATCCTCTTTCTAGCGAGTTGGTGCTCCCAGTTTACATTTGACTCTAATTCTGACTCAAAGATGTGATATGATCCATCATCACTCAATCCAAAAAGGAAAAATTTAGAGCATTATTAATAGCGATAGCTTCTATTTATTGAGGATGTACTTGACATCTTGTTCTGAATGTTTAATATCAATTATCTCCTTTAATGATCCTTTGAGATAGGTCATTTTACAGATGAAGAAACAGAGGCTCAAATAAATGAGTAACTTTCCCAAGCTCCAGCTATTAATACAAGGCTTGTTTTCTTAACCTGAGGACACTTTGCAGACTTACAAAATATTTTAAATTAATGATCACAAATGCTTAAAAATAACAAATCTTGATTTGAATCCATACATTCTCATGATACTTCTGGATAGACTTTAATTCTGAGTTCTGGCTGGTCCGTCTCCACTGCCCATGCCAGGTGCTCTCTAGTCTGTTTCTAGGCAAAGTGTTCATGGACTAGAGGTTTCTTAGGTTCCCTCTCTCTTCTCTAAAAGAGCAAGAACTGACTGGGTGCAGTGGCTCACGCCTGTAATCCCAGCACTTTGGGAAGCCAAGGCGGGCAGACCACGAGGTCAGGAGATCGAGACCATCCTGGATAAAATGGGGAAACCCTGTCTCTACTAAAAATACAAAAAATTAGCTGGTCATGGTGGCACGTGCCTATAGTCCCAGCTACTCGGTAGGCTGAGGCAGGAGAATCGCTTGAACCCAGGAGGTGGAGGTTGCAGTGAGCCGAGATCGTGCCACTGTACTCCAGCCTGGGCGACAGAGCGAGACTCTGTCTCAAAAAAAAAAAAAAAAAAAGCAAGAACTTTCCACAGGGAATGCAAAATCAACCTAGCAATATCCTGTATCAATAAAGAGACTTTACTCAAATAGGCTTAAGTGAAACAAAAGAACCAAAATGTATTGTCTCTTGAACCTGAAGAAGCCCAGGGGAAGGCTGGCTGCAGGTGTGGCTGAAAGAGCAGCTCAGAGGACAGCATCAGGACTCCCTTTCTGCCCCTCTCTTGGCTCTGCCTTCCAGATTCACTTTTTTCTCAGGCTGGCTGTTTTTTCATGGGAGCACATTGATTGCAAGAATCTCCAGGTTCCTAACCTCATAGTTTCAAGTCCAGTGGGAAGAGAGAGTGTTTTCTTATATGTATCTCAAGCAGAAGTCCTAGGTGCTCTACAGTCTATCCATTATGTGTTCACCCCTGCATCAATCCCTGTGGTGAAAGGAATGAAATGCTGTGATTGGCCAGATCCAGCTCATGTGCCCAACTGTTATCAGAGGTGACATTGGCACATGGATAGAGCGTTGGGGAAGGGTGATAGCTCTAAAGAAAAACCGGAATGGGTTTGTTTTGTTTTGTTTTTTGAGACGGAGTCTTACTCTGTCACCCAGGCTGGAGTGCAGTGGCGAGATCTTGGCTCACTGCAACCTCCGCCTCCCGGGTTCAAGCGATTCTCGTGTCTCAGCCTCCCAAGTAACTGGGACTACAAACATGAGCCACCATGCCTGGCTAATTTTTTGTATTTTTAGCAGAGGCAGGGTTTCGCCATGTTGGCTAGGCTGGTCTCGAACTCCTGACCTCAGGTGATCTGCCCCCTTGGCCTCCCAAAGTGCTGGGATTACAGGTGTGAGCCACCATGCCCACCCCAGGATGTTTTGAACAGTAGAACAAGGAATGGATACTGAATAGTAAATGTAAACAACCACAAACATACATGACTATAGATCCAAATGCCCTATAAGTCTAGGGATTCAACCATATATATTTTTAACTAAACTCCAGGCATGCAGAAGAACAATAATATATAACATTAGAAATCAGGACAGTCCCTAAAATGCAGGCCAGATAACCAATGCCAACATATGGGCAGAGGTCCTATGTTCTGGCAAAGTACGGATTTAATCAGTTAATATAAAGCACCTTTCACTCAGCAATTATTATGCCAGAATTAATATGTGAATCCAGAGTAATGTAACAAGTGCCAATCATCCCTCTCCCCTCCCACCCTGCTACCTCCACACACTTGGTCAAGACCTTGGAAATTCCAAGATTTAAACAGAGGAGCCATAATAGAGACCAAAGGGGGCAGAGGTAAGCAGATAAGTTTCAGCTTGTCCTAAAGAGCTAACAGAGAAGAAAGACTTTTGTCAGATGGTGCTCATATGGCTGGTTTACATATTGCGTACATGGAATTTATGTCAAAGCTACAGCCAGAGACAAGGGTGACGCAGAAGGAACAGACCAATCACCTTTCTTGGAGCTGGAATCCACCAAGAACATGATCTCAGCCAGACATCAGGGAATGAGAAGGGTCATTGTTGAAGGGAGCCAGCAGAATGTTAAGACGGAATTTGGTTTTGGTCGGATGAAACTGTTAGCACAGCCCTGGTCCCCTTGGTTAAGTGTGTTATTATATTCCAAAGTAAAGAGAAAGACATGAAAAATGATAATTGGTGAATATTTTCAAAATGAAGATGAACATTTCACTCCAAATCTAAATCTTCTTCACATAAAAACTGCTCATTTAAAATGGTGCAAGGATTAAGCAAGTCTCCTAAATAAATTCCCTCTGCATCAGATTTCTTCTTTAAAACAGTCTGGATGATTGCTAAAGTGCATTTCAAATCTAAAATTCAACCACTAGAATATCCTTAGGAAAGGCAGCTGCCAACTACAGAGGTATCTCAGCCCAGAGACCTGGCTTCAGCCCACACTCAGCACCACTCCGTTACCTCCACATCCCCATCCACATCCTCCGGGCAATGACAACGATGGTGGTGGTGGTAACAGTAATTGAGCACTTGCTATATGTGAGGCACTCTTCTTTACACAAGTGCTTCATGTGGATTATATATAAATACTACAATGATCTCTCCTTAACAGGTGAAAATAACGAGGGGCAGAGAAAATAAGAAACCAGAACAAGATCACAGCCAGTAAGTGGCTCCCCCTTCATATGTTTAACAATCATCTGATCTGTGGATATGATAGTAAGGATCTCAATTTTCTGACTTTCAGCAACAAGCTAGTTGTTACATCTAATAAATATCAGCATTCTAACTTGGATCTTTGCATAAGCAAGCCACACATAGGTAAAGACAAGACTAAGGTGAGTTAGATAATTTTTTGAAGACAGCTTTCTTTGACCCACCATAGAACATACTGCAATTGAACATCTGGAACCAGAAGAGAATACTGAAGATTCACCTCAGCCACCCACCCTTCTGGGAGTGCTAGGGTGCTGTGCACAGAGCAGGGGTCTGTGTCAGTCCTGGGTTCAAGCCCTTGCTCTGCCCCCTGACCAGCTGTGTTGCTGAGAAAATGTGTAATCTTCTCAGTGTTAGTTTCTCTTCTGTAAAAGGGAATGACACCATATATCTCATGGTAAGAGGGTGCTGTATACAACATCTAGCAGCCTTATGTTAGCACACAGCAAATGGTTCGTGATCATGGCATCGTACTCAGGGTGGGGATGTCTGAATCCCGACATCACTATGAGAAGATAACTGCAGAAGGAACGGAATTGACTGCAGACAGGAAAGGATTAAAGTTAGAGATACTAATTTGATCTCTGCAAAAACTTATCTTGACTACCTCAGATGTGCCACTTTGTCTTTTCTGGAACAAAGAATAATTTTATCATCTGTGAGAACTCACGTCAAAGCGTCCCTTGATACACTCTCACTTGTAAACAAAAGTTTTCAGACTGGAACTTGCAGCAGCCCTGCTACTAGTGAGAAAAAGCAGAGGGTGGAACAGGCAGGACAATTGGCCTCTATTGTCATGCAAATAATTTCAGAAATGTCACTTCTTGAGATACTGAAAAGCTGATGGTGGTGGTTCATCGTACCTTAGGGAAACAGCATTTAAGCATCCCTGTTCAAGCTCATTAGTCTTCTTGATCATGTCTGCTTCCCCTTCACCAAAGTGATCCCTAAAAATAGCTGTTCCTCCCTTCAAAAGATGAACCAAGGGTGGGCGTGGTGGCTCACACCTGTAATCCCAGCACTTTGGGAGGCCAAGGCAGGCTGATCACCTGAGATCAGCAGTTTGAGACAAGCCTGGCCAACATGGCAAAACCCCATATCTACTAAAAATACAAAAATTAGCTGGGCGTGCTGGCATGTGTCTGTAATCCCAGCTACTCAGGAGGCCAAGGCAGGAGAAATGCTTGCACCCAGGAGGTAGAGATTGCAGTGAGCCAAGATTGTGCCACTACACTCCAGCCTGGGTAACAAAGCAAAACTCCTTCTCAAAAAAGAAAAAAAAAAAAAAAAAAAAAAAAAGATGAACCAAGGAGAAACTATACAAAGTAGGGGATTGGTTCAGTTGTTTGTATTTCAGCATATACTTATAAGCACCATGATCATCATCATCCCATACAGTATTTGGCGTTTGGTGTTTATCAGGCCTTAGAACTATTGTTGGCTTGATTGCTGGCATTAGGCTCAAGTGAGCAAGGAGCTGAGAGTGGTATTACACTCTTATATTTGACTTTACAACATACCTGGGAGAGCATCCTCATGGTGTTTGCTGCCTAAAATTGGTAGTCAGTCAGTCTTAGAGGTTATTTAAAAATATTTGATGAATCTTATAAGTAAAAGAAACCAGACACAAAAGAGTATATATATACTGAATGATTCCATTTACATGAAGTTCAAAAATAGGCAGAACAAATCTCTAGAAGTCAAAATAGTAGTTACCTTGGGTGGGGGACTTCTGGGTGATAGAAATGTTCTGCTTTTTAATGTGGTTGCTAGTTAATAGTTATGTTTACTCTGTGAGAAATTTCTCGAACTGTACGCTTATGATTTTCTGTATATTGAACTTCAGTAAGTTTACTGAGAGGAAGAGGAAGAAGAAGATGAGGAAGAGAAAGAAGAAAAGGGAAGAAGAGAAAGAGGGGGCAAGGAGGAAGAGGAGGGAAATAAATGAAAGAATGAACTAAAGGAAATGCATGGAATTTAAAACAAAACAGCACGCAAAAAAATAAGCACCTGAAAAGACATTCAATATCATAATTAAAATCACAATGCAATATCACTACCCACTTATTAGAACAGCTAAAGTAAACAATAATGGTAATGTCAAATAATGGCAAGGATGTAGAGAAACAGAGTCTCTCATACATTTCTAGTGTGAATGTAAAATGGCACAGCCACTCTGGAAAATAGTTTTTGCAGTCTTTACCATACAATTCAGCAATCACACCCTTGGCTATTTATTCCAGAGAAATGAAAAATTATGTTCACACAAAAACCTATGGATGAATATTCATAGCAGTTTTATTCATGCTAGAAAAATACTGGAAACAACCCAGATATCCTTCAATGGGTGAGTGGTTGAATAAACTCTAGTGCATCCATGCAATAGGATACTGCTCAGCAATAAAAAGGAATCAATTACTGATACATGCAACAACCTGGCTATGTCTCAAGGGTATTATGCTTAGTAAAAAAAAGCCAATCTGAAAAGATTACAACTGTATGGTTCCATTTATACAACAGTGAAAACTAAGGAAGTCTGTAGTCTAGCACCAACATACCAGTGTCAATTCCTGGTTTTGATATTGTACTACATTACAGGTCACCATTTGACAAAGCGGATGAAGGGACACAGGACTCTTCGTACTATTTTTACAACTTCTTATGAGTCTATAATAACTTTTTTAAGTTTAAAGGAAAAAGAAGAATCTTTGACCCTGTCCAATTTGAATTAGCCACACACGTTTATGAATGCCACTCCCCTCGGGCAGGGCTGGAACTCCCCAACTCCTGTAGTTTAGTGTGAAGCACGGTCAGTGGAAAACACAAGTCCTACTTGGAAGTACATTTACAGAAAATACTCACAAAAGATAAGGGAAAGGAGCAACCAAACCATGCTTCTTAGACACTCTGGTTGATCTCTTGCTCCTTGGGCTTGCGATGATTTATGTGACGAGAACCACATCAACATAGAACTTCAGGCTCTTTTTCTAAAATAGGAAACTTTATATACGAATGGAAGATTTATGAGAACTAAACAGAGGAATTAAAGATGAGCTATTAGGGAAAACAGATGTATTGAAATTACCATTGGAAAAAGACTGAAAAGCTTAGTTTGTCTTGAATTCCGAACTCAATTCTTGCTAACAGTAACCAGGAAGTCAGAGTCTCTTACCAAGACAGTAGCTTTCCCTTTCCTTAAGCTGAAAGGAGTGGGGAGCCAACGTCCGGTTGGTGGGTTTGTTTCTTTTAGAGTCTGGGGGAGGGGAGTGTGGCAAAGGCTACTTGAAGGCAGAATAGAGTAGAGTAGACATCTTTCTCGACCTGCTAATAAAAGCCAAATTGATTCTGAACATAGGGTAGGTTTTTAAGCAATCAGCCATGTTTATATTATTGTTCTTGGTTGAAATTACACAGTTTAGTCAAGAGATTACAATTTTTAAAACTAAAACTGGAACTACAAAAGCCCATATTTTTGTAAAATTCTTTCATGAATTAGCAAGTGTTAGAAAGTCTTGTAATTCATTCAAAAAAGGACCTTGCACTCCAACTCTCTGAATGTAAGGGAGTGAAAAGAAAAAGATCCTTGTCTTGTCTGGAGCCCCAGGGAAAGCCACAGCCTCAACCCCACACTGCGCTTTGTCCTCAGGGCTGTGTTCCTGAGCTTGATTGCCAGTCATTTGCCAGCAAGAGGATGGATTGTTTTGTTAATGTTTCTTCTTCAAGACTCAGGGAGCTCAGGGTAGTCATAGGGACAAGCCAACAGACAGAACCAAATGGTGAGCAGTACCCACTGAGATCTGGGCCTATGGCATGGCTAGTCACAAACTGAACCTCTTCAACCATGTACTTCTGTGTCCTGGCCTGAGGGGTCAAGGGACACACATATGCTTCACTGGGCACAAGGATATGAAGTCAGAGTTTATGCAGCTTCATAAATCAGGCTGCAATCTAATTTCTAGATAAACGATTTTAAAATGTTAAAAGCATCTCCCATGTTGCTATTACTCAGATAGTCCCAAGAATCAGAATGTTAAATAAGATGTTACTTAAATGTTGATTAAAAATTAATTGGGTGTGGTGGCAAGTGCCTAACGTCCTAGGAGGCTGAGGCAGGAGGATCGTTTGAGCCCGGGAGGCCGAGGCTGCAGTGAGCTATGATCACACCACTGCACTCTAGCCTGGGCAACAGAGCAAAACTCTGTTTTTTAACAAAATGAACCAAAAAAAGTGTTTAAAATATTATTTTACATTCTTCCATTCAGTAGAATTTATAATCTACATTTTGCCAGGGGCTTTTTATAACCATTATTATTTTGAAAAAAAAAAATAACTTGTAAGCTTTTTTTTTTTTTTTTTTTTCCCAGACAGGTGTTGCGCTCTGTGGCCCAGCCTGGAGTACAGTGGCAAGATCTTGGCTAACAGCAACCTCCGCCTCCCAGGCTCAAGCCATCCAAACTATCCTCCCACTTCCGCCTCCAGAGTAGCTGGGACTACAGGTGCATGTCACCATGCCCCGCTAATTTTTGTATTTTTAGTAGAGACAGGGTTTTGCCATGTTGTCCAGGCTGGTCTTAAACTCCTGGGCTCAAGTGACCTGCCCACTTCCCAAAGTGCTGGGATTACAGGTGTGAGCCACTGGGCCCAGGAACTAAAGGAAATGCATGGAACATGCATTTATAAAGGAAAATAAAGGAAAAATGGCCCATTTTATCTTCTACTTATACTGTCTCACATATACCACCTCCCCCACCCGCCCCCAGCACACATACTTGCCACTGATTTTGAAAAAGAAATCGGCCGCTACTTTGAGCTTATTGCTTTTAAAATATCAGTTTAAAGCTCAAAACACTGTTTGAAAATTGTTACATCAGAAAGCCTATGCTGGGCTAAAAAAGCCTTTCTTAGGTTCATCTGCATCGTGGGAAGCCCCGTTCGGTATTAAGTTACCTGTGCATTGTAAGTGTCCCCACCAGTCAGTAAAGAACTAGGTGTTACTGCATAGTTCCAGGGTACAGCCTGGCGTTAGGCACATAGTAGCTGTTTAATCATCATTTCTTGAATTACGTAGATTAACTTGTCAGGACTCACATGTTCACATGGACAGGAATGTAGTTATTAACTACATTCAGGTTAGTCCACCCTTATTTTATATATTTGTTTCCAATTAAAAACAAACTATTATGTGAAGAACTCCAGACTCCCCAAGAATTCTGTTTTTGCTGGAGCCAAGAGGGTGGGAAACAATCATATGGCATCTAGTCTTCGAAGATGGCCTCAAAGAGCCATGCATCCCAGAATTCATGCCCTTGTGTAGTTCCTCCTGTACTAAACCCAGGTTGAGCCTGTGTGCAGTAAAGGATTAACTCAGCAAGATTGGGAAGTTCGAACCCTGCAAATTCCAAAGAAAGGACTGGCCCTTGACTAGATCTTGGGAGACAGTCTCCAAGCCCTTGGAATATAGTGCTTGATAAGAGTGCCTTTGTATGCCTAGGGCTTGAGCCATGACACATTGTTTATGCTAACAATGTGATTTATGATATTCACCTGGAGCTCTGGGCCTCCCTGTTTCAGTTTGACTTCTGGAGGGGCTGGAGCCTGAGTAACTAAGGTTAGTCATGTGAGTGCTCCATGCCTCATTAACAACCCTGGACTCCCAAGGCTGGGGTGAGCTTCCCTGGTTGGCAATATTTTGTACATGTTGTCACACATCATTGCTAGGAAAATTTTGTGCTGTCTATAAAATTCTACTGGTCGAGGACAGCTGGAAGCTTGCACCTTCGTCTCTCCTGGCCTCTGCCCTATGTGCCTTCTTCCTTTGCTGATTTTCATCTGTATCCTTTTGCTATAATAAACCATAACTATGAGTACAATAGCTTTTCTGAGATTTCTGAGTCCTTCTAGAGAATCATCAAACCTGAGGGTGTCTTGGTGACCCCAATACAGCCTGTGATTTGATTTGACCAGTAGAATGAGGCAGAAATGATATTGTGCCTGTTCTGGGCATCAGCCTTAAGAATGCCTGGAAACTTCTGCTCTTGCAATTTGGGGTGCTCTTAGTAAGTAGTAAGTAGAGACCATGGGGAGAGGAGAGGCCCAGTCATCCAGGTGTCCCAGCCAAATCTTTGTAAGACTCCAGTCCCAGCCATGATCTGACCACAACCACATGATAGACCCCAAATCAGAGAACTGCCCAGGTGAGCACATTCAACGCACAGAATTGTGAGCGGGAACAAAATGGTTGTTGTTTTAAACCACTAAATTTTGGGGTGGCTTATAATACAGCAGTGGATAACTAAAACCAGCATGAATAATCAAGTGATTTAAGAGATTCAGAATTTAATTGGTTAAGAGATTATACATAAGTAGCTGCTAGAAATCATTACTTTCAACAATGCAACCCAAAACAATTTTCCTAAATTGAAAGCAAAAACCGATTTTTTTTTAAGGAGACTGGAATTGAACAAAATTCTCTCAGGCTGCTGAAGTCTGTTGCTTCATTTATTTTAGACTCAGTCTTCTTTTCATCGCTGATTTGGAAATAGTGAAAGGCCACCCGTAAACAATACCTCACATAGGAATAGCCTTCAGGAGGTCTCAGAGCCTTCCATGTCTTTAAAAATTGTATCTTTAAAATTAGAATATGAGGTAATTGCTCTTATGCAAATTTCAGAGACAACATGAGCGAGCTCCCTGGCAGGCAGAAGCTGGACGTCCTGGTTTCCTAACTGCTCCCACAAATGCCCTCTGTACCCTGCTGGGTTCCATCTGGCCACACTCCAGTGCCTCTCCCAGAGGAAGGCATGCCAAATTCCTGACACGTGGCGTTTGAAAATACCATGGAACGTTTCCACTCGTGGATTTCACCATGTTCTCCAGTGAATATTTTAGCAAGCTAAAAATGTGACTCCTCGGTCATGAGAACACTAAGTCCATATGATTCGAAAAGAGCAATAATGCTGGAACTTTGATCCAATTATCAGCAAGTCCTCTTCCAGGAGATTAAATGTCTTATAGTATTTTATAATTTGCTTAGCAGGTATTTATCCTTTAGTGAAAACCAATGGTCTTAGAAGAGAGCAGCAAAAGATGCTGACAAATCATTTAAATGGCTAAGTGGTCATTCTTGCTGGCCTAATAAAAGTCCATTTCTAGGAAGACGAAACCTCAGCTTCTTATAAATCATCAATTATCCCAGATAATGGTAACAATATAGATATTTATACTCTGAGTTTTTATTTCCGCGTCTTGTGTTTCAACTTCACATCAGGTTGGTTTTTAAAAATTTATTTATTTACTTCGAGACAGAGTTTCTTTTTTTTTTTTTGAGACAAAGTCTCACTCTTGTTGCCCAGGCTGGAGTGCAGTGGTGTAATCTTGGCTCACTGCAACCTCTGCCTCCTGGGTTCAAGTGGTTCTCCTGCCTCAGCCTCCCAAGTAGCTGGGATTACAGGCATGTGGCACTGCACCCGGCTAATTTTGTATTTTTAGTAGAGATGGGGTTTCACCATGTTGGTCAGGCTGGTCTTGAACTCTGGACCTCAGGTGATCCGCCCACCTCAGTCTCCCGAAGTGTTGGGATTACAGGCATGAGCCACCGCACTCAGCCTGGCAGTTTTAAACGAATGAATTCATCTGTAAGCTTTTGAATGGAAAAACCAAAGTAGAAAGAAACATATTGTCTTACATTATTCTACAAATCAAAACTTTTAAAAATCAAATTGTCTTTCTTGTATTAAGAACAAACCGCAAGTGCCTGATCATCTACTTTATTTCCACGAGGCAGAAATACAGTTATGCAGCTGATGTCAGGGAAGGCGGAGAATTTCCTCAGCCATCCATGAAGAAAGATAAGGGGCCTTATCCACTGGCTGTCTAATCTTATAAAGATCTCATGCAAATTTGGTGGACATAGGGCACAATTCTCTATCCTTGAAGAACATTTTCCAAAGCACAGATGTTTTTCTCTTAATTGTGAATGCTGACTGACTTGTCCATATCCTTTCTCAGTGCTCAGCAGATGGTACGATTTGGGACTCGCTTGTTCCCTATAACGTGGGGCTGATGTTCTTTGCTACGTGGAAAACACATCTTTGGTGAGACAGAAATGAATCAATATTACACAAAAATGTTTCCATTTCTGGAATTTCCCTGAGATAAAAATATCTTTCTGGCTTTGGGTATACATAAGTGACCGTGCAGACACTTAGTAAAAGAGAAAACAGATTTTCAATACTTCGTGGTGATGGTGACTATACGGGATTATAAGTAGTTAAAGGTTTTCCTGTTGCATCATTTTGGAAACAAAAAGCTGACTCATTTTCTGGTTAATGCTTCAATATTTTCATTAGGGAGTTTCTATAAAGTTTTTATCTGAATCACAGAAAGTACAATTATTTCAGAGGTAGGATAAAATTTTTTCTGTCATAAACAGCACTGTGTACTAAAACCTGCTATGAGTTTAACAAATCACCTAGAAGCCTAATGCTCAAGAATGCAATATATCAAGTAAAACACTGAAAAGTTCAACTAGTTTAGATAATGCAAGTATGGAAATGCAAGATTGACTAAAACTTTTAAATATTATCACTCTTATTAACATGCTAATTTAATTCATTTTACTGGAGTATTTTAATTTCCTGGCAATTGAATAGCACTTTTTACTACAAATATTTCATCATTTGGATAAACATATTCTTTTATTTACCATTTGTCAGGTTTTGTATGCTAAATTGCAACTGCTTATATACACTCATCAAGTATCTCAAGGATAAATTAAAATTCTTAGTAAAAATCCAACTGACCGGTACAGACCACAAAAAGTACTATTTTAAGCCTTTGGGGGCTTAAAAATTGTGTGTGTGTGTGTGTGTGTGTGTGTATTCACATGGTGGGAGAAAAAGAACTTTCCAGATAATTGTGAATGGCATACTATTATATAAGAGTTTAAAACGCAATATTTCTGTACGATCAAAGTTCTTAACTCATGCTTTTTTTTTTTTTTTTTTTTTTTGAGACGGGGTTTCGTTCTTGTTGCCCAGGCTGCAGTGCAGTGGTACAATCTCAGCTCACTGCAACCTCTGCCTCCCAGGTTCCAGCGATTCTCCTGCCTTAGCCTCCCAAGTAGCTGGGATTACAGGTGCCTGCCACCACATCTGGCTAATCTTGTGTATTTTTAGTAGCAGTGGGGTTTCACCACGTTGGCCAGGCTGGTCTCGAACTCCTCACCTCAAGTGATCCTCCCACCTCCGCCTCCCAAAGTTCTGGGCTTACAAGCATAAGCCACCGCACCCACCCCATGCTTTACTCTTAAACTAATTTTGAGTTGTATATGAAAGGCCTAATAATCAGAAAAAGGCTATTTCTTAACTTAACTTGCTCAAATATTTTGAGCCTCCAAATCTGGAAAATAATGTTGAAGTTTGAAACTGATGCCGTGCCTACTCTAGGGAGCACAGTACTGAACTGCTGCTTCCTTGCTTCTCTTGGTGAATGCACATTGAGTGCCTTGTCATGCTCTGAACCCACCACTGCTAGGGACAGCTGTGGGGGAGCAGCTCACTGCACCTCAGAAGTCAACGTTAAAAGTCATTGTGAGCACCTAGAAGTGAAGTTCCACGAGACAGAAAACTGAGCCACAAGATGCCCCCAAAGTAGGAGTCATGTTGAAAACTTTGAAAAATGTCTTTGTACAACATCTACACAGATCTTTAGAGAACAGGCCAGACCTGTGCTGACTTAGGTACTGCCTAAAATGTCACTATATGAGGAACCATTTCAGCAGCATACTGCCCACGCTTCTCTGAGCCAAAGATGTTCCTAGCACTGCCTTTAGCCATATCATCTTTAAGTGAAAATAAGATTTTATACATATTCCGGCTGGGACACCTCGAGCACATGTGACCTCAGGAAATTCCTTAACTTCTATTCCCCTAGTTTCCTTATCTATAAGATGGTGAAGATTGTGGCAGAATTAAATGAGTTAATGTGCCCGACACATAATACAAACTACTCTGCGTTAGTTGTCCATTAGTATTATCATCCACTTATCATATCCACTCATAATTTTTGCAGAGAAGCCACCAGCACAAAATAAAATCAATTACAACACAATTTTTTTCAAAACGTGAACAGATACTATTTTATAAAAAGGTTCATAGGATCCCCAAATTAGTATTAACTCGGCTCAGATTTATCTACCCTAAGCACGTGGGGATTCTTCCCAGCTCCCACGCTCCTTGCCACCCTAAATGCTCAAGGGGAGTCCTATTGTATTAGAAATGAACTTGCTAATCACGACTTTGGACCTGATCCAAGACATGCTTTTCAGGCACAGCACTGGTAAGGAGATGGGTCCCCTCCAGAAAATGCTGAGAAATGGTAGCAAACAGGATTCCCTCCTTCGGTCTACTCCTCACTGCCTTCCCTCTGTGGGAGATGAAGCATTGCTCCCCCAATCCCATGCACATTTGATTGCTAGCCTGCTGGCACAACCCTATGATCCAGTGTGTCCAGAGAGATCCAGATTTCTCCCTCCGTACGTTTTCTCTCTCTGGTTGGTCCTGTCTATAGCTACAGATGAGCAAGAAGCATCCATGGACTGCCCAGGGCTTTCGTTTCCCATACCTCTGCTGTTTGAGATCTGGAGAACAGAACACATCCAGTCAGTAGCTCACACCCCCCATCACATTCTCAGCCTTCACATGTGAGGAAAACAGCTGGTCAAGGAAGGCTGCTGAATTCCATTTATAAGCCACTTAGCAAGTTATGAAGCTAGAAGGGTCATTTCTGTAGTCACTGTGTTATTGTTACAGCATATACTGATCACCTACTGGCTCTAGGAAGTGAGAATGATACTTTCAGTTCAAATCTTAGTGTCAGGATTTAATATCAAACAGGAAGAAACTCTACACCTTTGCTGCTTGTCTTAGCCAAGCAAATGAGGGTGTCAGAGAAACTGACCACCCTCTCTAGGCTGAAATGGGTTAGAGCAGATCTCAACTTCTGGAATTTTTAGTTGTGGAACCTTTCCTGGTAAACTATTATTTTAATGTCAATATTCTGGGAGGCAGGCAAATTTAAGGCAAGAGAGTACACTAAATCATAGGCACAGTGGCTCACACCTGTAATCCCAACACTTTCGGAGGCCGAGGCAGGCAGATCATTTGAAGTCAGGAGTTCAAGACCAGCCTGGGCAACATGGTGAAACCCCATCTCGACTAAAAATACAAAAATTAGCTGGGTGTGGTGGTGCATGCCTGTAATCCCAGCTACTTGGGAGGCAGAGGCAGGAGAATCACTTGAACCTGGGAGGCAGAGGTTGCAGTGAGCCAAAATCATGCCACTGCATTCTAGCCTAAACAACAGAGCGAGACTCAAAAAAAAAAAAAAAAAAATCATAGACACAGTGACAATGGAAATGTTTATTGCTGGTGGTTGGGTCTGTCATTTCCTAGAGGACATAGCTGGCCAGCAGATTTTCATTTCTTTTTTACAAAATAAACAAATGCCTACTTTATTATTTATACACAGAAAATTATATAGAAACACCACACAAACTGCTTGAAATACAAATATTCTTTGGTTTACTTATCAAAGTAAAAAATAACAAAAATCTTATCAGTTAAATAAAAAAGTGACATTCTTTATCAAGCCTTCTTAAACACTGAAACGCACGCATTTTTATGCTCATGTTCTTTAGCAGTATTTCTCCCCTTTTGCCCCTCATTCCCCTAAATTGTTTCAATGAGTTCATCTGTAGAATGAAGATTGTTACCTTTCTTAATGCTACTTACTTTTTATTATCTCAATATCAAGACCAATCTAGACTTTTTTGTCTCTTACATGTGAAATGGATGTAAAAAATGGAAAATTCACCAGCACTTTTTAAGATAACATAAAAGAAGCCCTAAGCAAGCATTTCAAGGCAATGACACACCATTACATTTCTGAGAAATTTAAGTATCATTGGTACTTAAAAGGAGAACTCAATTCCAGAAGCATATTCTTATACTGGACATTATTCATAATAGCTAATATAGTTCATTTCCACAGTACTGATTTCAGATAAGCCATTTTTTTTTTCCTGAGGGTTGACTACCTCAGACTTAAATCCTGAATGTCGATGACTCAATCTTAACAAAACAGTCAGCTGTAGACATGAAAATTGAATTGTTTCAAAAGGAGCAATGATAGCAAGAGAAAGTTCTTGGCATTTTAAGAAAAGTACATATACATAGCAAGAAATGAAAGTAAATCAAAATACATAGCTTTGTACATGTTAGAAATATCCAATGTGCCACCAACACAACAACTGCCCTATTAAAAAGTCCTCAGGTCTGGAGACATCTGTATTTTTCTTTGTATAACTACATTTGCATTACCCAACCACATATCTCTCCCATGGTCTGTTACCCGTTAGGAAGCTTTTAACCAGAATTTTTGGCAATATGCTTTTCTTCAAATAAAACAAGCCTTCAAATAAATCATTATGTCTGACAACTGAATTGGGTAAAGTCTTTCTGAAATATGTGTAATCTTTAGAAAATTCTTCTTTTTTCCTTCATAAATCAGCAGTGCTCCATCTTCAAATAAATCATGATCAGTCACAATCTTAACTCATGTGCTCATATGTTCTCTTCATCCAACATTTTGTTGATACCATCACATAGTTTTTGTAAGTGGGGTTTAAAATTCCCAAAAGGATTATACAAGGCAGCCAAAAATTCACAATCTGAAAAATGATCAAACACATTATTAACCCGTCCATGTGACTTGGCAGTGAGGTGGCGCTGAATGATTTGGTGCAGCATCTCTCTGCATTCATTTAACAGCCTGGATAACACATTCCGGTCAAAGGTATAATCCACCTGATGGAAACTGACCACGGTCATAGCAAGCTGATGAACTTTCTTCTTAAATTTCTCCATCAATGCTAGCTCATCTTGATTAAACTGATTATTCCTATAAAGAATGGCCAGCTTGATGACTGTCTTGATGAGGTTCTTGATGATCTTCTCTGCCTCCTTCTTGTTTTGGGTGTACTCCCTGGTCACTCTGTAGAGCTCATCCAGCACCTCACTACTTGTGTCGTCTATTAAGGTGGTGGCGATGGATTTGGACACCATTTTACCCAAGATCTTCTTTTGTGCCTGAACGGCCAGGTTTTTGGAATTAAAGACATCTGTGGCCACTAAAAAAAAAAAAAGAGAGGAAAAGAATTAACAATTAGTAAATATCAGCAAGTGAAGCGAACTAAAAACAGGTATTTGGGAGCACTTTTTTTCCTCATTTTCCCACCATTTGTGGTTTGTCTTACATCTACCGACATTAGTCTCTGTTCAGAAAAGAATTTTTGGCTGGGTGGAGTGGCTCACACCTGTAATCCCAACACTTTGGGAGACTGAGGTGGGCAGACCACTTGAGATCAGGAGTTTGAGACCAGCCCGGCCTACATGGGCGTGGTGGTGGGCACCTATAATCCCAGCTACTCAGGAGGCTGAGGCAGAAGAATCGCTTGAACCCAGGAGGCGGAGGCTGCAGTGAGCTGAGATTGCTCCACTGCACTCCAGCCTGGGTGACACAGCGAGACTCTGTCTCAAAACAAAAAAAAAAATACAAAATCAACTCTATACCTGTCATCTGGGCAACAGCAACCACAAGCGATTTAAAAGAAATTCATTTAAATGGAAGAAGAACAAATGGCAAAGCCATAATATTGAGTAAAATGGCAGATTAAGCAAATCAAAAGGAAAGCCTTGTTTTATAATCCGGTTGCAAAAAGTCAAATTTCCCAAGACATTGGCCAGTGCCTACCAATTTGGCTGTCCTAAGTACCTTGAATTTCAGCCTCCAGAAGTCGAGTGTTGAAAAGAAGTGCTCCTTGGAGAGCTCATTGTCACTTGCTATTTCTGATGAATGGCCATTGTTCACTTTACATTTTTACACATTTTGGGGAAATAACCTTTTCATGAGCTAATGAAATGTGCTACATGAAAAATATACTTTGAAAAAGCTGTTGCTTAGAGTTTACTTTTGGAATTATAACTTCTGACAGATGTTTACAATATACATAATAATGGCTATACATATTAAATATTAAACAGACACTATATGTAATCTTCCCACCTTAGAGCTGGTCAAGTGAAAATGCTCAATAAATGTTTATTCTCCAAACCAAGTTTACTTTTCTTCTACCACAATTTTCCCCACTCCATGCATGTAGCAATCTTTTTTTTTTTTTTTTTTTGAGACGGAGTTTCACTCTTTTTGCCCAGGCTGGAGTGCAATGGCGTGATCTTGGCTCACTGCAACCTCCACCTCCCGGGTTCAAGTGATTCTCACAACTCAGTCTCCAGAGTAGCTGGGATTATAGGCACCCTCCACCATGCCCGGCTAATTGTGTATTTTCAGTAGAGACGGGGTTTCACCATGTTGGCCAGGCTGGTCTCGAACTCCTGGCCTCAGGTGATCTGCCCATCTCAGCCTCCCAAAGTGCTGGGATTACAGGCATGAGCCACCGCACCTGGCCCATTTCTCTCGCTTCTCCTAAGGCTTAAGAACTGCAGTTCTTTGGGTGTCTACTCAATCTCTGAGTCGAGTGGCAACTGTTCTCTCCATATATGCCAGTGTTTAAGCCTAGGCCTGGGTATCAGAAAGCAGTCATTTGGTAATGAAAGATAAAAAGTTTAAAAATACAGATACATACAAATGAGTCAAGGCATCAATGATTATATAAGATTATTTCTAGTTTGGATAGGCTAGCATCATTAGGAAGCAAAAAGGCAGCTGCTTCAAAATCCAGACTGGGAAGACATATAGGAAGAGTGACTCCCTTAATCCAGAACTGCCATGTTGGATTTAAAATTGGGGAAAGGCGGGGTGTGGTGGCTCACACTTGAAATCCCAGCACATTGGCAGGCCCAGGTAGGGAGAGGATCACTTGAGCCCAGGAGTTTGACACCAGCCTGGGCAACATAGCAAAACCCCATTGCAACAAAAAACTACAAAAAAAAAAAAAAAATTAGCCAGGTGTGGTGGCATGCACCTGTAGTCCCAGTTACTAGGGAGTTGGAGGTGGGAGAATAATCTGAGCCTGGGAAGTTGAGGCTGCAGTGAGCAGTGATTGCACTACTGCACTCCAGCCTGGGCAACAAAGTGAGACCCTGTCTCAGAAAAAATTAAAATTAAATAAAATTGAGGAAAAGAAGAACCAAATTAGATTTGAAATTTGGACCAAAGTAGTTCGTGGTATATAGTAGAGGCAGCTGCAAAATGGTTCCTTATGACCTGAACATCATTTATAAATATACAGTGCCATACATCCACTCAAAGAATGTCTTGATTGAATAAGAAAGGGTCCCCTCACAAATGTCGAAATTTAAACTTCTGAAACATGAACTGAAACTGCAGAAGAACTAAAATATATTTTGAAAAAGAGAAGGAAAGTGAAAATGTGTGAGAAACAGCCAACTTTATGGAGAAGTTTCCATCATTTAATGTTTTATGTTTTTATCATTTAAGCAGAAATCTGTTTCTATTCCTATTCTTCAATGATTTGCAAAAGAGTATAAAGATTAATTCACACTAAAGAATTTATGTCAAAAGAAATGGCATCCATGTAGCTAACAGTATCACATTAAAACCAGGGACCATATTTCATCTTAGAACTCCTGATATAGACCTCAAAAAAAATCAATAAACTTGATTTATATAGGGATACCCAACCATTTTCAGCTACTCAGCAGATAACCAGGATTTCAGTAATATATTACATATAAAGTTGAAATGTTATTGTGTTTTTTTTTAATGTTTTAGAACATGGCACAGTCTACAAATATCTTACCTGGGATTTACTACAAGTCTATCAGTTGGACATACTTTATGTTGTGAAATATTGAAACCAGAGGGAGAGGTATTCATAAGATTTCTCCTTTATCCAAGACTGGACTTTCATGTTTACACCTCTTCTCAGCTACTTTTCTGATTAAATCTCAATATCCCATTTAACTTCAAACATGGAAAACAAAAACTCTATGATACAGCACTTCAACTTCCTGCAAGAGAGTGTGTAACAGGCAAATCTACTGCCAACTAAGCAAGATCATTCCCCATTTACTGGTAATCAAGTATGAATCAAGATAGAGAAGTTGATCTCTGAGGCTTTCATATTTATCCTAGAGGAACTTCAAACCCCGCTCCAGAAACACAGCAGCTGTGTCACACTTTCCTTTTATTCTTTGGGTTATTCCAGTGAAGTCGTCTTTTTAAATGAGGTTGAAGCTCCTTGTTCCCCTCCACCATCTGAAGCTCTTTCTCCCCCTCCACCAAGAAGACATGCATGAGTAGATTTATTTTCCAGCATTAGAGAAAGTTTTTTTGAAGCCAACTGGGGCTTGTGGCTGAGAGTCGCTGGCCAGGGATGTGTGGTCTGTGCTCATGAAGTTTGTTTCTTTTTCTTGCAAATTAACTGCTGTTAGCCATTCCTGTGCAGGCTCATTTGTCAGTTCCACATGCTCTACCAGATCCCTTAAAAGTCTGGTGTATCTCAGAGCTAGTCCTGGATCAAGTTTTTCTCCTTCAGTCTATCCTCACCCCTGTGTGATCTCATCCACTGCCACAGCTTCAGATACCACCCATGTGCCAATGACTCCCATAGCCATAACTCAGCCCTGACCTCTTTTCTGGACTCATTTTGTAAGTGCATTCAAGATTTTTCTTTCCTTGACTATTTTGCAGGCATCTCAAATTTACCATATGCAAAACTGATCTTTGATTCTCTCCTGCCTCCCTACTAAGTGCTCCTCTTTCACTCTTTATGATCTCAATTAATAGCATCCCTTCCAACCTTTTGCTCAATCAAATCAGAGACCTGGGGATCATCCACCATACCATTCTCTCCCTCACCCAGTCCATTATTAAGTTCTTTCCATTCCACCTTCCTCCTGCATTTCTCTGAATTCTATCCATTTCCCTCCATCTCCACGGACAGCAGCCTAGTCCAAACCCCTTTCTATCTCTTTTCACATATCAGCCAGAGTTTCAAGAAATGAAATTTGCAAATGGGGCCGGGCGCAGTGGCTCACACCTGTAATCCCAGCACTTTAGGAGGATAAGGTGGGAGGATCACTTGAGCCCAGGACTTTGAGACCAGCCTGGGCAACATAGCAAGACCCTGTCTCTACAAAAAAAACTCAAAAAAAAAAAAAAATAGCTGGGCATGTAGTCCTATTTGCTCAGGGGGCTGAGGTGGGAGGACTGCCCGAGCCCAGGAGTTCAAGGCTACAGAGCTGCAGTGAGCTATAATCATGCCACTGTACTCCAGCCTGGGCGACACAGCAAGGCCCTGTCTCAGAAAAGAAAAGAAAAGAAAAGAAAAAAAAAGATGCTTCATGTAAGTTCTTTGCTAACTATCACACCTCCTTGTTCCTTAAATCCTCTTCATTTGCCTACATTTTTATTGTCTGCCTCTCCCTACTAGGATTTAAACTCTGAGAGCAAAGATTCTGTGTATCATGTTCACTGTGTCAACTTGCAGGCCTAGAGAGTGGCTGGTCCAGAAGCAGCAATCAATTTCCCCTATCTCATCCACAATATACTCAAATACTTTTCTATGAAAACATGTTGGCCTGTAAAACGAGAGTTGTAAATACATTAGTGGGTGTTTTTGTTTGTTGTATTAAAAGGTAGAAAAACAGGTATTTGTTTTACCTCACTAAACATGTGGTTTTTCTTCCCTCTAAGTGCGCTCCAGAGTATGATTTCTCTTACTGTCATCAACCAGTTCTTTTAAAGAGGAGAGATTTGTTGTGCATAATGGGAAAACATCCAAGGACAATAATGCAAATATTTAGAGTAAAAGCAAGGTGTAGTTCTGACTTGAACTGTAGCAGGAGATTAAACACAGGCCCACCTCTACTTCTGGCTGGATCTATGTTTAGACATGTGCCAGAGGGATACCTAAGGCATGTCCTGGGAAGCAACTAAGATGTAAACAGGAGATGTTCCCCAAGGAGAAAGTGCTGAAAATATTCATTCAGTTTTTTGCCTCTTAAGATCAATTCACTTGTGTTTGGAAACAGACATGTAAATTGTTCATTAATGAAGAATAATGCTGTATTTAAAAAAAAATACAAAGCATTACCACCACATTAAAACTGTTTAAGATTATTTTCTAGAAATAGGGTGTAAATGTTATTTTACATTACTTATCTTACCTCCCTCCCTCTCTGTCTCTGTATCTCCTCCCTTGGCCATTTCAGCAACATTTGCTGTAAGGCAAAGTGATATTTAGGGAATTCTGGCTTTAGCATCAAAATTATAAAGTTAGAGATAAATATGGTTAAAATATACTGACCCAAATATTCAAGAAAAAATATGCTCAGAAGGAAAAAAAAGTCCTTTGTTATTAATACTTAGTTTTATGAAAATTAACAAAAATGCCCCATAACATAACTACTCCCACTGAGAATTTTCTAATAAAGTACTCAAATCATTTTCTTTACAGTCTTACCAGTAAATACATAATTTTTTCCCCTCAAATCTATTATACTTGGGACTCTTTAACAGTGATGACAACAGATGTACATACATTGCAAATTCTTGCCTAGTTAAAACTCGATCCAGGTTTCCAATATTAGGAAGGATAGAAAAGATAATAATTTGGAAAGCATGTCTGGCTGTTGTCTGTTAATAAAAGTTCTTTAAATAAATATATAAAACCTTAGCTCTCTTGTATCTAAATAATTCTAAATCTAATGGGACTTAGTAAAAAGTCAGCTTTGGTGATAAGAAAGTGGCCAGAACAAACAACGAACCCTGTCATAAGAAGTCAGCAGGCGAAGAGTTGACCTCCCTACATGGAGATTTGGCAGTGCTCCAGAGAAAAGCAATGAACGCTCGGAGTAGCTAGTGATGTGTCAGTGTCACCAGCTTTCATACTCAAAATCCCAAAGTCAGAAATTCAACAGCATAGAGAAGAAACAACAGAGGGAAAGAGAGAGGGAGAAGGAAGGAAGGAAGGAAAGAGAGGGAGGGAGGGAGGGAGGGAGACCCAGTAGAAGCAGCACAGATATGAACTCTAAAGGGGGCTGCCCTGGAAGGGTCAGAAGCAACGACCATGGCAGCAAGCTGGAGGCAATCTTATCAACTAGAGAGAGAAGACAAGTGCCAGGCACCTTAATCCCAAAATTGGCCTTATGCCACACAGATGGAGGCTGTCACACAGAACATAGTCTTGGGAGAATCAATACATCTGAAGTCCTTAACCTGATACGGAATGCACATTTTGGGGTATATGCACATCCCCCCAAGTGGTTAAGAACCAGTGACAGGCACCATTACAGTGGCAAGCTAAGTCATTCACTCTGTTTCTTATACTCCAGAAAAATACATGCTAACCTTAAAAGGCAACATAGTAAAGAAGACATGTCAGAGAAAATGGTGACTTTGAAATACTCCTCCCCCGCAAAACAAAACAAAACAAAACAAAACACTGGGTTCTTTTGACGGGAGTATTAGGAATTGTCTAAGGCACTCTTCCAGATTCCCTTTATTGTCCTTCGCTTAGCTATTTTATACTCTGTAAATTGTAGAAAACTGATAATATTGCAAATGGCTCTTCTACATACAGACACAAATAAAATGTGTTCAGTGGAGCTGCATGCAATTGATTCCTGATTTTCTTGTTTGACTGCTCTTAAGATCCTCCTTGAACCAAATATAAGAGCTTACTGGTTCCCTCATTAATAAATGAGTTAAGTAAAATCTTCAATATGTGCAATTTGTATTTATATGAGAGTCATGAATTTATCCTCTTAAAAAACATACCTTGTAACACATATTAGAATGTTTTCCACCGAAAACATTTTTTTTAAAAAGACTGCAGTATGAACCTTTAATGCACTAGTGTTCTTTTTCTGTGGCAACTTATTTCCCCAGGGTCCTGGAAAACTATAGTATACTTATAAAAGTCCAAATACTCTGTAGCTAATGGTTCCATGAACTGCCACACTGCTCAGGGATATTACTGGTACTCGGCTTCCTCATCTGTAAGATAAGTACAATGATCCCCACTTTTTGGAGTTGTTCCAGAGATAAATGGACATGGACCACATAGATGTGTTTCACACAATCCCTATCACAGAACAGCCTTCTTCATAGGTTAAAGAACACAACAAATTAAACTTCAAATACATTCTGATGCTCTTTAGTACAGAATCACATTTGGCCAAAATTAATTCCTTCTGGTAGTATCATGAACTGAGAAATGCAAAATGCCAGATGGCTGGGTGAAAACGGAGACCTCACATAGTTCAGCTAATAAGGAGTTACATCTTCTCTTTCATAATGATATTTAAAATATATAACATATTAAAAACTTTCTTTAGAAGGGAATTTCTCTTTTTTTAAGGTGCTTACTTTCTTGTTAGCAATAGATTTAGTACTACGAGGACTCTGCTAGTTAAAATAGGGGTATTCTGCCTAGAGAAAACTGGCCTATCACGAACAGAATGAGAGCCTACTACAAGACAAGAGGAGAAGCCTAGTCAACATCCATGAAAAGCTATGCAACAGCAGCAAGATGCAAAGGTAATGGGCCAAAAATAAAGCCACAGTTAAAAGCCACAGGGGCTGACAAGGTCACTTTAGAAGTCACAGCGTTCTCATGCAGTTTCTGAAGCCTCCCAGAGAACCAGAGATCCAACAGCAGGGCGTGAAGCCAATTAAGAACAGCATGGATGGAAACAAAAGGCTCAAAGTCAAGAGTCCCAGGTTGTAAACTTGGGTGCAATTTATTTGAAACACAGTTTTCTCATCTTCTACACTGGAGGTCATTTCAAGTTGGTGTGGCTTAAATGAGATTTAATGACTTATAAATCTGAAAAGATCCAGCAGTGTACTAGGCCATTTCTCCTTACATCCCTTATTTGCCAAATTCGTGGACAAGAAAAATGATGCCTTGAAGAAAACAGGATGAAGCCTTTCCCTCTGTGATCTCAGGCTTTAATTCTGGAATCTCTTCATCATGATTTTGAGTTCAACCGTGTATCTTTTATTCCTGTGGCTTAGTTTTATGACGATTTTGAAAATGTCATTTCCTGAGTTTCAACTCCTCTAACTTCATATCAGACCCCATCTCTGCTCTTTTTCTATCAATTTGCCCCAGGAATCATATGATACCTTCTTTATGGCATAAACTCTGACAAAATATCCCTGCTGCTTCTAGGTTTCTGATACCAGTAATGGAAGAAAGTTTGGTGATGTTAGTATAAAGCAGTATGGTTGGACCTCAAAGACTGTCAGTCTCAAAATATTAGGATAGAGGTTATGGGAAATGAATTTTGTGGTTACCCAAAGTCAGAGCCAGAGGTTTATATCCACAAGACTCATTGGTTGCCCTAGGCAATAATGATTACAGTGATAACAATAATAACAGCAGCCCCCATTTTTTGAATTTGTACTACATTATCCCTGGAACCGCCTAGAACTTGTGTTATCTTACTTATTTATTTTTTATGTTTTTTTAAGATGGAGTGTCGCTCTTTTGCCCAGGCTGGAGTGAAATGGCACAATCTCGGCTCAATGCAACCTCCACCCCCCGGCTTCAAGCAACTGTCCTGCCTCAGTCTCCCAAGTAGCTGATTATAGGCACATGCCACCACGCCCAGCTAATTGTTGTATTTTTAGTAGAGAAGGGGTTTTGCCATGTTGGCCAGGCTGGTCTCGAACTCCTGACCTCAGGTGATCCACCCGCCTCGGTCTCCCAAAGTGCTAGGATTACAGGCGTGAGCCACCGTGCCGGGCCACGTTATCTTACTGAAGCTTTACGGCAACCCTAGGAAGGAGGTTATTATTATACTCATTTTAGAAATGAGGTGACTGAGGCCCAGAGAAATTAAGTTACTATCTCAAGGTCTTACAGTAAGTGGCAGAGATTAACTTGAACTCAGATATGTCCAACTCCAAGCTGTTACACTATAATACATGAGCTTAAGAAAAGAAGCTTCCTCTTCTTTTAGTATAGGAAGATCTAATAATGTCTAGCTAAGTGAAGTAAGATGAAAGAAAAGAAAGGGACCAGGTCTCCCTGCAGGGAAGAAACAGACCATAAGGAAGATCAACCCAGCTGGGCTTGAAATAGCTTCCAGGGAAGAACTTGAGCAGTTTATAAGCATTTTAAAATATAACCTAAAACGACAATATACTTACATTGTTCAAAAGTCAGAATATACAGAATGGAAAAGCTCTTTCTCATCTTTGCCACCCACTGCAGTTCTGACCCTCAACCCTTGCCCTTGCTTCCAAGAGACAACTTAGATTTGTTTTTTTTCTCCCTGCATAACTAAGCAAATACATGAATAGATACTGAGCAGTGCAAAGAAGTCTTGGAGGCTTGCAATTCTTAAGAAATGCAACTTTTGAGTGATGAAAGAATATAAACTGTATATGTGTCCATAATTCCACATAAAACTAGGACATAAAATGGTAAAATGCTGGAGAAATACGGGCTATGACCTTTGTTCCCACACACACATTATCAGTAAGGATCCTTCAGTAAGTGATGAGAAGGTAGCAAGTATGTAAAGTAGGTCTTTATTTAATGGTTGGGGGGCAAGTATTATGATTAGAGTGATCAGATAATTTATCATCCAAAGGGAATACTTTTGGAAACAGTGCTGTTAGTAATTACACCATGACAACAGATCTGTGACTGACCCAGAATGTAAGTGGTCACCCTATTTATGACTAAATAAGAAAGTGTCAAAAATAAGGATTTACCTAAATATTCAAGACCTGAGAAATTTCTTGGCAACCGCCCAAGGGCATTAGCTAGCTTCTCTTACAAACTACATTAAAAAAACAAAACCTTAATTCTTCAATAAGCTAAAAGAGTCTTATGGGGGAAAATTATCTCTAGTTAAATAAGTTTGGGAAACAGTGTACACAAAGGTCCCCTTTGGAGATGCACAAAATGCTTTAATAATACTAAAGGCTTTGAGGATTAGTGCAATAAAGAACCATTTTAACTTTGCTTACCCAAGTTTTGCAAATTAATTTCACAAAGGATACCATAACAAATTTGTAGAATAAAGTCAGTGAAAATAATTGGCTAACAAATTAACTAGGGTTCTTGGTATTCCTCTGGAATGAATTCACAATTATCAGATGCAAATAGGGGAGTACAAGACAGGCAGTCAGGTAAACCCAGGCATTATGGTAATTGCAAGCACCGGCTCTAGAGTCAGACTGGGTCAGGGGCCTTGCCCTGCTACTGAGTGCTCATGTGCCTGGAGCAAATTATCTAACCTCTCTATGCCTCAGTTTCCTCATCTGCAAATGGGACTACCAAGAGGATTAAATGAAAGTAATCCATATAAAGTGCTTAGAACAGCACCAAATATAAAATAATTGGGTCAACTGATGTAAGCAATTATTATTATTATTATCATTATTATGGTAGATACTGTAAACGTTCTGCTGGTATAGGATGCCACAGGTCTTATGATCAGGTCTTGTGAAAGGAGTGTGGCGAAAAGAGAGAACATAAACCCAAAGACATGAGTCAGTCAACAAAAACTTTTGTTGAGTGTGTATAATGTATAAGATACTGTGGTTTCAAAGATAAATAACACTATCCCTCTTCTCCACTCAAGACTCCCAGGGACTGGTCCGGGGATAGATGAGTACACAGCTAGGCAGAATGCACCATAAATTGTGTAACAGGAACATGTAAAAATGCAATGGTAGCAAAGAGTGGAAACATTAGTTTTTGCTGATGGGGTGATAGAGGGAGGTTAGGTTTGAGGAAAGTTTCACAAAAGGAGATTGACTTCAAAGAAAAAGAAGATTCTGCCTTATAGAAATAAATATGATTGTATTTCAGAGCAGATCTGTGGAATTCCTACTGGCTAATTAGGAATTAAAAAATTTTGTTCATCAGTGTACCTATATGTCAGAAACCCAAGGATGTATGTGTCTCCTATGAATTTTAGAAAAAATTGAAACATTATATATAGCTTGTTAAGACCCAGGAAATACTACAAAGGTACTCCGTTTTTTGTTCGGTGTTTTTTTTTATTTTTTTTGAGACGGAGTCTTGCAGGCTGGAGTACAATGGCGCGATCTTGGCTCACTGCAACCTCCACCTCCCGGGTTCAAGCGATTCTCCTGCCTCAGCCTTCTGAGTAGCTGGGACTACAGGTGCCCACCACCATGCCCGACTAATTTTGTATTTTTAGTAGAGACGGGGTTTCACCATATTGGCCACTCTGTCCCTGGTAAAACTCCTCTGGCCAAAGTGCCACCCTTATTGGGAGTATAACCAAGAAATCTTACCCGGGACCCTGGGACTGCTCACAGGAGTGGACCTTCTTACTACATCCTAGGAAAAAGAGACAGGGGAATGGCCTCTATACTGTGGTATATAGTCTCTGTACTCCGTTTTTTTAATTTTTATTTTTTATTTTTTGAGACAGGGTCTTGCTCTGTCACCCAGCTGGAGGGCAGTGGTGCAATCATGGCTCACTGCAGCCTCAACTTCCTGGGCTCAGGTAATCCTCCCACCTCAGCCTCCTGAGCAACAGGAACAGGCACACCACCATGCTTGGCTAATTTTCTGTATTTTTTTGGGTAGAGACAGGGTTTCAACATGTTGCCTACGATGGTCTTGAACCCCTGAGCTCACACAATCTGCCATCCTTTTCCTCCCAAAGTGCTGGGATTACAAGCGTGAACCACGGCACCCAGCCAATACTTGGTTTTCAAGAAGGCTTTGTTTGGCAGGGAGAGGATAGATATAGCAGGTATCTGAGGAAGAATTCTTAGTGTCATGGGCCGTCCACCACAGAAGCGCCGGAGGCCTCTTAGAAATGGCTAAACCAACGGAATCAGAATCTCCAGGATTGCAGTCTGAGAGCCAGCATTTGTAGGAAGCACCCTACCTGATTCTGATATATAGTAAAGTTGGAACACGCCTGCTCTGAGCTGTACTCCTAGAATGCCATACTTAAAATTTTCAGACGTACTCTGGCTATAAAGGCATGCTGTGAGTAGATTATGGACAGATTTAATTCCCTCTCAAGATTTTTTTCACAAAAATACAGATGTCAGCTTGTGCAAGGAATATAGATAAAATGTTTTCTAAACAGAGCTCACTATATTAAACATTTAAAAAAATTTGATAAAGTATCCAAGAGAATAGAAAAGTTAGCCCATTCTAGATAATACTGTAAACCAAAGTTTGAACAGAGCCTAACTCTACCGCTAGGCTACAAAATGGCTTTGAAATTAAATTAAAATATCCTACAATTGTTTATACAAAACTGAACTTAGTGAACTATCCTTTGTCTTTTGAAATTAAATGAATCTTCCTTATTTATTATGTTGAATTAGGATACATTAGTCTTTCTAAAGACTTTTCAATTAAGCTGGATTTATTTACATATTTTCTTGAAGACATAAAACCTTTCCACTGTTGATATAATCCAATCATCTACCAGAATGTAGAGGATAATCCTCTCAACAGCTCCGTGATTTTCTACACTTTTCCATCCCTAAATTCTCCCGTCCTGCCAGAGGCCCTGACTCTTGATGAATATTTATATTCATGCAGGGCTTAGAAAACCAGTAACATTTTAAAATCCAGCACACTAGAGTGAAGTTACTGAACCAGACCCACAGCTGGCATCAATGGTCAACACACCCTTTCTGGTTTCATCAGGTTGCTCCTGGCCACATAACAAAGACAAGAAAACTTACAGTTGATTTTTGTATAGTACTCTACAGTTTGCAAGATATTTTCACTAACACTTTTAAATGAATTTCTGGTTTGGTCCTGTTATTACTTAACCCTGGGGGACCCAGATAAGAGAAGTGAGGCTCAGAAGTCAAGTGACTTATCTAAGGGTGCATAAACAGTGGCAGAGCTGAGGCCCATTACTTCTTACTATAGCACACAGCTGCTCTATAAGAAAAGTGAAATTAGGATAATGTTCATTGTTTATAAATTGCCTACCAAATGCCATGAAGCTGCTTGCCAGCTGCAGAATCCCACTTCTTAGAGCCTGCCTGCTCCCCCAGATAAAGCAACTCCTCGAACTAAAAAGAAGGAGCACAGGCCAGCCACAGTGGCTCATGCCTATAATCCCAGCACTTTGGGAGGCTGAGGTGGGCAGATCACCTGAAGTCAGGAGTTTGAGACCAGCCTGGCCAACATGGAGAGACCCCATCTCTACTAAAAATACAAAAAAATTACCCAGGTGTTGTGGTGTATGCTTATGGTCCCAGCTACTCAAGAGGCTGGGCTGGGAGGATTGCTCAAGCCTGGGAGGTTGAGGCTGCAGTGAACTCAGATCACGCCACTCCACTCCAGCCTGAGTGACAGATGAGACCCTGTCTCAAATCAAATCAAATAAAAATAAAACAAATCAAATGAAGGAGCACAGGTCAAACACATCAGGGAACAGAAACTAAAGAAAAGCTATATATCTGCCTTCACCTTCCCCCTTCATCCCTGCCTGAAAGAGTGCTATTGATCCTGTAAAGCTCAATGTAAATGCCGCCCCTTCCAAAAAGCTTTTCCAAATCCAATGGCCAGAATAAATCTCTCCTAACCTGCTTTTCTGTCTTGTGAAAGAGTTAAATTCCTCTCTTATCTATTTAGAATCCTTGACAAGTAAGGTACAGGTACATGCCTTTTCATCTCTGTATTGTTCAAAGTGCTTAACACGTGCCCTCCAGCTAGCATGGGGTGCACTAAACCCTATGCTCTAATCTGCCTCCATGGAACCCTTCACTCTCTTTTACAGCAATTCATGAAGGTGTATCAGGAAATCAACTCAATTTCTTCTATTTAGAGCTTAATAAATGAATTTATCTGTACTCCATGAATAAACACATAACCCTAAATATGGATACAAACTATCTTTTGTTTTATTTATTTTTAAAAGACAATGTCTCACTCTGTCATCCAGGTTGGAGTGCAGTAGCCAGATCATAACTTACTGCAACCTTGAACTCCTGGGCTCAAGAGATCCTCCACCTTAGCCTCCTGAGTAGCTAGGATTACAGGCGCACACCACCATGCCAGGCTCTCTTTGTAGAGATGAGTTATCACTATGTTGGCCAGGCTGGTCTCAAACTCCCGGCCTCAAGTGATCCTCCTGTCTCAGCCTCCCAAAGCACTGGGATTACAGGCGTGAACCACTGCGCCCAGCCACCTTTTGCTTTAAAGGGGAGGAAGCTGTGTAAAAGAAATGCATTTTCATTTTTTTAATCTATTGCTTTTCTTCCCTGCCCTTTGCCAAAACATACAGAATAACCAGCTACTTTTGTTTGGAGAAGTGACCATATTTAGTTAACTCAATCCTTACAGCAAATGTTCTGGAATCTTCCATGCAAAGATCCCAAACCCATCTGTTTGAATATTTTAGGAGCAGTAACCTCTTGGCCTCAGCTTGGGCATCTCTCAAATATGCATCTTGGCACAACCTCTCAACATTCTTGTCACAATTTTTCCTCAATAACTGTATCCAAATGTTGTTAGGCATTTCATAGCCATGTTAATGTCAGGAGGCTAGATCCAGTTAAAGGTAAACAAAGAGTAAGATGGAATTTGCTAGGCTTTCATGTAAACGATCTCATTTTAAATATCAAGACACTCTGAAGCTCTGAAATTCTAGGAAAAAAAAACCCAGAGTTCTATAGAAGCAGTATTGCTCACCACCAGCACAGCATTTATATTCTCTGTGAAGTGGTTGTTACCCCTTTCTAACCTTTCCTCTCCGCATGCCCAGGCATCCCCGTTTTATTTAGATCAGGATGCCTTGCAGAAGTTGTAACCTGGATATCATATTATTTGGCCCATCCAGGATTGTACTTTAGGATTAGTGGTCCATGTTAGAAAATTGGGAAATTTAGCTTCAACATGTGTGTGTCTGATTTTCTTTGAACAATCAGATCTGACCAAATGGGCCCACGTTCTCATATGACAACAATGGATTTGAGCTAAATTATGGCTGCCTCCTTTAGAAGACTACCCTTTCCAGCTTACCACATCCCTCCTGGCCATCTACACATTTCTGTTCATTTCCTGGGTTCTGTAGGCATTTGCGTAGGTAATCACTGCCTTACAGAAATAAATGTGATTATATTTCAGTGGAACAACTCCTACTGGGTAGTCAGGAATTAAAAATCTGGCCCAGCAGTGTACCCGTATGTTGGAAACTGAGGGGCATGTGTGGGGTCTTGGATTTGTGAAATAATTTAAACACAACTTATATGAGGTTCTAACGAGGGGTTTGCAAGGTGAAGTGGTGGGAAGGTTAAGAGTGATCATGATTTGTTTTCATAACACTTGTTCATAGACTTCAGGAAGCTACATTTGAGTACCAAAATCTCCTTATTTCTATAGAATGTGTCAACTAAGTCACAGAGCGGTGGTAAATTTGACAAATTTACAATGATCCCAGGAGAAAACTGAACTTGGATTCTCCATACCAGTTTGGAGCTCTACACAGTCAAGAGCCTTATGGCAGAAAAACTTTCCCCCATTCATTCCCTCACTCTTTCTCCAACAAATTTTTATTTTTTATTTTTTTTTTACTTCTTATTTAATTATTTATTTGAGACAGGGTCTCACTCTGTTGCCCAGGCTGGAGTGCAATGTCACTCTGACCTCCTAAGCTCAAGTGATCCTTTCACCTCAGCCTCCTAAGTAGCTGGGACCACATGTGCATGCCACTATGCTTGGTTAATCTTTGCATTTTCTGATAGAGACAGGGTCTCGCTATGTTGCCCAGGCTGGTCTCAAACTCTTGGCCTCAAGCAATCCTCCTGTCTTGGCCTCCCAAAGTGCTGGATTACTGGATGAGCCACCAGGCCCAGCCTCATTCAATACACTTTTATTTTATTAAGCAACTGTTATGTGCCAGGCAAAGTGCCTACTCTCAGGAAGCACAGATTCTAGGACACCTAATATATAAACAAACAAACAAACATATATAAATACGTCAAGCAGCAATATAGGCTAAAAGAAAAATGAAATGTGTGTATGGGAGGGGGAACTATGTTATTTTATCTAGGGTACTTGATGTACTTGGGGAAGGCCTTTCCGAAAAGGCGACATTTGAGCAGAGGCATGAAGGAATCAAGGGGGACCTGTCTTGAGTTGGTGAAGTCTCCCACAGTCCCTCCCAAATATCACCTTCCAAATATCAGGAAGTCCTCATTGACCGTCCATTCAGAAATGCTCTATCCTGTCTCTAACTGCTGTTGGAAACTGCTTATCATACTTTTGTTTCCGTACTCCCTGAAAGTAAATCCTAGTGATTGGTTACAATTTATTGTTTATTCCTTGCAATAAATGACCAATTAATCTTTAATATGTATCTGCTGGATTAAAAGCATTCTCAGGTTGTTTCTGGGGGAGCAGAAAGACGGGGGGGGTGGGAAGACAATGAATACTGATTTTTATAAAACAACCGAAATAAGAGGCTACAAATAAATAACATTAGATTTAATTATATTTCAAATACTCTTACATATGAAATAAATATTCCAATGCAGTCCTTTTGAAAAAGTTTATTTTTGCCGGGTGCAGTGGCTCACACCTGTAATCCCAGCACTTTGGGAGGCTGAGGTGGGCGGATCACCTGAGGTGACAGAGAGCAGTTCGAGACCAGCCTGGCCAGCATGGTGAAAGCCCATCTCTACTAAAAATACAAAAATTAGCCAGCTGTGGTGGCACATGCCTGTAATCCTAGCTACTCAGGAGGCTAAGGTGGGAGAATCTCTTGAAGCCGGGACGGGGAGGTTGCAGTGAGCCGAGATTGCACCACTGCACTCCAGTCTGGGCAACAGAGCAAGATTTCATCTCAAAAAAAAAAACAAAAAAGAAAATTTAAGTTTATATATATTTTTTCATTTTAATTTCAGTGTTCTTTGGGTGGAAAGTGTTTATTCTAAATGCGACATTTCATCACTAAAGATAGGCATCCAAAAAGTCATCTGATAACATTTGGAACTGGCAAAAACTACTGAATAACCCACACTTTGAAAAATAATAATTGTTTTTAGTACAAATGTTGGTTCAAGATTTTTAAAAAGTCATATTCTTTAGGTTTAAGTCATAAGAAAAAGGCAGAAACTCTACCTTTCTTTGCTAGTTTGCTACGAAAGAAAAAAAGCTGAAGATTAACTAAGGATATAATCCTTACTTTAAGATCCTAAATTGAACATTTTGCCTCTATTGAAATCGGCAAACTTAAAATTATATTTAAAATTTAATAGAGCCTCCCAAAAGTTACAAAGACAAATTGTTTTATTAAAATAATTATATAATCCTTTGATGTTGATGACATATACTTGCTATATTAAACTCATTTTCCACTTGAAGAAAATAACTAAAAAGATCATTATAGTCGTTCCCTGGTAAGAACTGAAAAACGTTTTCCAAAATATACGAACTTGCTGTCTTGAAGATTAATTACTTCTCTAATGGTTAATATCTGGGTAAAATAAACTTTGGCAAGTAACATAACACAACCAATCAATGTTATAAGTAGTTGCAAAATAAAATAAATTTCTTCTCTAAAATACTTGAGCAGCCCCCACCTTTCGTAGCTGTGTCTTTTCACCTACTCACTCGTTACTCTAAAAGAAAGTCCACCACTCCACATCTCACCATTTCTATCATGGGTCCTATTTTAGGAGATAGAAGAAGCCGTGGAGACCACAGGAAGAAAAACAGAGGCCTAGAGGTTAACGTAGGGATCACAACATGACCCCCATTAATTCCCAATCACTTGCTCCCCTGTGGAAAGGTGCTTTCTGTTGGGATTATGAAAAGCAGCAAATAGCAATTCCTCCATTTGAAGCAAAGCTTACAAACTTTTGGCAGGCAACATGTTTTGGCTGGGCCCTCATAGTGTTTTTTTCTTTTTCTAATTAAGATAAAATTCATATCACATAAAATTCACCACTGTAAGCATTTTAAAAATCTACAATTCAGTGGTTTTTACTATATTCACAATGTTGTGCAACTATTACCACTATCTAACTCCAGGACATGTCCATCACCCCCAAAATTGGCCCCCAAAAGGTTCTAAGTTTTATTTCTGTAATTAGTATTTAAAAAAACTTGTAGAAGTTGGGAACTTTCAATAAAAATTCACATTTCTGGCTTCTCAGAAAAAAATCTGACCTTCTGGCAATACTGAGGGAGGAGAGTGGGAAACACAGGGTCCTCTCCAATTAGCCCCCCGGCCATTCCAGCACTTGGGTAATTTCCTGGCTCCCGTAGGCATATGCCCTAGCTACCCCGCATTGAAATGATCAGGGGCTCAAACCATTCTGAATCACTTTGCAGACAGCCTTGAGTATAAGATGCAAAGAGCTACAGCCCTCTGTTCCCTGCGCTGGCAACCAAGCTGAGCTAGAAGGCGTCCAACTCTGACTCTTCAACAGGACCCCCTGGGCTTCTGCCAACTTCTTACTCACCTTTCTCTCAAAATGTTACCTTCTCCATCCCAGGATCTTTGCTGGAATCTCTCTTCCCCTGAAAAGTCATGCTGTATCTATGTGAGGAACATCCTAACCCACTTGCCTTGTTTTCTATTTACTATCGGTACAGGTTGAGCATCTCAAATTTAAAAATCCAAACTCCAAAATATGCCAAAATTGGAAAGTTTTTGAGAGCTGATATGGCACTCACTAAAACAAAATGCTCATTGGAGCATTTCAGATTTCAAATTTTTGGATATAGGATGCTCAACCAGTAAGTATAATGCAAATATTCCAAAAATCTGAAAAAAAAAATCCAAAATCTAAAACACTTCAGTCCCAAGCATTTTGGATAAGCGATACGCTACCTGTATTTTACTTTAACTTATGGTTACTTAATGTATTTGTATTAAAAAAATTAATTCACATAAAAGGAAACCCTATATACTATGTGAATGGAAACTGATACTCCCCTAAATATATCATTAAAAATCATTAAAAAATGTTTAAAACCATAAGAAATAATTCAATGAGGAAAAAAAACACCAATACTATTAGTTTCTAGCCAGATATTGTTGCCTGCCAAAGGCTATGAATCCCCATCTACCTACATGGCACAAAAAGAGGTAAGCTTCTGTGAGCTGGCAGAGATCACATAGCCCAAAACGCAGGCATTCTCTGTGAATGATGTCAAGGACTCCAAGGACACTGAAAAGGAACTAATTTTTTTGTGATATGACTGAAGATGATTTAATACTATACCTGGGACCTCCTAAAATCAGTCACTGTACTACCAGTGGCATACGTACCATATTTGGGAAACAACCACACGTCCAGTCTTCCAAAGCTTCATGCCAATCCCTTCCGTCTCAACAGTTCTGCCTCAAAGATCTCAGCCACAGACAGCCCTTCTGAAACCTCTCTAACCCCCATGTAATATGTACTTTCTTGTATGCATGTTAACTCCTCTAGACTGAAAACTACTCAACAGCAGCAACAGGTCTTCCACATTGCATACTCCTCCTCTGGTGAAGGTACCAGTATTAACTTATCCCTAGTCACTTTCCCGTTGTATGCCTGTCTTGACGTCCCGGTGAGGAAAGTTTTGAAGTGACTTTTTAGAATTCCAAACAAGCTTCTAAATGAAATGAATGAAAAATGTCTTAGTACATGAAGTGCCTAACATAGGGAAAATATCTGCATCTCTTCACTCTCTCTTACATTTTGGGGTAAGAGTAATTTTACTATTGGGAAGTCATTCTTGGTGTACTAACAAGAGCTATCCCACATACGGCAGTTTTTATCTTATAGGAAAGTCAGTGTGGCCAGCAGGCTGTCGAAAAGGGGTTGGGTATGGTTATTAAGCTTTGTGTCTGGGGTGGATGAAGGGACTGAGTGTCTTCTGTAATGACTTCAGGTGTAATACATACCCAAGAAGAATCCAGTCATACTACCAAGGTCAGCATGGTAGAGATATAGGACAAAGATCATAAAAAATAAATGCAGTGTTAACTAACATAACTTTATTATTTATTTATTTTATTTTTGAGATGGAGTCTCAATCTTTCACCCAGGCTGGAGTGAAGTGGCGCCATCTTGGCTCACTGAAACCTCTGCCTCCCAGGTTCAAGCGATTCCCCTGCCTCAGCCTCCCGAGTAGCTGGGATTACAGGTGTGCGCCACCATGCCTGGCTAATTTGTGTATATTTTAGGAGAGATGGGGTTTCACCATGTTGACCAGTCTGGTCTCGAACTCCTGACCTCAGGTGATCCTCCTGCCTCGGCTTCCCAAAGTGCTGGGATTACAGGCATGAGCCATAGTGCCCAGCCACTAACATAATTTTTTAAAAAAATGTTAAGATACAATTTATGATGGTCAACTTGTATTTTTATGGTATGTGGGCTACTTTTTCTAAAAGACTGGAGCCTTTATAAAATCTGCACACATAGCGGTGGCCATTTAACAAAGCTAGGAATTTATTTTACTTAGTCAAATGATTAGCAAGGTTTACGGTCATATCTTTGTTCTTGGAAAATATTATATTATTGATCATATCTAGCTGTTATTTTATAAGTTCTTATAAATAATAAACTCTAAAACATCATTTCTATGAAGAAAGACAACCTATTTTATTGAACTTTTCTTCTTGATGTGATTTCTAGTATTCTTTTTTTTTTTTTTTTTGAGACAGGGTCTCACTCTGTTGCTAAGCTGGAGTGAAGTGGCACGATCTCTGCTCACCACAACCTCCACCTTCCAGGCTTAGGTGATCCACCTCAGCCTTCTGAGTAGCTAGTACTACAGGTGTGCCACCACAGTTGGCTAATTTAAAAATAATTTTTTTTGTGGAGATGGGTTTTTTTTTTTTTTGAGATGGAGTCTTGCTCTGTCGCCCAGGCTGGAGTGCCATGGCGCGATCTCGGCTCACTGCAAGCTCCGCCTCCCGGGTTCACGCCATTCTCCTGCCTCAGCCTCTTGAGTAGCTGGGACTGTAGGTGCCCGCCACCACGCCCGGCTAATTTTTTGTATTTTTAGCAGAGACGGGGTTTCACTGTGTTATCCAGGATGGTCTAGATCTCCTGACTTTGTGATCTGCCCGCTTCGGCCTCCCAAAGTGATGGGATTACAGGTGTGAGCCACCACGCCCGGCCGAGATGGGGTTTTGCCATGTTGCCCCGGCTGGTCTCGAACTCTTGGACCACCTCTGTCCACCTTGGCCTCCCAAAGTGCCAGGATTACAGGCATGAGCCACCACGCCTCGCTGATTTCTAGTATTCTCACTGCTACAAAAGGCAGAAAGTATCTTAGGAAAATAATACTGAATTTATCTCTCCGATGTTAGACAATGTATATTATAAAAAGTACATGCTTAGAGAAAAAAATGAATTCAAGTCTTTTGAATGTGTAATTTGATTCATTTTCCAAATCTGAAAATTAAATCTACCCTAACTGGAGAGTTTCCCCTTGAACTAGTATCCTGTTAATTGTTTAATTTATGCCATCCAGTCTAGCAGTTATGCTTGGAAAAGAACGGTGAGGGCAGTTAATGGACATGCCAAAAAGGAAGGTCTTTTTCTATCACATTTTCAGCATTCATCTTTAATGTTTTTTTTTGGTTTTGGAATGAAGGAAACAGACGCTACTGTTGGACAAGAAATGCAGTGTCATACAGTACTTTTAAGCTGTCAGCTGTACAGTTAGTCTTTATATAGGCAACGAACAAGTGCTTCTCTGTACCTTTATTTCCTTGAAACATACAAATACCAGACTCCACGCACAGTCCAATGCAGGGTATATTCTATAGCAAATACTCAAAATGAATGCTGTCTTATCTTCCTTGTTAATGTATCAAAATAAAATATTTTTTCACTACATCTACAGAATAAAATAAAACCATGTATGCTACCCCATCAAAATTTAGAAACCATGTTTAAACAAATGTTTTGACACTAGCTAACATGAAAAGGGGATTTAATTCTTGAATGTCTAGCATCTATGAAGTAATTTTCTTCCATTAAGTTTACATTATCACAAAATAGAGCAATCTTAGATACAGGCAAAAAAGCAAGCTACAGAATCCTTGAGTTGAGATTCCAGGTTCCCAAAGGAAAAGATTCCAGGTTCCAAATGTAGGCCTTAATAATCTCCCAGCTCTCTAAAGTTTTAATGGCATCTAATAAAGTATCAACGGGTTAGGCACTGGGTCATATTTTCTTGAGCTGACTTACTGCTCACTGCATTCTGATGGAGGGTAAAGAATGTGAAATATTTTTATATATTTTTAAATCATTAGGGATAGCAGAGAAGATGCTTGGAACTCTGGCTGCAGACTGATGTTGGGTCATAGTAACCACTATTCCTTTGTCTCTGGGCCCAAGCCCAGGAGGGGCCAGTGTTTTGCACCCTTCTGCTCTTAGAGGCAAGATTTTCTTTCCAGGCTTAATTCAGACCATTTTGACTAATAGCTTGCCTTTATTACCCATTATTTTATAGAACTTCCAGGCAGGAAGATAAAGGGTCTTTAATTTACTGTCAAAGTCTGATAAAGTCTATTTATCTTTTAACTTCTCTGTGTAAACTCAACATGGGAAAAGCTGGGATTTTAGTTGTTAAATGCATGAATTAGGGTTTGAAAGCCTCCTTTACTCAACTTAAAGAGTTTTATGTGTGGATTCATGCATTGTTTCTCTGTTGCTCAATCAAGTAATATCTTTCTCTTCTCCAATCTTTCTGCTGAAATTTGATTTTTATTTTAAATTAGAGTTAACTAGTAATAAGCTTCTGGACTGATTTGTGTTCCAGTGGCTAGAACCCAGGAAGAACTCCAAAGATGTTAAATTCCAACAAATTAAAACAGAGAGCTGCTTCTGTGGCAAAATAAACAAAAATCCATTTAAAAAACAATAAAAAAAAGAAAAGCAGGCATTTCAAACACAAGGGTTACCTAAAACATTCCCTTTTCCATTGCTGCCACAAGATGTGACAGAAGTTTTCAGACAATAAAGTGTGATTGGACCAAATTTGAAAGACAATTCATTTCAGTTTCCACCACTTTTCAAAAGAGTAAGAAGTGACCCCATTAGAGCCCTCCATCGGCCTAGACAAACCTGGTTAAGTCCCTCCCATGGGTCTGTCTGTTCTGACTTTAGGCGTGAGAACAGTGATCCAAAACACAGACTAGGAGATGGAATATCACTCACACTGGCTCGAAGGGAGCCAGCAAGAAAAAGGTCCTACCAAGCCTTCCTAAAGGTCACCCCATATGCACAATACATTATCAATGTCTGGTGTGGTTTTGACAGACTGTGGTACCATGGATGATACAACTACCTATTGAGTAAAACACAGTCCTATGCCTAAAAACCAAACAATGAGGCCAGAGGCACAAAAAATATCAATGTATGGATGATTTATGAATCTCATGAAAAACTGCCTAAGTTTTAATTCTGCAAAATATTTTACACTCTGAATCATATGCCTGTCCTCACACCTCACTGGTTATCAGGCATTTTCTGTTTGCCTACAATGTGCCCATCATCATAAAAACTAGAAGACGCTTACCAGCCACTTTCAGGTCCAAGAGTCTTGAGCACTACAAAGCTAAAGAAATTACAGTTTCAGACCAGGGATTCATTTAACTCAATGAAAGTTTGGGCCAGGTGCGGTGGCTCATGCCTGTAATCCCAGCACTTTGGGAGGCCCAGGCAGGCGGATCACTTGAGGTCATGAGTTCGAGACCAGCCTGGCCAACATGGTGAAATCCCATCTCTAATAAAAATACAAAAATTAGCTGGGCATGGTCATGGGTGCCCATAATCCCACCTACTTGGGAGGCTGAGGGAGGAGAATCACTTGAACCTGGGAGGCAGAGGTTGCAGTGAACCAAGATTGCACCACTGTACTCCAGCCTGGGTAACACAGCAAGATTCCCTCTCAAAAAAAAAAAAAAAAGAAAAGAAAAGAAAAGAAAGTTTGGCTTATGTTAACAGTTCCCTTTTTTTCCCTAAAAGCATCCTATTTGAACAGGTATAGGGTATTTAGGGTAGAGGATTCCAGTATTTTCAAAAGGCCGGAGTTTTATCAAGCTCAATGTACAGCATAGCAGGGGCTACTCAGGCCTGCTCCCATCATGAAAGAAGAGTCAAGGAGCTCCAGAGCACAAGCACCTCAGGGTCACAGCCATGTCCTGCCCCAGAACAAGAACTTAACCTCATTCTTTATAAACATGGTTTATTGCTAAGTTTGGCAAATGAAATTTAGTTGGGTCCCGAAAAATGTCCCAAAGAATCATTATTGACTTTACCTTACCCCAAACTAAAAACACTTGCAAGCATTTTGTATTTCAAATCATCTTTCCCTGGCACAGTTTCTTATTTGAAAAACAAATAGACGCTCAGAGATTGACACTTGCATGGAGTTAAGTCTTCAGAAAAAGAAAGTTTTTTGTTGTTGTAGACACTCTCATCTAATAAATGCTGTGACTAATTTAGTATTTCCAGGAAATGTGGTGTCAAGGCTTCTTAAACCCCAACACAAACACACACACGCACACACACACACACACACACACACACACGCTGCTTAGAATAGGTAAGTGAAAGAAAGAAGAGAAAGTGTGGGTTTTTTTTTTTAACAGACAGGAGGGAAAATTATATTATTTCGGGAGATAGCAAAAAAAGTATGAACTTACTTTTTAAGTCATAAAGCAATAACTGTAGGCAACAAGATGCCAAAAAACCTGTTAGTATCTGTCAAAATAGTATGATTCTTCCCAAGTTGCTAAGTGACTACCTGACAAATGAAATTAAGAACTACAAGACTGATGGGAAGCAACTTTTGGGGAAAAAAATGCTATTTCAAGTGGACCACAGATTCAAGAAGAGAAGTCATGTAGTGTACCTGGCACACACTTGCTACTTTTAATTTAAGCTGCTTTACAGGCAGGGAAACATTATTTCACCATTACCTACCTCAGTGGGGAGATGACTTAAAAGGAACTAAACATGAAAGAGATAACAAGGAGAGAATACTGACTCTAGCTGATTCTCATGACTATTCAAATATCCTCTTATTTCATTTTTAAAAACTGAACAAAACACCAGCATCATGAAATAAATTTCAATCTATATAATAGAATATGTCAGGTAAAGTGATGGCCTGAAAAAAAATGAGAAAGCAAAGGGATAGGCTTTGAACTTTAACACTCATCAGACATGTTGAAATGAGTGACAAAGACCTATTCTGTCCAGAAATCCCCGCTTTATTTTTAAGCCTGGAAACTGGTTTGTCATATCTATACTGAATACTTCCTGTCCAAGGGCATGCTAATGGCAACAAACTGCCAAGTTTAGTAGCTGCCTACATGTAGTCAATTGAGTCATTCATGGAATAAAAAACAACATCAAACATTTTTTTAAAAATCTGGCTAACTGAAGCTTTAAAAGATATACAATTAAAACATGTTTAACTAGTTCACAAGATAGGGATAGATGGTGCCATTTAAAAAAATAGAAAGGAAACAACAGACAATATTACTCTGAGACACTTTTGCTGGTAGGTTCTATACTATTCTAGTACCACTACCAAATATAACAGTTCTCTCCCTCCCATCCTCTACGACAAAATAGTCCAGTTGACATTCCACGTTTCATTTAGAAAATTGCCTAAGACCATAGAATGACTCAAATAACTAAACAACAGCAACAAAAAAATCAAATTATTCCTTTCTTTGCTTAATTTGGCCGAATTGCATTTTTAAAGGAAGGGTTATCTGAGAATTTAAAGAACTAGAAATGCAGAGGACTAAAACAAATCAGGAATGTAAACTTTATTAATGGGTCAATGGACCATGATGTTACATTAAGAACTCATCTTTGGGAAAGAGGAAAACAATTAAGGATTGCAAGAATGACCCTTTCCCCAGCAACCCTGAGGGCTGGGTGGGCTCAGCTAGGCTGCCTCTCCTAGCAGCAATTATAATTTACCCGATTAACCCTTACACATGTTGAAACTAGCCAGCTTGTTTCACTGCTGAGACCTACAATCAACATCTCCTCTCCCTCATGTCCCTCCCCATTTGCACAGAGAGGCAACCCCAAAGTATGCTGGAATAGGTAGGTGGCAAGGACAGGAATGTCAAGTAATCACCCCTATACTTCTAGGGTCATCAGCCTAATCACCAAGTCAGAGCTATGGCCAAGTAAGCCAAATAATTTAAACCAGTTCTACCCCTAAAAATCCTCTGCCTGAAATCCTTCAGGAGGCCTGCTTACCATCAGACTTGTTAATGAGGGAAACCCCCCGAAGTTAGGTACAGCTTCACTGGTTGGAAGTGATGGCTTTAACCCTCCAACAAACCACTCACCACTGGCCCTCCAGAAATGGGCATCACGATGTCACAGGCAGCTTTGAAATGATGCCCACAGGCAGACACCACTGCTTTTCTACTTCATCATTTGCCATTTTCAAGCTTTTTTGAGGAAATCATTTTTATAACCCAGTAAGAAAGTTGCTAGAAATCCAAGCCAACATAACACTGCCCTGGCTTCCGACTGGCCCCAATTTAGCAGTTGGAAGAGGGGCAGCATTCCTCAATGTCACATCCTTGTTTATGGGCCTCTGCATTAATCCTGCCTCAGAAGCACTAGAGAGCTTCTGTGTCCTCCAAATGCCACATTTCATTGGCTCCAAGTCTGCACAGTGCTTTGGACACCAGCACCCCACTTTCTCTCCTGTTAACTGCAAAATCAAACAAAATAAGCAAGCTGCCAAAACTTCTTAACCCAGTTACAATGGTCTCTTGCCTATTATACTGCTGGTCACTTCTTAAGTTTTGCACATATTACTTTTTTTTTTTTTCATTTTAGAGTTATTTCCTTACTCCTCCCTTCCTCTCTCTCTCCACTCCTACTTCTTCCCTCGGAGGCTCTCATCAGGCCTGGATCCCACCCACCCTGTTGCTCTCACACCCTCCTACTCCCCATCGCTCCCAACTGCTATGTCTCCCTCATTGTTCCTGCAGAACTGTGAAATCTGCCAAACTGCCACTCCCTTAACTTTCTTTGCTATTTTGATTTCCCAATAATTATTTCCTTTCCCTTACAGTGGGTGCTACTTGCCCCTGAATTCTGTCTACCTCTTGGAAAACTCTCTTGAGAGATTTCCTCTTTAATTCTCTTTTCTTCTGAAGATGTTGAGTCGAATGTTTAGACTTGTGATATTGAGGAGGCATGCATTTTCATTCTAGATATTTCATAACTGATGCAATTCTCATATTAATCCTTGAAAGGTGAAAATGGTTTTGTAAGTGCTTAATAATAAGAACACTCAGTGCACTAATATTTTGCTATCAAACAACTTTACAGGAGGAAAAAGTTTATTGGAGCAAGCCAACTCTTACCTGCTTTTTAGAGAATATGAAATGAGGACTTCTTAACTGAATGAAGAGGCAGGCCTGGGCAGGGTTCTGTCTTTTGGTGTGATTATAAGCCTCCTTATTTATACAGTACCTCCTGAGTGAAGCTGTCTGAGCACTGAGCTTTACACTAACATTATCTCATTGGTTCTCACAAGGAATAAGCCATCTAGCATATTTCCACTGGTGTAACAACTGCTTACCATCTCAGAGGGAATCTAAAATTTCTCAAAATGGCTCAGCTTACTAGTGTGGCCCAAATCCTAGTTAATATGTATAAGACTAAAGTCCTAAGAGTTCCAAATTATATGCCAAATCTAGGGTACCCCTGGCAGAAACATCAGTGGTATTCTAAGACATGCACTCCTGTCACAGGAAGAAAAAAATACGAGGAGAGAGGAAGTGAAGGCCAAAGGGAGCAAATAAAAATTCTCTGATTTTGGCTGGGTGCGGTGGCTCACACCTGTAATCCCAGCACTTTGGGAGGCCAAGGCAGGAGGATCACCTGAGGTCAGGAGTTTGAGACCAGCCTGGCCAACATGGTGAAACTTCATCTTTACTAAAAATACAAAAATTAGCTGGGCGTGGTGGTGAACGCCTGTAATCCCAGCTACTCGGGAGGCTGAGGCAGGGGAATCAGTTGAACCTGGGAGGCAGACATTGCAGTGAGCCAAGATGGCGCCACTGCACTCCAGCATGGGCGACAGAGCAAGACTCCATCTCAAAAAAAAAAAAAAAAAAAAAAAAAAAACTGAAAAGAAAAAAGGGGAAAAAACCCTTCATTACCTTAAAAAAATTATCTAATTTTGAGTGGCCAAAGCTTTCCCCCAGTATGAAGAGCTGTGTGATACTGTTATATAGTAAGAAATATACATTTGGTCTTCATCCCTAGCTCCTGGCTAGAGCTCTCAAAACTCTTGGAATTTCCTAAATGATAAGAGTGATAACTGGGCGCGGTGGCTCATCCCTGTGATTCTAGCACTTTGGTAGGCCAAGGTGGGAGGACTGCTTGAGCTCATGAGTTCATGACCAGCCTAGGCAACAAAGTGAGACCTTGTCTCTACAAAACAATTTAAAAATTAGCTGGGCAGGTGGTATGCACCTGTAGTCCCAGCTACTTGGCAGGGTAAGGTAGGAAGATTGCTTGAGCCCAGCTATGACCCCGCCACTGCACTCCAGCCTGGGTGACGGAGTGAGACTATCTCTAAAACAACAGAGTGATAGGTGCATCTTTTGTTGTAATATTTGGTCTTGGTCCCTAGTTCCTGGCACAGAGTTTCTAAAATTTTGGAATTTCCTGAGTGATAGTTGTGAGAGGGGTGCCTTTTGTTACTCATAATAAGCCTCTTTCAAACTTACCTGTTTATGTTAATGAGGTGACTCATAAACCAGAATGGGGAATGGTTAGCAGACGAACCAATCAGGTGATTAGAGGTTTAAAACTTTCAGTTCCCCCACTCTGGGCAGGGGAGACGGGCTGGAGACTGAGTTTAATCACCAATGGCCAATGACTTCATCCCACCTGGAGGTGCTGGGAGGGTGGCCTGCCTGGACAAGGCATGGAAGCTTGCATCCCTCTACTGTATTTTGTCCTACACATCTCTTCCAGTTGGCACTTCCTGAGTTGCATCCTTTAGAATAAATCAGTAAATGTTTCCCTGAGTTTCATGAGCTGTTCTAGGAAATTACTGAACCTGAGGGGCTGTCATGCAAATCCCCAATTTATACCCAGTTGGTCAAAAGTATGGGATGCCTGGCCTTGCAATTGCTGTCTCAAGTTGGAGGACAGTCTTGTGGGACTGAGCCCTTAACCTGTGGGGTCTGCCCTAACTCTGGACAATTAGTGTCAGAAATGAGTTAAATTATAGGACGTCTAGTCAACGTCCGCTGAAATTTGGAAAACTGGTTGGTGTAAGAAAGACCCTCTCACATTCGGTGTCAGCAATGTTGTGAATGTATAGGAAACCAGTTACTTTTCTTTTTAAGATGAATTAAATTTCCTGCCCATATTCACTTGTTACCCTCATGTACCACTGCATATTTTGTGTGATGCCACAGGAAGAGGCCTGTAGGCAAATGCTCTTCCAAATGCTGGTTGGAGGTGATGGTGTGACAATCTGGAAAGGAATCTACTGGCAACTAGGACTTGGAAAGCATGCAGAAATGGAGACGGCCAGCTTCTCAGGAGGCTGGGGCACTTGCTCTTGGCAGGGCAGTCACCTCCTGGGCCCCACATGCCTTCTTTCATGCCCTTGATCACCTGCTAAATACTAACTGAATACTGATGATATATTCCCATCCCTTAGAAGATGAGCTCCTCAAACCCAGGCTCCTGGTTTTAGCTGAGGCCCAAAAGGAAGACGAAGCAATCTTCAGCAGCTCTTCTCTACAGACAGGCTGACCACAGCCTCCACGGGGCTCTCGCCTTTCTGGCTTCCAAGGCCCCATGCTCTCCTTGTTTCTTCCTACCTCTTGAGCTACTCCATTTCTATTTCCTTTATTGGTTCCATCTACCTCTCTCCTTTGTAAAAGTGGATATTCTCAGAAGCTAAATCCATGGCCCAGTCCCCTCCTTTCCCTACAGTCTTGCTCTCAGAGACTACATATGGGGAATCAACTCTCCCTTTGTGACTGGCTACTCTCACACTTTCTTGGCGAGGCTCCTTATACTCAGGTTCAATCTTGCCCTCCAGACCAACTCATGGTTCTTGCCAGCTTGGCATTACTAAAACACTACTTTGCATCTGCCCTCCTCCATCCAGCTGAAAACCATCCTATTTCTTTTTTCTTTTTTTTTTTTTGAGACAGAATCTTGCTCTGACACCCAGGCTGGAATGCAATGGCACGACCATAGCTCACTGCAGCCTTGAACTCCTGGGCTCGAATGATCTTCCTGATTTTCCCAAGTAGCTGGGACTACAGGTGCATTCCACTGTGCCTAATTTTTAAATTTTTTTTGTAGAGATGGGGGGTCTCACTTTGTTGCCCAGGCCGGTCTTGAACTCCTGGGGTCAACTGACCCACCTCCTTCAACCTCTCAAAGTGCTGTAATTACAGGTGTGAGCCATTGTGCCTAGCCTTAATTTTTCCAATGGGGAAACTGAACTTCAGAAAGATTAAGTAGCTATTGAAGGTTGCACAGACAACCAGGAACAAAGTCATGAGTAGGATCAGTCTCCTGACTCACAGGGTCTTATCTCTGTTACCTACATACAATGTCCCCCTGGGAAAGTCCAGCTTCTAGACTGGCCCCATGTACCACTACAACATCACCACGAATGCCCACCATGATCACTGCTCTCCACACTTCTGTAGACATTCTTCCTGATCCCAGCACACAGCATAAGTAGGTTCCCTGTCACTCACTCTTTCTTTTTCTCTTCTCCATTTGCTTAAAGGAACTAGCTGGAATACAAGTTACCCCTCTTTGAAGTCACTTCTGTCCATCATGACTTTTGGTGAATACCCCCTCTTCTAGACTTTCATAGGGTCCACTGTCTGATCCTCTGAGCTGTACTCATCCCTCTCCATCATGTATTTTTGTACTATGGATGCACATGTGCTGTGTGTGATGCCCTGAACCAAAAACTCTCTGAAGATGGGGTTATCTACACACACATTTTTGCTTCTCCAGGCCCTGCAGAGGAGGTGCTATCTCAGTTAACATTTGTTGTTAGGAGTATCTGAGGCTCAAAGAAGGCAGCAGCAGGCAAGGGAGAGGGGCTGCACCCTGGAAGCAGGAGTCTACTGGACAGTCCATGACAGGCAGAACAGCCTGTGCCTCTGGGGACACCCCTGGTCCCCAGCTTCTCAGCCTGGCTGCGTAGGCCACATGAAAACACATATTGAAGCCAGGTGAGCTGGCACCAAGCATAAATGGCAGGTCAAACTGGAAGGAAAATTCATGAGCTGCTTATTCACTTCTTGACAGTCAACCCTGACTTCAACAAATGTGGTCTGGAGGCTTCAGGCACCTAAAGCTATCAGAGCCACGTAGGGAATTCTGCTTATAGTCTCTTTGCTTCATCACCTTCTTAGAAGAAACTCTGTTCCTAGTTACTTATAAAATTAACTATTATTCACTACAAAGCTGGAGAATGTATTATCATTAAGTCCACATAAACACAACTCCTCCCCTCCCCCATCTTCAAAACCATATAAATACCAGCTTAACTAACAGGCTTTACTCAATCTTACAGATTCCCAGGGCAGCACTCCCTTAGGCAATTTATTCCCAACTCAGCAGTTAGTCACTCAGGACATACTACATCCCTGTACCTCTTCTTCAAGGCTTATAAACTTTTAGAATAAAATTTAAGCAATTGCTCTTTCAGATATCTTGGTCAGCGGCTGGGGGGGCAGTGCGCTGCAGCCCCGCAAATGCTTCCTGAGAAAGGTGTCCTGACTCCCAGAGTGCACCGGGCCTGCTGCAATGTGCTCCAGAGAAAGAGAGGCTGTGGGATGTCTGCTTTTGCAATAGCACATTCTGTGTCAGAATGCTGACTCCCTTCCCACCCACACACATACATACCTTCTCCCCAAGGAAGAGTGTCTGTACCCAACCAACACCCTCAATAGCTAATTTTTCCTGAATGATATTCTCAAAGGAATGAAAACAAGTGAGCTCACTGTTTACCTGCCTCTCACTTGGTCTACAACTTTCAAAATCCGGGATCTAATAGGATCTACTTGCAGAGCTAAATTTTATTTCACAATGTCTCATGTTTTATTCTCTTGAGTTACACGTAGAAGGTGAAACAGGAAATCTTCATTTGTTTAAACATTCATCTGCGTTTTATAAATCCCCCCAAGAGGTAGTGAATGACAACTATACAAACAGACTAGGTCTGTCCTACTTCAAGGAGAGTGCATACAAATACCCAGGATGCTAAAACCTGTGTTTGCAAAAATCCTTGCTTGCAGAACATGTATTAAAGAGGATAGAAAGGGCTTGGCAATCACCTTGCTGGGCCTCAGTGCCTCACCTCTAAAATGAAGAGGTCAGAAAGAAGGATTGGCAAAGTCGCTTTTAGCTCTAAATCATGGTGATTCTATGTGTATTTGGTGGGAGAAGGGCACTTTAAATTACAGAAGACTTCTTACTACAGACCTTCCTTAAACATTAAAGATATACATATCATTTGGTTTTGTTTTAATTCAGCTTACACTATGTTTTAAAGAACAATCTTCTCTAAATGAAGACAGGTCTATAACCACACTAATCTCACTGACTTACAAGTTGCTAGCATAAAGACAGAAATGCTGACAAATAAATGATTTATAGGTAAATCCAGCAATTCTGCAGTGTTCTGAAATGCAATCGCTGGGTCCTGAGTTTTTCTGGCTCTACTGCATTCTCTTTCACCCACCCACTTTTTGGCTACTTCCTGGATCACCAACAGTCAGGAGCAGGAAATTTAATCATCCATATAATCCTGACTGTTCAATGGCGTAAGGTGGGGGCAAGAAAGGTAGGATGCATATTCAATATGATAAAAATTTCAGAAGTGAGGGGAAAAAAGCTCCAAATGCATTTAAGTTTACAGAGCTGGAGGTGTCTGGCAATGCCAAGTTATCAAGTGATGTCCACTGTAGAGGAGAGAGTATGATAGATCTCTAAATGGATTTTCCACTTTTAGTCCTTGTCAGCACACAACACTCCAAGCCTAATGACTACATAAAAGGAAACAGATAAGCACGTCAAAGTCCGGTGTTTAAGAGCATATGCTGTACCTTTTACATTATGTATGACATCAAGGTCAGCTATACCCCTTGGTTTCATCAGAGCTGAACCACTGCTTTAACCTCCTTTTCTCTTCATTCCCTCTGCAAAGCAAAGGCTGGGGAAGGGCAGGAATAGGGGAGAAAACTTACAAAATAGTCCTTAGTGATGAATGATATTATATAAGCTGCCACACCATGTGAGGTTAAAACAGAGTACTACACAGTGTGGTAGCTTATAAAATATCATTGGGATTCTTATTACAGAAGAGGATATTAATCACCACTACGGAACAACTAAACTTTTTTTTTTTTGCCAAGGATTAACTTTAAAGAATGGAGACCATTCACTCAATCTACAACATTTAATGAGCACCTTTTACTCTGTAGGTCCTAGACATACAGCGGGGAATAAAACAGACATTGTTTTTCCCTGCAGAGCTTGTGGTCTAGAAGAGATGTTAAGCAGTGTGGGGAGAGCCAGCAAGGAAAGGAACAGGTGCTCTGAGAGAGGGCGACAGGGGATCTGAGTTTAGGTTCAGAAAAAGCCTCTTTAAAGAGCTGACCAAGAAAAGGAGGTCAGGTGGAGAGAAGGATATTTTGGGCAGGAAGACCAGCAAGTGCCAATGTCCTAGAATGGGGAGCTTGAGTTCTTCTATATGCAGAAAAGAAGGAGCCAGGAAGGATATGGGCTGACTGGTGTAGGAGGAGCCCAAGGTGGAAGGCGGGGCATTCTGCAGTAGGAATGACACCTGTTCCACAGACACAGGGAGGATAGATGTGGACGGAGATGAGTCTGTCAGTCTGGGAACAGGACGTTGAGGGAGTTATCTAATGGCTACTGTTTTCTTTGTGAAATAGCAGGCCTGGTGAGGCATGAGAGTAAGAACTGGGTGAGGTGGTGGTGGGAAATGGCTACTATGGGCAATGGAGGAGCGAGCCAGACTCACTCACCACTCAATCCTCACTCTTTTCCAAGTCCCCACAAAGTGACACCTCGCCCACCCCTTAACAATGGCTTTCTCAATTTCTGGTATCAATGCTTCAACATCCAGAGCAAAGGAGCCCTGGATGCCTTGATGCTTAGCACTAGAAAGATTCTCAGAGATCTCAACTGCCACTCACTTTAACTACTTCATAATTAAGCAATTTACTCAGGAAACAACTAAATGCCAAATACACGGCTATCAGCCTATCTCCTCAGGAAGCCCCATCCACTGGAAACTGTTGATATCCTCTTTTTAATGGTAGTCACCTTTTTAAAAAAGTGAGTTTCTTCTTTCATTTCCCCTTCTTTCCTATTTATTCTATGTCTGAATAATTTAAACTCATTCAGTTTTTAATAAAGCAAGGCCTGGATTATTTTTCTCTGTTTAATACCCAAGCACAATCACTTATTCATTGTTAAGCAGGAAAAATTAAATCAATTATTTAGGAGATGGCTATAGGCTGGGGACAAATATCCAGCACCCCTGGCACAGAGTCAAGTATGTTTTAAGCTCTGATGGCTTAACAATATCCCCAGTCATTTGCTTCTACATTCACGCATATGCAAAAATATGCTGGCCTCCAAGGACTTAGATTCAACCCCAAAGTATACTAGTCTCTCACTACAGTTGAGAAAAATGACTTAAAAGTATCTCCTCTTACAGCGTATCAGGCATGAAGCATCCAAAGGCAGTTTTCTTGCAATACAGACATTCTTAAGAACTCATGGTGATCTCACACTAAATGGGATACATAAGTTCACCAGGATGAAAAAAAAAAAAAAAGCTACGTATAAGAGGAAAAGGACTAGTAACGATAGAGAAGATAACTGAGTTATTTACACAACATAGCTCGCTTCATCGACATCTGAGTGGTGGTAGCTAACCAGAAGGTTCTAGATTACAGCCAATGAACCAGCCTTGGAGAAAACACACCCAAAACACACAGACACCTATCCTTCATTTCCTGGCAGAAGCTATATGATTCTATCTGATTAATAAAGTGTTCAATCTCCCTCAAGAGTTATTCAGTATCCCACCCTAATTGCTATCAATTTAAAATTCTACTACCTCAGATTATTTTAAAAGAAACATTCTGGGCTTTCTTTAAAAAGCAGAGCGCCATATCATTTGTGGCCGATCTGCAGAATGTAAATGATGACAAGTGGAGGGAAGGTGAGGAACAAGCAGAAGGGGCCCCATTAACCTCTTCATAGGCCAGTTTGCAGGCTGCTTCCAAACTTAAAACCAGAGAGCTGGGCCCTCGAGGAGGGAAGACTGTGGATGTTGCTATGGGAATGTATAATACACACTTTGGGATACTGTTTTTCCACTTTCTCTCCCACTCTCTCTTTCTCAAAAGACAGGGAAAACACACCTGAGAGAAAACGCCAGCTTAAGTGCTACTTGTAATTCACACAGAAGTTCACCCTTGAGTTCTCTCAGCCTGGTTCCTATTTGCCTTCAACTACCTTTGACTTTGAATAAACTGCTGGTATAAAGACATAGAAAAGAAAAGCATCTATCAGCACACAGCTCCATCAGAACACAGGACACGGCAAGAAAGCATTACTCCCCCCATACTCCACATCAAACTCAAAAACAATGCTCCTGGCTGTCATTTTTCATTCATGCCAGCCCCGTATTTCTATTAAACAAACCTCCTTTTTATTGACTATTTCCCTCACACAGCATAATAAGGTAAACGTGAGCCCACAAAGACTACATGGTGAAACACAAAGCTTTCCTCTGGGAGGGGAATCAGTAAAAGGCAGAAGAGGACAAGTTTCAAGGGCTCTTCCTAACTGGTGTCTACCAAATGGAGAAATGATGGGGCTGCTCCTCTGCCAGAACTGCTGTGATTGACTTGAAATTAACCAGCTTTCCAAGAGACTACATGAAAAGAAAGAGTATTTCACAATCTTGAATAGTCTCCTCTCTTACTCTCTAATTTTCCCCAACCACCCTTACTCCCACCCCCCACTTACAAGAGAACTTTTGTATACATAAAGTTTCAAGGAACAAAGCATACAAACACTCACACACAAATAAACTCCCCAAACTAACACCAGCGTATAATTGTGTTTTGGTTGGAGCTTTTCCAGCCCTGTCACCTGTTCTCTGTTAGGAGTAAATGAAACCCTTTGCTTTTGCGAAGTTAGAAACAGACAAACTCTTCTCAGTTTCAAGCTGCACAAGGACCCCCTCATATCTTTCAGCCCCCTCAAACCCCCAACGAAATGAACTCACTGCTGAAAACCCAGCAATGAAAAAAAATTAATCTATTTCTCAAATACAGATTTTCGCTTCCCCTCACTCAGCTTCCCCTTTTAGCCGGAAACATATAGCGTTTCTAATTTCTCAAACCCCTTTTCAAGGGACCCTCCACTCAGGGCTCTTCCAGGGATCCCGCTTTCAGTCTTTCTGATGCAGGCAGGCAGCCCTTTTCCAAGCACATTTTGCATTCTTGGAGTCCAAGTGGGGCTCTTTCGTTTCCAGAGAAAGCTAAAAAGCAGACTTAGTGGGCTGGCTGAACTAGGTCCGACTTTTCCTCCCCTCCCCTCTGAACGGCTGCGGGGGGAGAAGGGAGCCCAAGATGAGACCCGGGCTCCGCTTATCCAGCTCCGACTTGGCTTCGAAGGCGCAGGGCAAGCGGACAAAGTGCCCACCGCTCACTTTAAAACTCCCATCCTCTTCTACCACTGCCTTCCTCCAAATTCCTCCGCAGAACTTGGCCGGCCCCCAGGAGAAACCAGAATCCTACCTTCCTTGGATTCTTCTGCTTCGGAGTGCATAATGTCAGGATAACCAGCTGCAGGGGCGATTACCGCTCACATGTACTCGGACGAGCCGCAAGTTCGCTCTGCAGCGAAATCCGCACACGACGGAAAATAAAAGGAAGAAAGCCACTAAAATCAAAACCTCCCCGGGGCGGGAGAGCGGGTTCTGGTGCAGGGATTTTCAGGGGGAAAGTTCTGCAAGAGTGACGAATCGCGTGTCAGCTGGGCGGCGGGAGTCCGCCCCCGGAGCCGCGCGCTCGGGCCGGCAGCCGGGCGGAGGCGACCTGGCGGGGCTGGCTCGGCCCGGGCGCACGCAGGTGGGGCACAGGCCCAGACGGCAGCCGACTCTCCCGAGACACAGGGCCGAGAAGAACCGTCGGCAAACGCACCAGACGGGCGGAAAAAAAGGTATAAAAAGAAAAAAAAAGTCTCATCTCAGAGCACACTGTAGTTTTACATAAATAGCAAATGCATATAGGGTAGAACCAATGCCTCTGTATTTTTGGATTACATTTTTTGATGCCCATTTGACTTTGTCTTGGAGTCTTGCAACCCAAAAATTACGGATTTTAAAGCGGCTTTGGTATGTTATTTTTGTAGGAAAGTCGCATGGATATCGTCCATGGGGTTGCAAGGACCAGCTTAAGAGAGCACAATTTCACAAGTCCCAGAGCGGGGCCTTTTGAAGAAAGTGGAGCGGCCTCCACCCTTACCTTTGCACAGCAAAAGCAGACGGGGCTGCTTACTCATTCAGTATAGCCCCGGGCGAGCACTGGTACTCCAAGCACAGCCCGGGCACTCATTGCTGCAGTTACTCCAAAGGGCCTTCCTCAGGGGGAGAGCACGGTTCCCTCCCGGCTACCAGCAAAAACTGGGGATGAATTCCTTCAAAATGCCAAAGGGGAGGTTTTCAGGATTTGAAATGCTGATAGAATAAAGAAGCCGGACAGCCTTCACAACAGATCTCAATTCTGCCCCCGGGTCTGGCCCACAGGCCCCTACAAATTGGCTGAGAGGAAGTCCCCTTAGCTCTGTGGAGCCTTGGTTTTCCCTTCTGCAAAGCGGGGACAAGAGCTGCCACTGATAGGCCTGTCTTACGGAGGTATTTTGTAGAACACTTGTTTTATCGCCAGTCTGAGGCAAAAAGTCCTCAAATAACATATCTGAAAGATCCGCTTGGAAATTATGAGAAAAAAATATACTCTTTTGACAAATTTATTTTCCAGTTCGTTTCTTTTTCTTCGTTTCCGATTTTATATAGGCAAAAACCAATAGAAACACTATGGCAAATTTAGTGAAAAGAACGTACAAAAGACATGGATTTAAGGAGTCTGAACTTAAATCCAGTTCTGCCATCTATCATTTGTATGACCTTATGCAAATTAACCTCTCTGAGCCTCCAGTTCCTCATTTGTAAAATGAAGATAAAAATAGTATTATTTACTTCACAGATTTATGTCTGTATTAAATAAGGTAATATAAGCACAAAGGGATTTGAAAACCATAAGGACTACATAGATTATTACCATTGCACCATTAAAAGTAAATTTTTATAAAACATACTCTTGGGTTTTATTTCAGTATTGACTTTGAACAGAAAAGAGTGCTTATGCTATTCACAAGCAGTGAAGGCTATTATAAATATTAATGTAAGAGGTCTAGATATTAAATCACATCCTACTGCTGAGAGATTCTAACCTGCCTAAGATTCTAACATGTTATCTCAATTTCACTGAAAGAGCAGGATGAAGGGAGGAAGATATAGCCAGCCAGAGAAGGGAGAAGAGGAGAAACATCTGGAAAATATCAGTGTTGCAGAGCCTCCCGGAAACTGACCTCGCCACCGAAAGGGTAACAGACTGCACCCTTCCGAAAGTCACAGTTAACTTCATGGTCCCCTCTGCCACACATCCTGAGTCAGGAGCTGCTGATATGTATACCTTGCACTCAGTAATCTCAGACTTATGGGGAGATACACTGAGATGAGGATGATTCTGAACCCAAAGAAATGCTCCCTCACCAGTCACAAGTGGCTTTTCCTGTCCTGCCCAAGTCAACATTCTGCCCCTCTCTCCCTATACCATCTATCCTTGCCCTTCCTCACTGCAACCCAGATGTCCACAGATAGTCCACAAGAGATCTTAAGGGATCTCACCAGGGCCGTGTGCTACACAAGAGAGCTTCCACTGATCTATAATTGGGGTAAAGCAACACCTTTTCAAGGTGATGATTATGCAAATCCAGACAACCCAAATTTCAGGCCCAATCTGCCTACAGCAGAATTACTTTCACTCTCTTCTTTTAGAAAGTACCCTTACAAGAAATATTTATTAAATGTCATTTTGCAAGTCCAACTGGGGACAAACCACATAAGATATGTTAAAATACATGTCCTTTAATGTGCTACTTGTTTTACAACTGCTGAATGAATAGTTCAAGCGCTCCGTCAGCCTTATAATTCATTTTAGATTCATGTTAGCTTCGTTGATCTTTGAACATTCACCATCGGCCTCAGGAAGCCTGGAGAGAAACTTCTTTTGTATTTAAATGCAAGCAAGCAGTCACCTTGGGGAAGAATGCTCTGTTTTAGCTCAAGAGCAATGAATGCTCAGCTTATTTTAAAAGGCTTTATGTGAATAAGTACATTCCTCAGTCTCCCGTATAACCTCAAAGCCATCTGCTCTGGGCAGGCTGCATTGCCCCATACCCCTACCCTGCAACATGGTGACAAAGGGCAGCTGATTCTCTAGGGCTCCCCTTGGCCTTCTGCTGCTCTCAGATATGTACTAGGTCATTTTGATTTTGCTGTGCTTTTATTCAAAAGGGGATAATTTACTTCTTAGCCCCAGTGAATAATGGTCCAGTACATCATAATGATTTGTTATCTCCTGTAGGTGGGACTTGTTGATTCTTGTATGTTTAAGAAACACCCCAAACATCCTTCACATGGCAACATGTATGGAAGTCATACCAACAAACTATTACCGCCCGCCTGATACAAAATTGCAACTAAGTTAGCAACACTTCTCATTTAATAACAAACTGTACTTAAATTTAAATACTATGTTGAACTCCTGCAAGTGTCTAATAATGGAACTCCCACCTTTTGTGTCAAGATGGAAGAATGAAAATGGTAGCTAAGATTCTGAAGGTTTATTCATTCATTGAGGTATAATCAAATATTTGTGTGTGTCATATGTAAATTGACCCTACTCACCTGGGGCTTATTGACATAATTTTGTTAATTTGACCACAGACCTAAAGAACTCAACTTTCCAAGTCACCTTGGTTCTAAGGAAGGTTTATTAACACCAACTCTCGACTGAACTTTATCACAGGGCAGCAGAAAAATCTCTTTCCAAATTATGCCTTAAATAAAGCTGTTCAAAGAGTTTTTTTTAAAGGCCTGACTTTTAGGCCTTTTGCTCACAGCTCCCCAGATGTCTGTTAAGAAAAGGGGAGATCAGTGAGTTTTCAGACTCACACAAATTAGAAGGCCAGCCGGCAGAACTGGGAAGACAAGGTACCTTTTAATTAGGAGGTATCAAATATTCCACTCACATTCAAGAATGTTATATGTTCTCTGCAGTGAAAAATATGAAGCACCTCTGTAAACTAGTTATGGACCTATAGCCTCTAGTTCGCAAAAACTTCAGGTCACCAAAAATGGTCATTTTTTTTTCTAACCTGCTGAGGCTGAATCTGCTTCCTTCAATTTCACTTTGAGACCTTCTTCAACTTCTCTTGTATCATTTTTGTCTACACCCTTGAAAGCCTTCGAAGGCTTCCGTGATCTATATAAAAAGTTGGCTGTCACTCCTGTTTCCCCATATGCGGGAGAGATCTGTGTCTTGGTCTCACCTGGTTAGGCCTGTAGGCTTTGAGTTCTTCCTATTATCCTCAGACACATTTACATTTACCCTTCCATAACACAAGTAAGCCTAAGTGGGTATCTCTCCATGGCCTCTCCCTGGCCCAGGTTATTTGGCTCTCTTAGCCTTAAGAAAATGGTATTTATGGCCGGGCACAGTGGCTCACCCCTGTAATCCCAGCACTTTGGGAGGCCGAGGCAGGTGGATCACAAGGTCAGGAGTTCGAGACCAGCCTGGCCAAGACAGTGAAATCTCATCTCTACTAAAAATACAAAAATTAACTGAGCACAGTGGCAGGCTCCTGTAATCCCAGCTACTTGTGAGGCTGAGGCAGAAGAATCGCTTGAACCCAGGAGGTGGAGGTTGCAGCAAGCTGAGATCGTGCCACTGCACTCTAGCCTGGGCAACAGAGTGAGACACCATCTCAAAAAAAAAAAGAAAAAAAGAAAAAGAAAAGAAAGAAAAGAAAAAGAAAAAAGAAAATTGTATATACTAGAATTGAAAAAGGGAATGCTAAAATGACAGTGGAGTCATTTATACACTTTTGCAGAAGATCAAGCTCTGTGCCTCAAGTAGCCTTAAGTGCTGAGTACAGATGCTCCTCAACTTAGCGATGGGGCTACATCAGGATAAAACCATCATAAGCTGAAAATATATTTAATACACCTAACATACTCAACACCATAGCTTAGCCTAGCCCACCTAAAATGTGTTCGGAACACTTACATTAGCCTACAGTTAGGCTAAATTATCTAGTACAAAGCCTATTTTATAATAAAATGTTGACTATCTCAGGTAACTTTTTAACACTGCACTGAAAGCAAAAAAAGCAGAATGGTTGTATGGGTGTTCAAAGTATAGTTTCTACTGAATGTGTATCACTTTTAGTACAATACAAATAGAGTAAGGCTGGGCACACTGGCTCATGAATTTAATCCCAGCACTTTGGGAGGCTGAGGTGCAAGGATTGTTTGTGGCCAGAAGTTTGAGACCAGCTTGGACAACATAGAGAGACCCTAACTCTACAAAAAAATTTTTAAAAGGTTAACCGAGTATGGTGGTGCATGCCTGTAGTCCTAGCCACTTGGGAGACTGAGGCAGGAGGATCACTCTTGCCCAGGAGTTCAAGGCTACAGTGAGCTATGATCATACACTGAATTCCAGCCTGGGCAACAGAGTGAGACCCCTCTCTCTCTCTACACACACACACACACACACACACACACACACACACAGAGTGAGACCCCTCTCTCTACACACACACACACACACACACACACAAATACACATAGAGTTAAAAAATTGTAAGTCAGGGACCATCTGCACTGGGATAAGACTGGGGAGGCTGATGTGGGCTGGGGCAGAACCATGTGAGAGGAAGATGCTGAGGATGAGTGTGGAGATGAGGGAAGGAGAAAGCCACTGGTGGCCAGTCCTGGGAGTTTGAAGTTATGGGTAATCCCTCTCCTCAGTCTGCCCAGTGACTTCTCCCATAAATTCTACACATTCACTAATGCTCTGGATGTGAGTGCCTAATTCTGAGAGAATGGGAAGAATTGCTGACATCGGAGATGAGCACACACAGAGAGACAATAATACATCTGGGATGTGCTTGTTTCCTAGGCTTTCTAGGTGTATTTCTCTTCTAAGAAATCTTCCTTGTTAAAAAGCTTTTAGCAGATGATAAAACACAAGCATACTCTCCAAATCAGGTCAGAAAATATTATCTGAACAATTTATGACCCACGGTCCTTCTTTTATAACACAGTCATTTCTCAGCATCTGTGGGAGATTGGTTCCAAGACCCTTGAGGATACCAAAATCCGAAGATGCTCAAGTCTCATATAAAATGGTGAAGTATTTGCATATAACTTACATATATCATCCCATATGCTTTAAATTATCTCTAGATTGCTTATAATTCCTAATACAATGGCTACATAGCACTTCATTCACGTAAATTCAACATAGTAGCGGCACATTCAAGTTTGGCTTTTTGGAACTTAGTGGAATTTTTTTTCCCTCAGAATATTATTGATCTGCTGTTGATTGAATCCACAGATGCCAAATCCATGAATATGGAACGCACAGATATGGAGGGCTGGATGTACTTAGCAGTAATGTCTTGTATTAGGTTTTATTTAGACTCCCAAATTAGCCCCCTTGGGTCATCATACTCATTTTACAGATATGTAATTAAAGAAATGGAGGTTACATGATTTGCTCAAGGTCACAAAACTAAGTAATAATGTTCTTTAGACCACAATGAATGCAATCTAAGCCTCCTGTCTCCTATATCCAGACTTTCTCACTGTATTAAACTGTTCCTATAAAATCCAAGTCCCTTATTTTGCAGAGGAGTAACTCAAAGATTGCTAATATTGGGAGGTCCCCATAGAGTTTATGGCTGGCCATGGTTCTAGCATTGAACCATCGTCAAATCTCTCTGTTCAAATGACTTGATCACAGCTTTAAACTGAAGCCATTCAATTCCTGATATTCAATGCTTTAAATATGCTATAAATTCAATAGCTTCTATTTATTCAGCTGCCTGAAACTATGAATCTTTTTTTTAAATCAAAAGTTCAGTAAGGACCTTAATTAAAAGTTCAGTAAGCCTCATCGGATATGGGCTGCCAGGAGCAAGGAAAAGAACACCAGACTCAATTTGGGAGACCTGGCCCTGATTACTGACACCCGCATCAGCGGAGCAAGCACTGGCTGTGCCTCATTTGCATTAAGATGGGTTTTCTTCCTATTCATTATTTCTTCATTTTTCCTCTAAAAATAGGCAAAGTCATTTAACCTCTCTGTGCTTTTGTTTGCACATCTGTACAATAAGAATGAAGTCACTTATTTAACAGGGTTGTTATAATGATGAAATGAGTAAAGAACATGATGGAACACTGAAAATCATGAGGTTCCCCTCTTCACTTTTCCAAATATAATCATGATTAAGGCCAGATTGTCCCAGATTGTTTAAGAGTGTCTATATGGAGGCCCTAAATGCTGGCTCTGTAAATATTCCAGATAGGTGTGGCAATTTAATGTGTGTGGTCTAGCAATGGAAAAGGAAAACAAAAGGGCTGAATTTCTTTCCTGTGCTCAGGTGAATGGGGTCAAAATGGAAACAGCATGAGAGGGGCCACAGAAGGGATTCACCAGGAAGAAGAGGAAAGGTGGGGCTGAGGTGGCCAGGACAGCACGACATCACATCTGACCAAGGCATCCTCAGCCTTCCTTCAGAAAAGCAGCAGAAGGAAAAAGGTATCAAAAATCACAGTGTGGAACTCAGGCTTGAAAGAAACCTTAGATGTTGTCTATTCTTTTTTTTTTTTTTTTTTTTTTTTTTTGAGATGGAGTTTTGCTTTGGTTGCCTAGTCTAGAGTGCAGTGGTGCAATCTCAGCTCACTGCAACGTCTGCCTCCCAGGTTCAAGCAATTCTCCTGCCTCAATCTCCCGAGTAGCTGAGATTACAGGCATGTGCCACCCTGCCTGGCTAATTTTGTATTTTTAGTAGAGACAAGGTTTCACCATGTTGGCCAGGCTGGTCTTGAACTCCTGACCTCAGGTGATCCACCCACCTCAGCCTCCCAAAGTGCTGGGATTACAAGCGTGAGACTCCGTGCCCAGCCAGAGATTGTTTAATCCTCTACCTGGCTGGTGAAGCAATCTCCTATCACATCACCGGCAACAGACATTCATCCAGAATTGCCTTGACAAACTTTATTACCAGAGACAGCCTCCTTGAAAAAACAACTCCATTTCCATCCTAACCGTTAGAAAGTTCCTGTGTATACTAAACTAAAATTCAAGTCTAAGGGCAGTAATTGTCAAATTATTTCCACTCTAACCACTGCCTTTACTCCTTATGGCAAGGAAATAATTTTGTGATGAGATAAACATAGGTTTTAAACTAAATTTTATTTTCAACAACCTAGTGGAGACCCCTCACATTGCCTGGCTGATGTAGCTGAATTCAGTGTGAGACAGTTATGCAACTTTCCAGTGCTTACCACACATCTGCTATTGATTATCGTGAGCATTCAGAAGCAAGCAGCTCTGCTCAAGACACCCAGTGATAATCTTTCTCCTCAGTGTGCTCACTCCAAGGGGGCAGAAAACAATGCCAAGACAGGTTGAGTAAGGGGCCCTACTTGACTGTATTTGAGCAGTTAAGAGCTTTATTCAAGTTTCTGAACAAAATTTGAAATGTGAAATGCACAAAGAAGACAAATGTAGTACTCCATTTGTGGAATCTGGACCACAGACTCCTGGTCTGAGATCTATTTGAAAGTCTAACCCACTTCTAGTTGCCATAATTTGATTTTGGCATTGAGTTTCTGACATGGGTAGAATCTATTAACAATTGTGCCAACTGATGACTGCTTAGGAGACAGAAAAGGCTGACATAGGCTTGCAGTTGCGAGTAGCCAAGGCTGACACTCAACAGAAAAACTCAGCAGGTGGTGAAAATGTGAACTGAAGCAGAACTTACCCAAACAGGGCTTCAGGAAAAATGGGAGGTTATTTTTGCAGGTAGCAGTGAAAGGCATGCATCAGAAGTTTTTCCTCTTGAATAGGTCAGGTTACAAAATTTAAGTTACTCAGCCTCTCCTTAAAGAAGAGCTGCAGAAATATATACTAGTTATGATTCACAAAGTTGTAGGCATCATGAAAATGAATGCATTTTCTGAGAAACTGCTCACCTGAACAATGTGCTAGCCTACCTAAAAAAGATGATATTAAGTCCATAAATTTCCTAGTACAAACAGGAGATCTAAAATTCACCAACCTTTTCAATCTGAAGTCTGTTTCAACAGACATTTTACTACTGAACTTAGCAAAGCCCCATCATATGCCATTTAATTTTCTCAATTTCAGTGATATATAATCAGCCCATATCAGATAGAAAGAAATGATCTAAATGGGTACATTGGCTACCATTCCCCCTAATGATTTTATGCTGCAGAGTAAGCATGAGAAGGAGCTGGGAATTTGCTGTTCCCTCTTCTCCCTCTAGTCTCTGCATGGACTTTTACACTGTGAGCATCTCACACACTGATAATGAATGTTGTGTTTAAGGCAAGGTATTGTTTCTTAGCAAAATGCCTCAAAGACAAGCTAACTCTAGTATCTGGTCTTAAAGAAATAGCAACCTGTTTCAATGCTAAGGAAACAGTGGCAGTAAGTCTTATACTTAATAGGAGATGGTATATCAGCCTCCAACCTGGTAACTTCCTAAGAGGATTTTTAAAATAATACTGACCCCATACAATTTTCACTTTACACATTACTCGTAGTCTTAACCAAATTGGCATCTTACAATCTCATATGTTACAGTGATGCGGTCAAGAGTTGCTGAAAAAGACATGATTTTAGTTCTGAGGTCCCCAAATTATGTGCCAGTGTACCTCAGGGCACTACAGCAAATTCACAGAGGTGTGCAGGATATTTTGTCTTTGAGGGAAACAAAGCAATACACAACATTTCTCAGATGCTTGCATGAATGACTATTTCAAGCGAATTCACAGTTTAACATATTGTGTTATTTTCCTTTTGATGATGTCATTTCTTTGCAAAGCTAGGTTGTTGGTGGTTGCTGTGATAAAAGGCAAGTATTAGTTGAAATGTGATGTGGAACAGGAAATTAGGGTATTGGGATTCAACCCAATTTCTAAGTTTGAGGAACTGCAATAAGTTTACTGCCTCACAGCTCGAAATTCACCCTTCATTACTCACTATGTGAAGACACAGAAGGGACCTTTACATATTTTTTCTTTTGTTAGCTGGTACCATTCTAAGCTTCATCAGTGGAGAGTACTGTAGAGACATTACAGAAAGAAGCAGTTTTCCTTCCTGGTTCCGGTACACTCTTTCTGCAGGCTGCTGCAAACACGCATGGCTCCTAGAGTATCCACACCTTCTTCAGCAACTGGCTCCTGCTGAACATGATGGTCAGCACCTCCCAGCCTCCAGCAGCTTCCACTGGCATCCCTCTCGGTTGATTTTGCAGCAGAATGCATCCAGTGAAAGACCTCCACATGAATAGCTTTCCTTAGCATCTTAGAGGGTAGATTTCTAGCAAGTTCTGCCAGCATAGCACCCCAGTGACTTCTCTGCCAGCCCAGGAGCCACAGCAGGCCATGACCTCTCCAGCAAGGTCTGGAGCAGAGAGAAGCATGTGTTTGGGTGCTCTATCAGACCCACGGCCCACGGGTAGGGGCTGCTCCTTATATCTGCTATTCCTCTGTTATTTAAAGTTCTCTTTACTTCCTGTTAGCTAGTCCCCATTATAGTGAACTACTTCTCTTTTTCTTAACAGTTTTCTTTTGTATTTTTTAAAAATTGTGGCAAAATACATATAGTATAAAATTTACCATCTTAATAATTTTAAATATACAGTTCAGGAGAATTAAGTACATTCACATTGTTGTACAATCATCACCACTATCCATCTCTAGAACTTTTTTCATCTTGCAAAACTGAAACTCTGTACCCACTGAAGACTAATTCGCCATTCTCTGCTCCTGTCAGCCCCTGGCAACCACCATTCTACTTTTTGTCTCTATAAATTTGACTACTCCAGGTAACTTACATTCAGTGGAATTAAAGAGTATTTGTCTTTTTGTGATGGCTTATCTCACTTAACATCCTCAAGATTCATCCACATGGTAGCAGGTCAGACTTTCCTTCCTTTCTTCCTTTTTAAGGCTGGGTGATATTCCATTGTATGTGTATATCACATTTTGTTTATACATCCTTCTGTAGATGGATACCTGGATTGCTACCACCTTTTGGGTTTTGGTTTACAAATATCTCTTTGAGATGCCTTTTCAATTCTTTTGAGTATATACCCAGAAGTAAAATTGCTAAATCATATGGTAATTCTATTTTTCATTTTTAAAGGAACTGTCATATTGTTTTCCTAGCTAATACTTGTTTATTTTAAACTTTCCTTTAAATTACTGTGTACTTTATATTCTCATTAGACCCTGACCAATATATGCAATGCCCAACAGGTACATACATTCCATTAAGAAATGAAGAGTAACGTAAAAACATTATTTTTAAATATTTCAATATATATGTATTATTTTGTACAACTACAAAGTTATCAATACAGAAATACTAAGTTGTTTGGAACTAAGTACTTAACAAATGAAACTGCTAAGTATTTCTTTTGTCCTAGAAATGGCATGAAAAAAATTACTGAGACCACTAAGGGTGCATGAGCCAAGAACATTTGGAAGGCTCTGCTCTAGCCTACATGTTTCCAGCTGCCATTAGGACCTGTCTGCTTGAATGGTTCCTTAGGCTCGCCCTATCTAGGGGTATCCCTGAAGGCACAGATGGAGCCTTAATATTAACCGTACTTAATATTATATTTCTTTATAAATTTTTCTCACTTAGGCACTGGGGGCTACAAACCTTACAATTATCTTTGACTTATGCTGCTCTGTCTCCCCTTATTTCTAATCTCACATCAAAATGTTTCCTGGATTGGCCTTTTTTTCTCTCCATTCCTGCAGCAGTCAGTAAAGCCATCATCTCTAGTTAGCGTTGCCTAACAGATTTTAAGCTAGTTTCCCTTAAACAAGACAGTGGGTTGAAAATTCAAATGCTCACTGAGGCTAGAAATATGTTAATTCATACCTGCCACACAAGAATTGGCTGCCTCAGTCCTTGCACCCATGAAGGCAACACCAATAGGACAGGCTGTGGGTGAGGCCCCATTCCCAGGATGCCAGCTATTACAGTGTGGATGTTTGTCCCTTCCAAGCCTCATGTTGAAATGTGATGGAGGTGGGGCCTGATAGGAGGTGTTTGGGTCATGGAGGTGGATCCTTAATGAATGGCTTGGTGCCCTCCCCATGGTAACGAGTGAGTCCTTGCTCTATGAGTTCATGCGAGAGCTGGTTCTTTAAAAGAGCCTGGTACCTCCTCCCCTCTCTCTTGCTCCCTCTCTGTGTGACACATCTGCTCCTTCTTCACCTCTGCCATGAGGAAAAACTTCCTGAAGCCTCAACAGAAACTGAGCAGATGCTGGTGCCATGCTTGCATAGCCTGCAGAATCAGGAGCCAAATAAACCTCTTTTCTTTATAAATTACTCAGGTTCTTCTTTTTGGCAATGCAAAACAGACTAATACACCAGCTGAAGTACCAACTTCTCACTCTCAAAGAAAGCAATGGCAATGCAAGTGAGTGTGAATGATGCTACTTGAGGCAAAATCATGAATGTGCGCCCACACACACATAGATATGAGTGGTTTGAAAAGGAATCATTCAGAAATTTTTGACACTTGTTTTCATTAACTGGAAATTACTTGAGACAAACCTTATGATGAATCATGACACCCTGTGTGGTCACACAGCGGGGGCAGCTGCTGCTGGTCTATTTTTTCAGCTGTTATATCCGCTTTTTACCCTACCCAAAGCCATACTCAGGTCCCAACTCCTCTTAAAAGCCTACTGAAGCCCACAGTGGACCTATACTTCTACAGTGAACTTGTGCTATACTTAAAGTTGATAATCTTGATGTTAGTTGTCTTTGAGGCAGCTCCATAAGCTATTTAAAACACAAGATTATACCTTGCATTTGTTTGTTCTCCTTTCTAGAGCATACAATGCATGCTGGACACTTTCAAAGCACTATATAACTAATAAAATAATCATTTAATAATTTCATAATACTGAATTATGATAGCATATAAGAATAATCTTAATCTCCTCTTCCCCAAAAAGTACCTTACAAGAAACTATGTACATAAATATCTGCTATCTTCAAAGAAAGAAAACAAGACAAGAAAATCTGCATGGCATCTGCAGAACCGAGGTTAGTAATTTTCGACAATCTATAAAACTATCAAGTTTACAAAAGTTCTGTCAGAAAAGGAGCCAAGAAAAAAATAAATCTGACAGCTGCAAACCTTCTGTTTTACAACATGCACAGAATGGACGCACTTCCTTCGACATCCTTATAAACAGAGTGCCGAGCAAATGCAAACATCCCCGGTAGAAGTCCAGTGGACTCCAGACTTAATTAATGGATTGTGCTTATCTTTACAGAGGCAACCTTACTAGCCACCTATCAACCCCACCACAATTGCTTTAGGAACTATTAATAAGATGGATTGAACAAAATTCCATTTCAGTTGATGGCATTTCCAGGGCAAGCAAGACACCAGCAGCGGCTGCCCACTGTAGAACAGCAGCAATCTCACCATCCTCGGATTGGAAACTTTGTTTCCTTTAAGTTAAGAACTAACATCCGGCACTGGACCACCTGAATATTTAGACTAATAAATCCCAGATGGGAATTCCAGACACCTCTTTGCTAAAGACATGCAGGCGATAAACATTCTATTAAGCAAGTCTCCTAGGAGTGAGCTTCCCTTCAGAGACTGAAAAAAGTAACGCCAGCCAAAGAAGAGGAAGAGAGGGAGAAAAGAAAGAAAAATGCCCCCAGGTAGAGAATAACCAGTCAGAAGTGAAGGCTGAAGACCAATGGCTATGATGGTTGGGTGACCAATGGAGATTCTTTGAGAAAGATAACTTAGTAACATGACTAGAGATAGCAGCCAAATTGCAAGAGGTTGCAGAATGATCTGGTGTTGAGAAAGCAGAGACAGCACTGGTGGACTATTCATTCAAGAAATTTTCCTGAAGGGAGTAAGTTGAGAGAGTACCCTGAGGAGAAAGCATTATCAAAAAAAAACCCTGCAAATTTAGCACAGCTTTAAGTGGCTTTGAGGAAGGAATATGACATTCCCATAACTCTCCCATTGGCCAACACCAAATACGGGGAAGCAGGGTGACACCCAGCTCTTACAAAAACACATTTGCAAGAATTTTCGTGGACTCTGACATGGGTCTGAATAATGCAAATTTAAAAAGATAAAGTCAAAACCTTCTTCATGTTCAGTGGCTGGTGCTGGTTCCGCAGCTCTAACCTAAAGGGGACAACACAAGGTGCTATCTCTGAGAGGCTACCAAGCCCCAGATTATGCTCTTAGCAGTACAGGAAATACTATCATTAGAAGGGTGATACCTTGGGTTAAACTCTGATTTTCTGTTCTACCATCAGGTTCTTTTAAAAACACTAAACATCCCTTGGAGGAAAAGCCGGTGGATGACTAACAGCTAAGAGTAAAGAATTCACTCATCTCTTTGTTCCTTCCCTTCAGAGATGAGGACTAGAGGGCACCCCAGATAGGAAACAGAGATACAGAAATTAAGGCTGTTACAAGGGTAGGGAGAAGAATGAACACAAACTTGTCCCATTCCCAGTTCTGCCCTGGCCACTAACCCCATGCCTGCCTAAGACCAAGAAGACAAAGAGGACTGAATATAGCCAGCAGACAACTTGCAAAGCAGAAGTGAGAGTTTCAAATGATTAGGGTTCCTTCTCTTCAGTGATGCAAATTTTTTTAAATGATGTAAAATACTCAGAACTGTTTTGATTGAGATTTCCATCTCTACTTCTCTAAACAGATTCAGCCCCTAAAGGCCAGGAACCAAAAAAAAATGACTTCCGTGAAGATATGATTTCTTTTGATGTGCTTCCAATCTGTGGGTGAAAATTTTGGTGGCACTCTTATCCCAGAGTTAGCCAGTCTTCTCATCTAAGGCAAAAGCTGAAATCAAGTATATAAATGAAACTATAAAAGGCTCACATCCATAAATACGGTACCTCTGAGACTGAGCAAACACAGCAGTGATAGTTGAAGTCAGATGGCTTATAGCCCAAGGATCGTAAGCTGGTAGCCTTGGGACCGAACCCACCTCATGTAGTTTTTTGTTTCTTTGTTTGTTTTAAGTTTTTTAACTGAACTTCAATGCCTTTAGATGAGACCTGTTGTTTCTAAATTTACCACAGGTCTCACGACTTGAGATTGTTCACATAGAGCACTATTTACACATTCATATTACTTGCCTGGTTCCTGTGGACATTTGAGTTTGGGACCATTGACTTATATAGACTAACATTAAAAACAAATAAGCAATCTCTCGCTTAGGTGGAGTTCTGGTGCTGTTTCAGAGCAGAGCACTGGAGGGTTATTGAGCAACAGGATCACTAAAAAACGATAAACCACAACAGTGTGCAACACCATTGTAATCAGATTTAAAAAAAAAAAAAAAAAAGCAGGAGACCAAAAACACCAGTGAAGCTTACCAGCCCTGAATAAAAGGTGTCTACGGCTTTGAAACCGCTTTATAACAGAAGTACCTGCCAGGAGTCACTGAGCTTCCTTCATGTGCACCGCTCCCACAATACCCCGACATCTGGATGTCCCAGAACACAAGCCTGGCAGCCAACATCCAATTCTGGTTCGGCAAAGGAAACGACCCCTCTATTCGGTGAACTAAGGCCATAAATGCACTATCTGTGGTATCCAACTAAAAATACTCAACTTGGTGCAATTCAAACCGCCACTCAGCCAGTCCAGCCACTTGGTGGCTATTTAAGACATCTGCAGCACATACCACAGAAACTGTGCCATCACCTGTCTGTTCATATGTCCGGATATGGAGGACCAAAGTCCCCACCCCTACCCCCACCTCAGCTCTCCATGACACTTCCTGCCACACCCTGCCCAGAACCCAAGAATCGGAAAGCTAATGCTCAAAGGAAGGTTTCGAGGTTGTCTTATTCAATCTCCCCATTCCTCAAACTTGTTCACAAATGAGAAAACAGGCCCAGCAAGTTGATATGGTGAGTATCTTAAGAGGAACTATTAATAGAATTAAATCTCCAGGACCTCCATGGTGGCCTCAGGAGCTCAGAGCTCCTTTCTGCAACCAGCCTCCCGGGAGCAGGGCATGCCTTTGGGCACAGTGGTCCTCTGCAGCCTAGCCCAATGTTCCTGAATCGAATTTCTGTGACCCACATGGGCAGTCTAGCTCACTCAAGTTCCTTGTTAGGGTCTGGGTGAAAGCCCCCCTGGTAATAAAGGGTTCCTCTGCTCTGGCTGGCCCCCTGTGCGTATATTTCCACACATTTCATGTGGTGGGGAAGATTGGCTGGCTAGGGACAACGCTGTGGAGTTTGGAATCCGATACTCCAGCCACAGATTTCATCTAAAAGATAAATGGCTACCTCTTCTGCTCCAACTGACTTACCACAAGATGGTGTTTTCTTGTGTCACTGTGACTTTCATTTTCACCAGCCTTCTGAATGTTGCCCCAGACCCTTCCCCTGCTCTAGACAGCCATCCTCCTGGAGCACTCATCTAGAGAAAACTAAATGAAACTCTCTATGACTGATTGCCCCATTTCATTTATTTGTGTGCAGCTTCCAAAGCTTTACATTATCCACAGCCCATTTATTTCCATTAAAATAGATAAAATAATTAATCAAATATGGTGATTAAGGTCATAGTTATGAAATGTAAGGCCATTCTTTGCAGAAACATATGGCCTTATTAAACAGTTTTTAAATACAAATTATATTGGACTTCAGTGTTTTATCGGAGCATGTAATTACCATAGATTGAAGAGCTGTCTATAATTAATTTGCTCTACTTCTTATTCTCATTGTTCAACTTACCAAACCTTCTAGTACCTTGGTGATGCTTTATCGACCTCTGAGAATCCCTTTGTGATCTGCAGTGCTACTGTGGTTCACAAAATCTGTGTTCTTGCTCTCCCTGATAGCATCTGACATTTGTCATCAGGGGTTGGCAATCCCATATACAGGGCCCCATTTACTACATACCATAGCCAGTCACCAAATTAGAGAAACTCAGTTTAAAAAAAAAAAAAAAAAAAAAAACACCACAAGAGGAGACCTGTGTAGTAGACATCGTGGCTGACCCAACAGCATGTCCATTTCTCTCTCCCTGGGTAGCAATCCTGATCATTTTAAATAAATCACAGAAATCCCATACCCCCTTGCCACAGAGTGACGAGTTTAGGCAACCCAAGCCTAAGCCAATCATCACAGCAGATGCCATAGCCAATAAGCTGGTCACTGAGGCATCAGAAATGTGTTGGGGGCTTCTGGAAAAAGTCACTTGCTTCTCTGACACAACTACAAGAAGCCAGTTCTCTCTCTCCTTCTGGACAGTGTATGGTGGATATGAAGTCTAGAATTGCTGTAGAATTTTATCAACATCAGAGACGCCAATTCAGGATGAAGCTCAATCACAGAAGGCAGAAAATGGGGCCTTTTTTTTTTGTTTTAAGAGACAAAGTCTTGCTCTATTTCCAGGCTGAAGTGCAGTAGCACAATCATAGCTCAATGCAGCCTCAAATTCCTGGGCTCAAGACATCCTCCCGCCTAAGCCTCCTGAGTAGCTGGGACTACAGGTACACACCACCATGCCAGGCTAATTCTTTTTTACTTTTTGTATATATAGAGTCTCAGTCTCACGATGTTGCCCAAGCTAGAAAATAGGTTCTTGACATCACTGAACTGCTAAATCAAAACTTTGTTCCAGTTATGTGAGCCAACAAAAAAATCTCTTTTGTATGAACAAGTCTAACTTGGGGTTTCTCTTTCTTGTACAGTAAAAGCCACAACGGATGTAACATCCTGGGCAGCTAAGGAGGAATAGTGCATGAAAATTTCTAATCTTGCTGCTGGCTTTACAACATTCCCAACACCTGAAGGACAGTGAGTGAAGGAGCCCAAGGATGCACAACTGATCAATGCTTTTGCCCATTTCCTCAAGCCTGCTGTCCAACAAAGGCCAGAGGGTAGCCCGAAAGCCTCCTCTCCAGCAGGGCCATGTCTGGCCTGTCTGGTGACTGATAGCAGAGAGCAGAGTCCTAAGGCTGGGGAAAAATGGGTGGATGCTAAGACACCACAGAGGCACAGATGGGGTAGGGGGTCTGTAAGGTAGGACCTGGGTCCCTGATCTTCCTCTCCGACTCACAGCTTGATGCTGCCCTACCCTTCCTGACGGGGCTTCCTGATAATCCCCATGTGAGAATATCCTTGTCATACTGGGGGTGGCTGCCTGCCTGACAGGAGCAAAAAGGACAAGACTTGTAGGGTGTGACTAGGTGCTGAGAAGGTGTGTGTGTGTGTGTGTGTGTGTGTGTGTGTGTGTGTGTGTGTGTCAAAGTTCCAGATTCCAATCTGGAATAAGGAGCCAGGAATGAGGATGTCAGGTCTGCCCTGGGATCTCTCCCAGGAGCTGAAGGTGTGGTGAGGAGCTCAGGGGCACATGTGGTGAAGGGGAGGAACATTATTCAGCAGTTAGCAGGAGAGGGGCAAATCAGCGGAAAGCCCTGGCCTATTAAGGTCTGGCCAGATTTTTGTCTTAGAATGTGCTCAAAGTCCACCTGCGGCTCCGCAGACAGCAAACTGCATTTCTGCACTTCTACTTGGCAGTCTTACAGCTGAGATGCTGAATTCCAACAGAAAGATTTTCTGGAAGCTGGGGAAATCAGTTAGGGTGTTAATGAGGCTTTCTTTGGTGGCAACTTTAACTGAGCACTCTCATTCTCCATCTCCCACATGCAGCAAATGCTGTAATGCTCCAGTTTAGATGGTAAACAGGAACTGGAGAAATGCTTCTTGTCAAGCTTTCTTACGGCCTACTGCTCACGGCAGCCCCGCATTAATATCTGCATTTCTGCATGTACTTTGTTGTCCTATTAGCCTTGGCATTTTTTATTTTATTTTTTTTTCTGGCTGCTAACTTCCAAGCACATGACCCTGAGTTTTGATAACGAAATTACCTCCAGCAAGCACTCATTCTTAGCTTCTCATCAAATCCAGCTCAGATAGCTCCCTGAGGAGCACCACTCTCCTAAAAATAGAAACCAAAAGACCACAGAGGTCTATGCCCTCAGGTTCTAGTGACAGGCAATTTTACTGAAAGGAGAAATGATACCAAAGGAAGCAAATCAATGCTAACCCTAATGGCTCAAGCTGGTGGGATGTCAAGCTCATTTATAGACAACATATACAAATAAACATGAAATCACCTTGGTTGGCAAAAAAGAAATAGTGCTATACAAACAAATGCAAGTGCAAGATATGATGATGAGGTAAATCTCATATAGTCTAGAATGGGAGCTCTGCTATAACAGGAAGGGAAAGAATGAGGCAAGAGAATTCAGGATGAGTTCTCTCCACAAGCAAATATTTCATGTCACTTTGTCCACTGGATACAGGCTAGGAGACAATTAAACAGGAGACAATGCCGATGACAGCACAAAGTCATTTTCTTCTATACTTAGCACTGGCCAGACTTTCATCATAAAGTGATATTAGAGGATTTGGCCTGTGTCCAGAGGACAATGGTCATAAGATCTAAAGGAGATAGAAGGGGAAAAAAAGGCTTGAGCTTTTTCAAAGTAAAACAAGAAGACAATGAGTATTGGGCCAAAATGGTCCATGTTAAGCTGTACTTGGTGGCGAGTTCACATTCTCTCCTCAACTAGTAATCCTGTTTTCAAATTCATTTTAAATAACATTTAATATTCAGTCTTACCAACTTTCAGGGTGAGGGGGTGATACTGAGAATGGGGTGATCAAACTTCTTAGGACTGTAGAAATTTTATATTTATTATATCCAAATAGCTTAAAAATGAATGCAAATAAGAAATAGGGGAGGCTTTATGAGACTGTAGGTTCTTGTGCTTCACAGCTAATGGGCAGAATACCATTGGGAAAACCTGAAGGATTTATCTCCATAGCAAAACAAAGCAAGGCAATATTCAGCAGAGTATTTCTCTGAAATAAGAAGTATAAGAAGTCTAAGGCTTTCTGTGTTTGTTATGAGGCCTCTATAGGTAGACAGAGACACAGCAGGGGAATATCTAAGATGAACCAGGTTGAAACACAGGTGCTGGAGGAGCCCACAGCACTTTTCTTCCTCTCAGACCACTGTACTTGGAAGTCTACAGCTGCATGTGGTTATGTATCCCCCAGGGCAGGCAGGGTGGCCGGAAGAGTGCCAGAGGCAGGAGGCAGGTTTTCATCCCAGCTCTCACACCATGAGGCTGGATGATCAGGGACACCTGCCTTGATTTCTTTGGCCTACGTTGCATTTGTAAATGAGAAGATTGGACTAAATCAAATGGCTTCTCATCTCATGCCCAGTACAAGTCAAATTCATTATAACTGTCCACAAGGTCCCACCATCTAGCCCCTCACCACCTCTCTGACTCATCTCTCCCCCTCCCTTAAGCCTCTGTACTGTTTCTGGAACACATCAGCCCATTCTCACCTCAGGGCCTTTGCAGCCGCTTGCCCTCTGTTTGGAAAGTTCTTCCCCCAGGATATCCACATCTGGCTTCCTCACACTTCTCAGGTGAGTCTAATATCAATCACATTCTCAGTGAGGATTCACTCACAATTGCAACCACAATTACCCACCTCCACCCCCTCACCCCCTGCAACAATCCCTATTTCCCTCTTCAGCTTGAAAATATCTTTTTCTACTTAGCACTCGGTTCTCCACTTATTATATATTTTACTTATTTATTTTGTTGATGTTTATTGCCCACACCTAGAATATCAGCTCTCCAAGAGCAGGGATTTCTATCTGCTTTGTTCACTGCCTTAGTACCTGGAAGGTGCCTGGGACATAATTCAAGAAGTATTTGCTGAATAGATATGTCCATGGATGGCTGGAAGGGAGGGCAGAAGGATTACAGACCTTTACAATGTCTTTGGTCTGGGGTCTGTGGGGTGTGGTGCTTATGGTCAGAGGGCTCTCTCTGCCATTGGGATGGACTCTGTAACCACATGACAAAAACAAGCCAGCCCAGGTGAAACATAAAGGGCCCAGAGCGAGATGCGGTATGCTTTCACTCCACTGCAGAACCTCCCAAGCACTGCTTCCTGCTCGCTCCATACCTTAAGCTGATGGACATTTACACCCAGCATTCTCAGCAGTCATGCCATGGACTCCAGACACTGTCTATGAGAAATTCCTTAAATTAATGTGATTTGGGGAGAGCACTCACCTCCTCTCTCTCGTTCATTTAAAATTCCTAGGCAAAAGAGAAGTACGTTTCCCTATTGCCAGGATATCACACTAGAGTTTATCCTGAATTGGGAAAAGGTGGTGATGCTCCCACAGGCAATTCAGCCAGTTCCACTAGATGGCAACATGGTCAGGATGTGCTGATATCCAAGAGTGAAATTTACCAGGAACAGAGTAGACAAGCTCCTACGCGCCACTCTGCCACTACGGTTCTCAGCTTGGCACGCACAACCTTGCCTCCCCTTCACTTCTAGCCTGGCTATTTTCAACCACGAATTTACAGTTCGTTCTCAAATGGTTCATGCTTACCCTTGAATGCTTATGACTTAATCACTCCAGCCTTGGAAGCTTTATGTACACGTCTTTCTGCCAAAGTACGCTACCTACCCTCCCTTTGGAACTCTACCCAAAACTCACTTCTTCCACAAAATCCTCCCAAGCAAAGCTGGCTCTGATCTCAACTCTATATATGCAATGACATACAGTCACAGACACATAACCATTTTTTTTGAGACGGAGTCTCACTCTGTCACCAGGCTGGAGTGCAGTGGTGCGATTCTCGGCTCACTGAAATCTCCACCTCCCAGGTTCAAGCAATTCTCCTGCCTCAGACTCCCAGGTATACACACACACACACACACACACACACACACACACACGAAAGGATCACATGCACAGCTCTAGGCATCTAGTAGACGAATGTACATTTACTATAAATGATATGCAGGTGACCACATTCCATACAAGAGAAGTCAGGACTCTATGAAATAATATTTATTGGCTGCCAAGGGTTCAATAATGGACCAAAAGATTAGCTATACCAACACCCACCTATGTCTTCCAAATTCTAGTTTTTCCCTAGTATTAAATTTAAGCTCCAAAAAATCTGTTGAGCAGAACAATTTTAAGTAAACCTAAGCAAATATTATATATCAACTTGAACAAAAGTGTATAAATACCAATATAACTTTAAGGGCTATTTAAAACACTCTATTCTAATCCTTGATAACTTTTTCAATTTACTTTAAAAATAAAATTAAGTCTACTTGTGGGAGCATTAAGTATGGCTAAAAACAAACCTAAGGTGTTATTTTAAAAGTACAAAATGCTTTATATGTAAGGTAAACCGTTTTTTTTTTTTTTTGGTTGTTAGAGAAAATGGCAACAGCAATATTCAAACAATTATCCAATAAGAGAATAGAAATAAACAGCCTTGTGTTTACGGGTTGCCCCACGGTGTTACCACTGCTACCAGACCACTGGGAACCAGAGGTGTCCTACAGTTAATAAACGCATGGAAAATGTAAAAGAGAAACTCTGAGTGAAAAAGCCATCCAATCTTTTCAGAGTCCCATCTCTGAAACATTTCAAATCTTTATCTGTTTACAAATGAAACTGTCTACATGCAAACTTTAAATGTCATTTTTCCACCCACAATACTCATACCTCTCCCTGCTTAACACTGGTTCCCCACACCCAGAGCCATAGCAAAACAAAACAAAACAGTGATTTGTTGAACACAGTAGCTCTAAAGCCACGACCAAACATTATTTCCTTGAAGACAGCAATACTATGTTAGTCATCTGAACATTTTACCAGATTTCAACAAAGACATTATATCTAAACATATTCTGAAGGCCGTTTTAACTCACCTAGTTTCAGCATTTTCTCCCCGTGTGCAATCAGAAGGACAACTTCACAGTATCTTGGTAGAGTCATACAGACTTGAGGAATGCATGCAACCACCCTGTTGACGTGTACACTATGGAACCTGCATCACCCTCGGGGAGACTCAGTCCTTCTCAAGAATAATTCAAAATAATTTATACTATTCTTTTGAAAAATCTACCATAAGCTTACCACATAAATGCACAGAAGGCACTGGTCAACTACAGTCACTTTGAAAGTTGTCTTGCTTGTTATTCTGGGAGCTAGGTTTCGTCACTTGTAGTGGAATGCATTAGGTAGCCTTTAATTGTGAGTCCAGAGAGGTCTCCACATTCACAACAGGGATGGACTGGTTGCTGCCTGCACTTGCTCCCTGTAAACTACAACTACATAGAAATGCAAGATTACCTGTGACAAGCAAACAGGAGTATATTCAAAATCAAGCAGAAACAGGAAGTCTAACGTTTCAACATGCTAGAAAATAGAAACAGATACTTAGAAAAAAAAAAAAACTAAAAAAAAGGGAGAGGCCCCATTCACAGATGCCTGAAAAAAAGAAAATAAAAAAAACACCTCATTCCTACCTGTATAAACATGAACGTCTATTAATAATACGTATTGCTCAGAGGTGTTTCTGTTCTCAGGAGAACTAAGAATAGAGTTTGGACAATGTTGCTACTTAAAATCATCAGCCTTTTGCTTTGGAAGAGTATATAAGGTTTTCATAATGAATGTAAGTGTGAGTGTATCCAGGCATACACAATACACACATGTACACATACACATACATGCATTTATACAATCTAATAGTTTCTTTAGGAGCCTGTTTATTTACGTGGGCATTTGGCAGTCATTGCCACCCACAAATCTTTCCTTATCCACTCCCCCAAGTAAGATTCAAGTGTACCACTTCTAAGAAGGCTTTTCTTTGGTGATCCCTATTAGGTATGTATGATCTCAATCTCTTCCTTTAGCCCCTACTGCACCTTGGTTGACCTTTCTTGGTAACACTTTTTGGTATCTATCACAGCTGTCCTTATATTATCTTCAGTTGTTTATCTATCTTACTCTCCCTACATGGTAAGCTTCTTGATTTTATTTCTATACTCTGTAGCAATAACACTCTACCTTGAAACTACCAAGCACCTAGCAAAAAAAGTGGAAGGTGATGGACAAACTCTCCAAGGTCTGGTTCAGAGTCTATTTATGCCACCTTCTGGTTGTGTATACGTGCAAGTTATTTAACACCCCTGAATAATTTTGCACTTCCGTAAGATGAGAATAACATCATCAATGTCACAGAATTGCTATTAAGATTTAACGAGAACCACGTGAAGCAAATAACATATTGCCTGATGCACATAGAGTTCTCAAGCAGTAATGAGCATTATTATTGACCTAAATTAAAATCAAATGCCCAATACTAATTTGGGAAGGAGGCCAAAAGAGATACCAAATCAACATCAATTTACAAACATATCTCTGTATTTCTTATTTTCTTTGGCCTACATTATCATGTGACTAACTCATAGCGATATGACACTTATACCTTAGAAACCATATTTTTGTGTTCTTTTGTGTTATCTCCCCAAATTCTGACTGGCCCTTCATGCCATGAAAACATCAGGGACTAAGGGTCAAAGAAGATGTCAAGAGAAAGCTCTTCCTGGAAGTGCAGGACCCTAAATCACAAGGACTTCGCAGGCTGTGACTCACTGGCAATTCCAAGGGTAAGCTACAAAGAGCAGAAATACTGCATCTAAACAGTGGAACAGGCCTCTCACATTTCCCTAAAATGTGACCTCAGTGGTGGCTGCATGGCTAGGTGGTCACTAGGAACCACTCTTTCCAGTTCTGCTAGGGGAGGATGGGGCAGTGCAGTGAGGCTGCAGGAAGACAAGGCTGGAGGAAGAATCCTGCAGTCCTATGTGAAAACAACTGCCTTCATGGCATCAGGGCCCTTACACATGCTCCAGGCCCAGTCGGGGAGGCACCAGCAAGGTCCCAACACCAGGCAAGGGCAGAGGACATGGTAGCCTCATGTATCCAGTGGGCACCTCTACACCCAGCAGGAAACTCCTGGTTTTGGAGAGAGCTCTCCAAAAACAGGAGAACAAAAAGCAAAGCATCTGCACAGACATTTCCCTAAGACACTCCTTTTCTCTCACTTGAGACTAGAATGCCCAAGATATCCCCGGATCTATTCAAAGTGTGCTGTTTAAACCAGTCCCAGCAGTTAGCATCCTGCTTATCCTACTTGATTTGGGAACAAAGAAGAGTCATCACAGACATAGGCTAGAGAGCAGGGAGATTCTCAAGTAAGTATTTGTGAAGCAGTCAAACCTTACAGAATAGCCTTATGTTTAAAAAAAAAAAAAAAAGCTAATATCTCTTTGTAGATATGACTATGCACAGCACTTCCATGCTTCCCTAGGACTTGTGAATTAAGACACTCTAGGTAGGTTCAGGGATCAACATTGTGATGATTGCCCAATGTGGATGCATCACCCATGCTTCAAGGCAAGGAGGAGAGTGGAGGCAGCCAGGACTTCCAGCCCTAGGAGCCCTGCCTGGTGGCCTAGTGGCTGAAGAATCTGTCCAGGCCTAGCTTCGTGAAAGCAATTTGTGCTCAGGAATATAGTTGGCTCTTGGCCTTTTTCTTGGTGGGCACAACTCTGCAGCAGAAGCGCAGGGCTAATCTGTACCCTAACCCCTAACCCCCAGCCCCTGAGAGTGCAACTGGCATTGGCAGTCATGGAGGTAGCCTGGAGTGTCACAGTAATACCAAATAAGCTGTCATTAGGGAAGTCTGCGGCCACCTTATCTGGTACTTCTTCTCTATCTCTCTGCAAACACATGATGGTGGCCATGAGAAAATGAGATCCTTCCCTTCCGTGTGTGTGTACTCCACGTTATCTCGGCATCTCAGAGCAAGAGACTATCACTTACATCATTTCACTCTCCCCACACCCTGCGAAAGTGGGTGGCAATCCCAGTTTCCAAAGCGAGTGTCAGAGCAGAGAGGTTAAGCAGCATATTCAGCAGGACCCTGCACAATAGGACAGGGCTGAGAGGAGAGGCCATGAGGCCTAACCCCTACCCTCCCAGAACAATCTCTAGACACACATGCTCTCGCTGGCCTAGTTTCATCAACTGCTTATCACATACCCCAAGAAAAATATTTCCTTTATAGCTACCCACATCCTTATCAGAAGCACATTCAACAAAATCATCAAAAGAGTGATGACATTTGTGTCTGCATAAAAAGATACTTTCATTTGTTTATTTCATCTAATTCTACAGCCTCAGACAGAACTGGAAATGTCTACAAAACACCTTGGCCTTTATGCTTTGGCATTCCCAGGACGTTCCCTAATCCCTAGTGCTTAATGCCATGGCTGCCAAGATTAATTTCATTTTCTTTCTGTTCAACCTTCCTCTCTTCCCATCAGTCCTCTCTGTACCCTCCTCGTATGCTGAATCCTGCCCATGCTAACTCTTTCAATGGCGTGCCTAAACCATGGCGCTAATTATAGCTTCCCCCTCCTCTATTCAACTTACTCCTCTTTGTCTCTCTCCTCTTCTTCAAAGAGGAAAGAGTCATTGGTGAAGCAGGGAGGAAGGCAGGCTGAGAAGGAATTATTCCAGGAGACTCAGGGACTGAGATAAACAATATGCTCAGAAGCGTTTTCCAGATGGCCTAACAGAGACGGCGGATGGTCAGACTCACTTCTCACATAAAGGAGGCCTTGCACAGCACAGGATTTCCCCAAACCTTGTCTGGACATGGACTTGCATGGTCCATGTCTAGACAAGGCTGGGGAAATCCTGCTGCTAAGCACCTGGAGATGTCCACAGTGTGCATGGTGCTCTCACTGTGGTCCACTCACTCCTCGCCAAAACCCTGGGAGGTGGGCGTCATTATCCTCGGATTACAGGTGTGGAAACCCAGCTCCATAAAGTTAACATATCTGTTCAGCAGAATGCTGGGATATGAGCCTACATCTGCTGGCTTTTTTCTCTTCATATCATATCGCAAAAGCATCCATGATTCACCAGACAGAAAGCACAAAAAGCAAACTGTGTGGAAAATAGGAAGAACACCTTTCTATTTAACAGAAAGGCAAAAGACCTCACAAGGCCAGGTAGAGTAGTGAGTTAAGCAGTGTGAACAGCTGCTGCTGAGGGCCAGCACAGGGGCAGAGACTGCTCAGGTCTGTCATCACCACAGCTGCCATTCACGTTGCCTGCCCAAATGGGTTGCACAAAAGGTAAGTGTGGGAAGGTAGGCCTTTTTATCATGTAGTACTTGTTTCTATGTTTTAAGTATAAATTGTGTAAAAATGTTGTTAGAAGCAAAAAAAGAAGACTATCTTCTAATTTCTCTTAGAATCAGATAACTTGGGTGTTGGCAAGACCGCTGATACCATCTAACCTCATTTCACAAGCGAGGAAAACAGGGCCATCCAAGGAGGCTGAAAGGCACGCCCAGAATCCCACCACTAGCTGTGAGCAGCACAGCTGCGGCACTCGCTGGGTCCTAGGCCTGCAGAATGAGCATCTACGTCTGTCTTCCTATGATTCATGCTCAAGTCTCTCTTCACACTTGCAGCACCAATGAAAACACTAAATCAGCATTTAGAAAGCAAAGAAACACCGAGTGCTGGCTGCAATAAATATGCTGGCACTTGAATGTGGTTTATTCTCTACTGAACTGAATATAAACAGAGGCCTGACATTTTATAGCATTCTTCCATTGCAAAACCTCATGTAAAACTGAACATGATCCCTCGTAATAAAATACTAAACTAATTAAACTCTCAATTTGCCAAGAAAAACTATCCAATTGTAAGGTAAGTTTCTCTGTAAATTTCTAGAAATTCTGGCTAATAAGGGAACATATGATATTTCCCAAGTTAAATTTCTCATCCTCCCTCCATCACCAACCTGTTATTTTTTTCTCTCTGTTTTAACCTCTCTGGCTCCCTTCACAACCTTGTCACTCAGTCATCACTGATTCCTCCCTTGGTTTGGGTGGTCACTTACTCACCAAGTTCTGCTGTCTTCTCATCTGTGTGTCTCCCATTCTCACTTCCATTTGCATTCTGTTAAACCTCCTTTTGTTTTTAAGGTAGCAGAAGGTGGTTTCTTGAAAAGACAACAATCCAGAGAATGCTAGCCAAGCACTTCTATTCTCCATTCCCTCTCTAGAGGACAGAGAGCTTTCTCATTATGTAGTTTTACCCATGTGGCTATTTTCAAACCAAATTTTTTTTGCGAAGTAAGTTTCAAAAACTTTTCCAGGCTGGACACAGTGGCTCATGCCTGTAATCCCAGCACTTTGGGAGGCCGAGTTGTCTCTTGGAAACAAGGGCAAGGGTTGAGGGTCAGAACTGCAGTGGGTGGCAAAGATAAGAGCGTTTCTGCTCTATAAATTTACATTCTGACTTTTGAACAATGTAAGTATATTGTCATTTTAGATTATATTTTAAAATGTTTATAAACTGCTGAGGTTCTTCCCTGGAAGCCATTTCAAGCCCAGCTGGGTTGATCTTCCTTATGGTCTGTTTCTTCCCTGCAGGGAGACCTGGTCCCTTTCTTTTCTTTCATCTTACTTCACTTAGCTAGACATTATTAGATCTTCCCATACTTTCAAGCAGAAGCTTCTTTTCTTAAGCTCATGTATTATAATGTAACAGCTTAGAGTTGGACATATCTGAGTTCAAGTTAATCTCTGCCACTTACTATATGACCTTGAAATAGTAACTTAATTTCTCTGTGCCTCAGTCACTTCATTTGTAAAGTGAATATAATAATAACCTCCTTCCTAGGGTTGCTGTAAAGCTTAAGATAACGCGGCCGGGCACGGTGGCTCACACGTGTAATCCCAGCACTTTGGGAGGCTGAGGCAGGCGGATCACCTGAGGTCAGGAGTTCGAGACCAGCCTGGCCAACATGGTGAAACCCCGTATCTACTAAAAATACAAAAATTAGCCAGGCGTGGTAGTGGGCACCTGTGGTCCCAGCTACTTGGGAGACTAAGGCAGGAGAATCGCTTGAGCCCAGGAGGCAGAGGTTGCAGTGAGCAGAGATCGCGCCACTGCACTCTAGCCTGGGTAACAGAGCGAGACTCTGTCTCAAAAAACAAACAAACAAAAAAACCCAAAACAATAAAACCTTTTCCAATTTAGAGAGCAATCAGAATTATAACGTCTTGAGTATTTTCCTTTTGATTTTTTCCCCTAAGAAAAGCACACATCATTTTTGAATGTTTGTGGGGAAAATATGATGTGTCACCCAGTTCTGGGCCTCTTCCCATCTGTACCCTGAGCCCACATGTTCATGTACTCCACAGTCAACACACATCCGCCCCCATCCGCCTCAGCCTAACAAAATGAAGAAATTTACTCAACGACAGGGCTGGCAGCAAATCATTCCCAATGGGGGTCTGGGAACAGACATTTCCAGGAAACAACATCTCATCTCCTGGAAAGGAGTTGGAGCCTCATTTCCCCTTTCCACAAATGCAGTCCTTTTCTTACAGAGGAGGAAGAGGCCATGGGAGCCCGAGCCCCTATCCTGTGGTATATACTTCTGTCTCCTCTATCTTCTTGTCACCCAAGCCCCTTCAGGACAATGGAGGGCACACGGGCTGGTTTAATCTGGAAGAGGCTCACTAATTCAGTAAAGGGATGGGTCAAAACTAAATTCATAAATGTTCTTACTTCCAAACAGCTTCTCTTCTAGGGCTCCATATCTCATCTTCCCATCAGTCATTCAAACTAAAACTCTCTGGCTCAGTGTCATCGTGGGTCCCACTCTCCCTCTTCCTCACCTTCAAAACACTCCTCTGCTTTCTCTTCATTTCCAGCCCCATCACCCCAACCTCCTTCAGGCTCATCCTCTGGCCTGAACTTCCTGTGCTTCTTACTTAGTTGTCCTCATGATACATTTTCTCAAAGCACAGCCCGATCACCCTTAACACTGCCATGTGTACCTAGAATTAAGTTTAAAAAGCACTTCCATATCCTCTCTCACCATGTTACCCTCTGATGAGGAGCACGCAATGCTTCCCTGCTGCTCAGGGGTCTGAGTCCATGAGTCAACATAGGACTTAAAGCAGTCCCCAGTCCTGCCCCCACCGTGCTTCACTGTTTTGCCTCTGGGCCTCTGCTCACCTGCTTTCCTCAGCCCCTCGGATTCTTTCCATCATCACCAGCTGCAAAACACTGCCAGTCTCCCAAGGCTCAGCTCAGATGGAGCCTTTCATGACACTGTAGCCAGTCACTGCTCCCACTCCTGCATCTCCGTGATATTTGGACACTTACAGCATTTCCCACATTTTGCTCCAAGAGATAGCCATGTTTGGCTCCAAGAGGTAACCATCACTATACACACCTCATCAGCCCTATTACACCACACATTCCTAAACGACAGGGTGATTTCTTCATTCATTCAGCATGAATGAATCCACCTGCATTTACCTAGTACCTACTGAATGGTAGGCATTGACTTAGATGCTGGGGACATGGGAAATGAAACATAAGGGGTTGCCTGTGTTACAAAACTGACATTCAGTGGGAAAAAGCGGCAGCAGACCAGTAAGCACATACATAAATGAAGGACGGATTGTGAAAGGTGCTAGGGCAAAAATAAACAGGAGGTTCTGACGGAGACCACTCTAGCAGAAGTGGCATTGGAGGTATATGCTGAAAGCCACAGGAATAATGGTCTGGGCAGCAGAAAGAGCAAGTGCTACAGCCCGAGACAGGACAAGCCAGGCATGCTTCAGGGGAAGGAGGGGACAGGGGCTGGTGTGGCTACAGTGACGGAAGCAAGGGGAGGAAAGCTGTAAGAAGCAGCTGGGAGGCCAGGCACGGTGGCTCACGCCTGTAATCCCAGCACTATGGGAGGCCGAGGCCGGCGGATCACGAGGTCAGGAGATCAAGACCATCCTGGCTAACATGGTGAAACCCCATCTCTACTAAAATACAAAAAAAATTAGCCGGGTATGGTGGCGGACGCCTGTAGTCCCAGCTACTCGGGAGGCTGAGGCAGGAGAATGGCGTGAGCCCGGGAGGCAGAGCTTGCAGTGAGCTGAGATCGCACCACTACACTCCAGCCTGGGCGACAGAGTGAGACTCCGTCTCAAAAATAAATAAATAAATAAACAAATTAAGTAATTAAATAAAATAGAGCAGCTGGGAGTTAGGCAAAGGCCAGAATATGTAGACCATATAGGACATGGTAAGGAGTTTATATTATATGACAGGAATGTAAAACAGGACAAACATCTGGAAGGCAAAGTGACAATAAAGATCAAAAACCTTAAAACTCCACAGGCCCTTTGAACCACTTACAGGAATACATCCCATGAAATAGACAGAAGTGTGGACAAGTGCAAGGAAACTGCGCGGGGTTATGACAATGACCCCATATGAAAACTTTTAGAGCCTAACTATCCACATGGGGACTGATTAAGTAAATTATGGCACATCCATATATGGCATGTAATGCAGTCTTTTTTTTTTTATTTTTTATTTTTTAAGAGACAGGGTCTTGCTATGTTGGCCAAGTTGGTCTTGAACCATTGGCCTCAAGCAATTCTCCTGCCTCAGCCTCCCAAAGGGCTAGGATTACAGGTGTGAGCCACTGCGGCTGGCCAGTAATGCAATCTTTAAAACCGATCTTGCAGAGTATTAATAACATGAGAACTCTTCACAAAGGCTACAAAACAATATATAAAAGCAAAGAAATTATATTAAGCCATATATAATTTTTAAAGAGAAAACTATAAGCACACAGAAAAGCGCCTGGAATGATGATATGCACAATATATTTTTTTCTGGGTAGTGACAATAAGGAGTGCCTCTTTTTTTTTTATTGGTCAAATTGTAGTTGATAAATACACTACACAAACATGTAATACTGCTGTGATAAGGAAAAAAGGTTTCAAAAACCCTGTGAGTTACAAGGCATAGCAGAGAGGATATCCCATGAAATCATATAAATAAATAGAGGCTGCCAATCAGGAGGCGGCTGGGGCAATCTTCTGTCTTTTCAGGGAATTTTCAAAGCGAAACAGAAAAACAAACCATAAAAACTCCCTAGAACTTGGGGCAGGAAGTGTGTCATTCCCTTTTTGCTTATCCCTGTGACTCAGCAGTGACTGGAGGCCCCTCTGATCCATGCACGAAGAAGTTAAAGATAGGAGTTCTGAGAGGATGGAGACTTAGAAACCTCACCCAGGAGCTCCCAGCCCCGAGGGGGAAGTTGGGAATGTTGAACTTGGAACTTCTTCTTTTTTTTTTTTTTTTTTTTTTTTTTTTTTTTTTTTTTTTGAGATGGCGTCTTGCTTTGTGGCTCAGGCTGGAGTGCAGTGGCGCGATCTCGGCTCACTGCAGCCTCCACCTCCTGGGTTCAGGTGATTTTCCTGCCTCAGCCTCTCGAGTAGCTGGGATTATAGACACTGGCCAACACACCTGGCTAATTTTTGAATTTTTGGTAGAGATGGGGTTTCATCATTGAACCTGGAACTTCTAAGGAAAAAAATATTCTCTATTCTTTTTTAGAGTCATTACAACAGCAACCAACAGTCTTACCTATAATGTTACAAATTAAACATGATTAAGCTTTTGTCTATTTCCTTTAAATAAGATTTACTTCACAAGACCCAAACCCACTGTTGTTCCAAGCCTTCTTCCCAAACAGGTTTGAAAGTTTAACAAACATTCTAGACAAGTCTCAACAAGTCTCAGGTATTTTGATCCTGGCTTACACAAGCTCAAATTGAAGGAGTTTTACTGCAGAAGCCCATTCAGCCAATTTATGCCCCTGTTCCCCACTGGGAAGCAAAGATGATTTGGTTCCTGTGTCCCCATCTGGCAGCCTCCTAAGCTCAGCACTCAGCCAAAGAACACAGATTACAACTGATTTGCTAACAGAAGCCCACATGCTTCTTTTAGTCCATTTTTAATAACCCTCTGGAAACTACAGAGTGGAGGGAAACATACAGAGCACTATAAAACAAAACAGCAACTTTTGACTCTGGAATCATTTACATTTTTAAGGTAAATTAAATTAAAATGTGAGGACATACAATTAAAATCCAGGACCACTGCCTTCCTACCTTTATTTAACAAATATTTATTGAGGCCTTACTGTGCCCTATGTTAGACTCTAGGGTAAATGACAAACAAGTGGCCAGAGATGTGTATGTATGCAGGGTGGGGTGGGAATGTGCTTGAGGGAGGCAGATATTTCCGAGAAACTCCAAGAAATGCAGCCAGCTTGGGAACAGGTTATTAAGGATCTTATAAGCCCTGTTAAAAAGTTTAGATTTTATCAAAACTCTAATGAGGCATTTTAAGCAAAGGATGATGCAATCAGATGGACATTTTATGAGGCCAATAGCAGCATAGGATGTTAGACTGGAGAAAGTGTAGGGGGTGCAACTGCCCTTTAAGTAACCTAGGAAAGAGATGGCAGCAGTGGCTTGGTCTTAGTTGGTGGCAGTGCACAGTGACAGGCAGTATATAGAGTGTACAGCTATTCACGGGAGAACTGACTATACTGACAACTGATTGGGCATAGGGGTAAGGCCAGAAGCAGCAGCCTTCCAAGTTTCGAGATAGTTACCTGGGTCATTGACTAAGGGGAAAAGTGAAAGAGAAGGCAAGTTCAGCTTTCTTCACATCAAATTTGAGTTGCCTATGAGACATCAAAGAACATTTTCTAGCTAGACACCCAGGTCTAGAACTTAGACAAGAGCTTGGGCCTGGAATGTAAGTTTGGGAGGCACCGGCATGTAGAGAATCTGAAACCCTAGAAATGGGCGGGATCACCAGGGAGAGAGTCGAATAAGAAGGGCAGAGAATCCAGGTGGAGCCTAAGAAATACCAACGTTTTGATATTGGACAAAGAGGAAGAAGCCTGCAAAGAAGACCAAGGAGGGGCACAGAGAAAACGGGGAGGAAAATCAGGAAAGTGGATTATGGAGGACCAGTCTGTCTACAGAAATGGGAGCAGCATGGACTCGTTTGGAATGGTCAGGAAGAGAAGTGAAAGGTCCCCACCTAGCATTAAAATGCCAGAGGCTGCTCAACTTCTCCACGCCTGTGTATTTCTGGAGTTATTGGTAAACAGCAGGGGGCCAAATGGGAGGCAGCAAGAAGAGAGCAGGTTCTGAGATAAACTTAGCAGGAGATCCTGGCCATAGCCAGCATGGTCTGCTCAGAGGCTGGAAAAGGGGCCAAGGTCCTGGGACCACTCCTCAAGGAGTAGCACTTCATCATTCAGCCACAAGTATGTATAGGTCATTTACTGCGTGTGAGCACTGCTGATGGTGCTGGGGATAGAGCAGTGACAAAAGTTCTAACAAAATAGCTGGAAAAACAGGATTTTGAGTGGAGATAAACGCTGTGGAGGGAAAAAACAAACCAGAGGCAGGGGCTAGAGAGTGGGTGGGAGAGAGGAGCATTTTGGATAGGCTTTCTCCTGGGGTAACATCTGAGCAGAAACCTGAGAAAAATTAGAGAGAGAGCCAAGGAACAATCTATAGGGAAGGGGCTTCCAGGCAGAGGGAGGGGTGTGTGCAAAGGCTCTGAAGTAGGAGGAAAGAGCTTGGGAAGTTTGAGGAACAGCATGGTGGTCAGTGTGGCCTGACTGAGGCAGGGAAGGAGGGAGTGGGAGGAAATTAGGTAGCAGAATTGGGCAGAGGCCACATGAAGGGGAGCCTGTAGCTCCTGGTAAGGAGTGGGGAGTTTGTCCGTTGGAATGGAAAGCCGTGGGGGGTTGGAGCAAGGGAATGACTGTGATCAGCGATAAGACCATTCTCATTGCACAAGGACTGTCTGAGAGTGACAGTGCAAGAGCACAGGGGAGTTAGGAGGCTTCTGAGGCTACCCAGAAGAGAAGTGATGGTGGGAGAAGCAGTGAGATTTAGGATGTGCGTATTTGCTAGGGCAAGTGGAAAGAACTTGCTGCCAGGTGAGCTGTGTGATGAGTGAACAGAGGAATCAGGATGCCTCCTGGGCTTGTGGCCTGAGAGCTGCATGCACGAAAGGCAAACCCAGGAAGGAGCCAGTGTGGGGTAAAGGGCATGCAATCAAGATGCCTATTTCTAGTGGAAATGTAAAACAGACAACAGAATAATCACATCTGGAGTTTGGGAAAAATGTGTTAAATACATTAATTTGGAAGTTATTAGTATTGTATTTATCCTCCAGGACTAGAAATCATCCAGATTCTCAATCTTGGCTGTATGCTGGTATACCCAGTAACAAAATATGAACAAAAAAAACCAATTCAAACCAAAACAAAACAAAAACTGATGCCCACAAGTCTTCCCCAAAGGTTCTCAATTAACTAGACTTGGTATCCAAGTCTAGTCTTTTTTTTGAGATGGAGTCTCACGGTGTTGCCCAGGCTGGAGTGCAGTGGCTCGATCTCGGCTCACTGCAAGCTCCGCCTCCCGGGTGCACACCATTCTCCTGCCTCAGCCTCCTGAGTAGCTGGGACTACAGGCACCGGCCACCACGCCCGCCTAGTTTTTTTGTGTTTTTAGTAGAGACGGGGTTTCACCGTGTTAAACAGGATGGCCTCAATCTCCTGACCTTGTGATCCGCCCACCTCGGCCTCCCGGAGTGTTGGGATTACAGGCATGAGCCACCGTGCCCAGCCAAGTCTAGTCTTTTTTAGTTTTTTGTTTTTCGTTTTTTGTTTTTTTTTTAGCAGGTTAAGAACCCTAGAGACAGTGTAGTATGAAGAAGAAAGTCAAGGACTAAGCCCTGGGGCAATTCCATCTGTAGAGGCCCTTGGAGAGAACAGTTATTCAGGTAGGAGAAAAAAAGGGGATGTGATGCCCTGGAAGTCAAGTCAGGACAGTGCTTCAAAGGGAAGTGAGGGGGTGGGGGTGGTTACAAGGTCATACTACAAAAAGAAAAAGAAGGGGGCCGGGATGGATGATGCCAACTACTACTGAGAGACTGAAAAAGATGAGGACTAGAACAGGCCATGGGATTTGTTAAAATGGAGGTCTTTGGTGACCTTAACAGAAAGGGTTTTTGAGGAGTAGTGGAGTGGGGAGGGGCAGCAGGAAGGGGAGATTGTACACACCCCAGGAGACAAGTCTTCTAGCAGTTCTGCCAGAATGGGCAGGAGAGAAGTGCCATAGAGCTGGAAGGCTACATTGAATAGAGAAATTTCTTTAACTTGTTTTTTAAGAAGGGTGATAAAAAGGCATGTTCTGATGGTGATAGGGATGTTTCCATAACTGGAAAGAAATTGATGTGCAAGAGAAAGAATATAATTGCAGGAGGACTTGAAGAAGTTGGAGAGAAAAAGCCTTTAGGGACCCTGAACCAATGAATCTGAAATTCCCCAACTGCCAGATGTATCTTCATTTTTCATTTTCCGGGAGATGTAATATGTCCTAAAAATCACAGTCGCTAGATTGAAATCAACCTTAAAAATCATCTAGTCCAATGTCTACTCCCAGTCCACTACTTGAATCCCCTGTGTCCCCTCCCAGTAGTCGTCTTGACAACCTCCACTGAAAGGCAATTTCTACACTCCATCCACCCCACCACCAACCCATGGTTCATGATCTCTTCGGACACTCCTTGAACTGAACAGAAATCTGTTTTCCTGTGCTTCAATCCACTGGTTCTGGTGCTGTGCCTTCGGGATACACAGAACATGTCTAATCCCTCTTTCACATCTTTCAAACAAACGAAAACTAGTAACTCCTGTCCCACCTTGTTAATTATGTACTTCCTAAACCAAGCCAGTTCTTTTCACATGTATGGACAAACAGATTCTATTCTAGAAAATATCTAGACATGGGCTACAAATCCACCTCGGCGTTCTTTAACATAAAGAAGGTACTGTCAAGCATAATAGAATAAAAGGTGCACCAATATACATAGAAATAACCCATAATAATCCTGGTTACCAAGAAACCAGAGAGGTTCCAGGCTAGTTGGACTTAATCCACTCAATCCTTAAGCACTCATTTAATTATCTCTCTCTCCATCTTGTTCCCCAATTCTAGCAGAGAACTCTCCCACAACATGTGTGTACGCATACACACCACACACTCAACATATGCACATTCACTCAGACTCTCAGATAGGAGAAAATTTGACCATCAACAGCTGCCGTGTTATTAAGCACACGTTGGAATGTTCTCATTAAATCAAGTTTTTAGGAAAGGGTCTCTACAGTATTAACTGATTATTTTCTCGAAACCTCATGTTGGAATACAAACTCCAAAGCCAGAAGAAAAACCTAAATGTTTACATATCCAAACGGATTATTTTATTTCATCTTATCTTATTTCAGGGACAGGGTCTCACTTCATTGCCCAGGCTGAAGTGTAGTAGTGCCATCACAGCTCACTGCAGCCTTGAACTCCTGGGTTCAAGTGACTCTCCCGCCTTCACCTCCCAAAGTGCTGGAATTATAGGTGTCAGCCACCACACCTGGCCAAGAATACTTTTAATGCAATTATAAATTAAGTTAAAAGCACAGTTACAAAAGCCAGGATTAGACTACAATTAAAGTATCCCTTGAATTATGGAGTCACTGCTAATATTCAATGAAGAAACAGGTATGTTGTTCCAAAACTGAAGGAGTATTCATGCCAAATATCATATGAGCTGTTATTCTTCTAGTCTTATTTTAAAACATTCCAACCACTGGAAGTGAAAGGGACCCAAACACGTAAGAGTACTGGCTTAGTGTCTCAAATAACCCTATAATAGGCTAAAACAATTTTTAAAACCAGTATAGTAATTAATGCAAAATGCACATGGTAGGTTCTGAAATGTTTTCTGAATTAATAAACTGCATTACGCTGGAGTCAAGGGTTCATGAGATGGTGAGGAGGAAGGGGAGGAGGGGCAGGAAGAGGGACAGGAGAGGGGAGGGGGCAGGAGGATGCGGGGGGAGGAAGAAAAAAAACTGAAAAACTATAACAGGTATCACTCCAGATTCATATGTACATCAATTTAGTTCTAGGCTAGGCACAGTGGCTCATGTCTGTAATCTCAGCATTTTGGGAGACTGAAGCACGAGGTTCACTTGAGTCAAGGAGTTCAAGACCAGCCTGGGCAACATAGGGGAACCCCGTCTCTACAAAAATAAAAAATAAAAAAAATTAGCCAAGCATGATGGCACATGCATATAGTCCCAGCGACACAGGAAGCTGACGTGGGAGGATTGCTGGAGCCCAGGAGGTCAAGGCTGCAGTGAGCTGTGATCACATTACTGCACTCCAGACTCCAGCCTGGCTAACAGAGGGAGACCTGTCTCAAAAAGAAATCCATTCTAGAACAAAAGGCTGATATAGAGCACTAAAGGTACCACTTGAAATCCCCGTTTAAAGGGACAAACTGAAAAAAAAAAAGAAGTGTCAATCAATCACCTGCAAAAGATCAATGAATTCAGAGCATTTCAAGAGCTGTGACTACTTTGATCAGTTTTGGGGAAGAAAACAGTTTGACTATAATTAATGTTTGACTATAATTAATTAATATAATTAATCAAGGTGGTAAGTCAATTAAATTCACCACCTTGATTAAAGACTAAATTTGACAACTGCATACAAGAAAAAAACACAACTTATTTATGACGAAGATCTTTTATGTGTCCCACACTCTGGAAAAGTGGATGTGTCCAAAGGAAATAAAGATCATGATATCAACTATATAAGGTAGGGCTGGGTGCAGGAGCTCACGCCTGTAATCCCAGCACTTTGGGAGCCAAGGCGGGCAGATTACTTGAGGTCAGGAGTTCAAGACCAGCCTGGCCAACATGGTGAAACCCCCGTCTCTACGAAAATTAAAAAATTAGCCAGCATGGTGGCCTATGCCTATAATCCCAGCTACTTGGGAGGCTGACGCAGGAGAATCATTTGAACCTGGGAGGTGGAGGTTGCAGTGAGCCGAAATCGCGCCACTGCACTCCAGCCTGGGCAAGAGAGTGAGACTCCATCTCAAATAATAATAATAATAATTATTATTATTATTATCATATAAGGTAAATATTTGATGATAAATATAGGTCAATATAACCTGCTATGAAAGCATCCTGAATATCTCAAAATTAAAGAAAACTGATTTTGATACAATTAAAAAATGCCTTTCTTAGCCTCCCCTTATCTAATCAAAAGGAAGAAAGAATAAAAAGTCTCTACAGCACATAGAATCAGATTTCTTATATAATTTCTTATATAATCACTTTCAAATGGTTCATTCTGTAATTTTAGAAAACTTTATATCAGGCCAAACAATTTAAAAGCATATTTAAAAATTATTTATTTTGGCTAATTTCTATTGGTTTAATGTTCTTAACTTGGGTCTTCTTCCAAGCCATTCAAGTACAATAAATTTATGGACTACAGGAAGAAGTCCTACCCAAGAAATCGGAACCAGGAGGTGCACCAGCCACAAGGACAGGCCTCCATGATGGCAGACGCAGAAGAGGCTCAAAGGGCAGAGGCAAAACTACTTCCTTTTTATTATCTTGCCGGGTGGCTAAAAATGTAAAGTTCTACATGCTATTATTTCCTCACAACAGGCATATACATTGCTCTGGCATTTCTTCAGCCTGATTTTTCTAGAACATTGTTTCTCAGCCTTGGTTCTACTGATATTTTGGCCCACATAATTGTTATGGGGAGCTTTTGGGTGCATTGTGGGATGCTTTGAAGCATCTCTGTCTTCTACCCACTAGATACCAGCAGCAAACCCCTCCCAGTTTGCTAAAATTGTCTTTGGATATTACCAAATGTCTCTTGCGGGCAGGGCAAAACTGCCCCCAGTTGAGAGCCATGTTCTCGAGCACTGGTTCTTAAATTGGCTACATGTTGGAAGCATCTGAGGAGGTTTTAAAAATACTGATACCTGAGTCTCACCCTCAGAGATTTTGACTTAATTAGTCTGGAGTAGGCCTGAGGCACCTGGATTTTTGAAAGAGATTCTAATGTGCAGCCAAGTGTGAGAATCTCTGCCTTAGAGTTTATCAATACCATCAAGTAAGTCATTTAATCAATTTAACCCAACTCAAAAATGCATTGTATCTCTCCACACTAGGGTCTTCTTTATCTTGGTACCAGAATCAACATGATTAGGGGACATAGAAAGAAGTGGAGAAGGCCAGGTGTGACGGCTCACGCCTGTAATCCTAGCACTTTGGGAGGTCGAGATGCGAGGATCACTTGAACCCAGGGGTTCGAAAAGAGCCTAGGCAACATGGCGAAACCGTTTCTTACAAAAAATATGAAACTTAGCTGGGCATGGTGACACATACCTGTGGTTCCAGCTACTCAGGAGACTGAGGTGGGAGGATCGCTTGAGCCCAGGAGTTAGAGGCTGCAGTGAGCTATGATCTCACCACTGCACTTCAGCCTGGGTGACACAGGAAGATCCTGTCTCAAAAAAAAAAAAAAAAAAGTGGAAGAACTAGAAAAAGGTCAACTGTAGTTCTAATCTGCAAAGTTCTTTACCCTTTTAGGTGAACAGGAACTAGTGCATAAAAATTTATTTCAGCTTTAACATTGCAACTAAAAACACTCCAGTTTTGGAGATTTAGAAAATAAGCCTCACAGGTAGGAAGACAGAATTACTTCCTCACATGGTAAAATGCCAGCTCTACAATGAAGAAACTCTGGAGCTGCCATCTCTTTAATGGGCACCATTAAACCAGCCTCAGAGAAATGCCAAGTTCATTTAAAATAATAAACAAATCTGTGTGTGTGAAGACACCCAGAGGACCCACACAGGAACTGCAATCAAGACTTCTGTGTGTGTGGGTGGTGGAGGTGGGGTTCATCTTCAGATAGACGACACTACCAGGAACCTGTCAGGAGCTGACAGCAAAGCTTGATTCCTGTAAAAAAGCTCCAAGGTCATGAACAGCCCACATGCTTCCCTCCTGTCCATTACACCTCGGGGTCTTCTGCCAGCTTCCTCAGTGTGTTCAACAACACTGGGCCTGACTCCAACTTCTGCAGACAGTGGCACAGCACTGCCCCTGAAAGGCACTGTTCCCCTGGGAGCTAGACTGTGGCTACAGTATTCTCATCAAATGTGTGCCAATCTACTGGTTATGCCAACACACATTGTCTGTTGTTTTTTTGATAAGAAAAAAGTAAGGAGACACACACATGCATACACACATAATAAGGATTCTTCTCCCATTTCAGGAATAAGAATTATCAGTAACTTATGGCCAGGTGAGATGGCTAATACCTGTAATCCCAGCACTTTGGGAGGCCAAGATAGGTGGATCATTTGAGGTCAGGGGTTCAAGACCAGCCTGGCCAACATGGTGAAACCCTGTCCCTACTAAAAATACAAAAAATAAGCTGGGCCTGGTGGCGGGCACCTGTAGTCCCAGCTACTCAGGAGGCTGAAGCAGGAGAATGGTGAGAACCCCGGAGGCGGAGCTTGTAGTGAGCTGAGATCGCACCACTGCACTCCAGCCTGGGCAACAAAGAGAGACTCCATCTCGAAAAACAAAACACAAAACAAAACAAAACAAAAAACCACACACACACAAAAATTAGCCGGGCGTAGTGGTGAGTGCCTGTGATCCCAGCTACTGGGGAGGCTGAAGCAGCAGAACTGCTTGAACCCGGGAGGTGGAGGCTGCAGTAAGCCGAAATCATGCCACTGCACTCCAGCCTAGGTGACAGAAAATAATGAAAAAAAATAAATAATTGGTAACTTGTAGTAAGTGGTTAGGATGAGTACAGTACTTTACTATGCGCCATACATGCTTTAATCTTACTAACTCCTGACAGCACTGAAAAGCAGGTCCTATTAATGTCCTCATTTTATAGATAAAGTAATTGAGGCTTATGCAGTCTTAAGAAATTTATCCAAGGCAAAGCCAGGACCTGGACCTATTTCTCTCTGGCTCCAAAGCTGATGCTTTTAACCACTACACAGTACTGTCTCTCTGGTTCTCAAAAACAAAAAAACAAATCCCAATCAGTGATATGAACTCAACTCTACCACCTGTGAGTGTTTCAAGTTCTTACTGATTTGGGTTGGACAAGGTTAGAAGAAAAGTTTGTGGATATGGAGAGGATGCATGATACACAAATTTTGTTCCAGACTCCATCAACAAGACCACAGGGCACCGTGTATGTCTTTGAATCTGTCTGTTTTTGTGTGTGTGTGCATGTGTATATGACAGAGAGAGGAAACATTTCACAGAACATATGAACATATCCGGGAAAACCTGGTCTTACCACTAGTTTGTAAGTTCCAAGAGGACAGGGACTATTTCTATCAGCATTTATTCAGTCAGCAACTAATACTGAGTGCTTACCACTGGCCAGACCCTGTCCCATGTGCTGGAGATTCACAAATGAACAAAACAGACGACAGACATGGTTTTTTTGTTTGTTTGTTTGTTTGTTTGTTTGTTTGTTTTTAGAGACAGCATCTCGCTATATTGCCTAGGCTAGATGCGAATTCCTGGGCTCAAGTAATCCTCCTGCCTCAGCCACCCAAGTAGCTGGGATTGTAATGCCAGGCATGTGTCATGACACAGGTCATTCTTAACCAGTAATTATGCTGCCTCTACTAGATTTTATGCTAGTTGCATTTACTCTGTCTATAGCAAGGAAAACTAACTTAATTTTGTTTGTCCCTTTAACCTCAAAACCCACACATGAATGCCTAGTGAATAATAAGCACTTTAATATTTGCTGAATAAATGAATTGGTCAGCAGCATACACTTTAGCACTTAATTCAAAAGCTAAGTGAGATGCAAAATGTTTCATGTGCTTGAGCCTTGTTGCTCCAGCTAGTGTATAAACTTCTTAAGCACAAGGATCACATTATGTTTATATGTACCAAATAAAAGCATTCCATCTTAAGGCTGCTTCACAACATACCAGTCCCAGAATTTAAAATAAGCACACATAATTTGTACTTCCATGAAATTATTAAAGGTACTGACAATTCTATTAATAAACATCATTTGTTAAAAAGGAGGCTATCATATTTTGGCAAGTACTAAACTTTAGCAAATGCATATCTTCCCTGTTGTAGGGCATCTTTAAAATAAAAGAAAATGTCAAAGCCCGTGCCTATTATGAGACCCTTAGGAACAGTATAACATCTCTGGATTTGGGGGTTTGGCAGCTCTGGCAATGGTGGTCTCAAGAAAGTGAAAGCAAAACCTACTCCCCTTCCTTCTCTCCCTCCACCCTGGCCCCCAAAGCCTCATGTTTCATTACAAGCTGAGTGCCCTCAGACTTCCAAGTACCTTTAAGGTTTCTGTAAAACTCCTTTGAGCTTGTGGCAGATTTCAAAAAGTGGGCTTTTAAAATAAGCAGAAGAATTTTCTTTGGAGCTGTTAAGTAGTCTTGAACTCAAATATAGATTCTTGGCTTTGAACTAATTATCTATAACAAAAATGACAAATACGAAGCTGACCACTCTTACCCAATTGTTCTGGAAATTTCTGAAGCACTGTCAACCATTTTCACTGCATATAATATCTTCTCAGTGTAATTCTTCCCCATCTTCATTGAGGTTCTTTTAATATAATTTAACCCTTCTTAATATTAAGCCAAGTAAGGATTATAATAATAATCAAAACAAGTATTTGTCCCGGTTTTTATTAGATAGCCTATTTTCCCAAGTACAGATTATCCTAGTGAACTTCATTTTCCCTTTTAAAAATGTACATTCTATTCAGAATCTACAGAACTTTTAATTACCACATTTGCCTATTCTGCATGATCTGAGAGCTAACCTCTGCCCTTTGGTATTCTTTCACTGTAGTTACCCAACATTTTCCTTCTGAATGTAGATCTTCATATTCTTTTTTTTTTTTTTTTTTTTTTGTATTTTTTGCAGGGACAGGGTTTCACCATATTGCTCAGGGTAGTCTCGAACTCCTGAGCTCAAGGGATCCACCCTGCCTTGGCCTCCCAGTGTGCTGGGATTTCACACGTGAGCCACCGAGCCCAGCTACATTCTTATTTCCTAAACTTTACAAGTTCACACTCTTCCCTTTAAACAAATGTGCCCCCTCTGGCGGTGTCATTTGAGTCCCGGTGTATGTCATTAAGCCTCTTAACCTCAACCACTACTTCCCACTGAAATAACTCTATTTTCTTTTTTTCTAATGAAAAAGTAAGACATGTTCTATGTAAAAATTAAAATATGGTGAGCACTTACCACTTACTATGAGCCAGGCATTGAACTAAGTATTTTTTAATCTTATTTTCATCCTCGTGATATGAGGTCAGTGCTTTGATGAGTTCCATTTTACGTAAGAAAGTAGTTAAGCAAATTGCCAAGTTACAATAGCAGAAAGAGCAGAGTCAGAATTTGAATCCAGCTCTGTTTCCAAACTCTGGCTCAAACTGCTGTGTCAAACCAGACTCCTCCCCAATCCATTCCCAGCTAGAATCCCAGATAATAATTTGGTTATTTTTTTTCCCAAAGTTTTAAATACCAAATAAGCATGCCTATCCTTTGCCCTACCACCTTCTTTCTTACTTAAACAGGACCATATTATATACATTAGTTTAAAAGTTAATACTATAGTGTATCTTTCATAGTCAATATATAAAGCTCTTTTTTCTTTCTGTCATGGTTCCACACTAGTCCATCCTGTGGTAGTACTGCAACAAAGTTAACCTTAGTTAAACTAGGTTTGGTTAAATTTGATGAACATTTAGGCTGTTAAGCACCACAGGTCTATGGATACTTTCATTCCTCTGCTTAACACTCAAACTCTATAAACCAGAGCTTTGTCCCTCCTTCACGGGTGAACACCCACAATGTCCCTTCATCAGCACTTCCTAATAATTTTACTCTGCTCTTGCTAATCACCTTATTTGCCCGTTCCATTGATATGAGTTCATTCACTGATTTTTTTTTTTTTTTTTTTTTGAGACGGAGTCTCACTCTGTCACCCAGGCTGGAGTGCAGTGGCGCAATTTTGGCTCACTGCAACCTCCACCTTCTGGGTTCAAGTGATTCTCCTGCCTCAGCCTCCCAAGTAGCTGGGACCACAGGTGCGCCACCACACCCAGTTAATTTTTTGTATTTTTAGTAGAGACGGGGTTTCACCATGTTAGCCAGGATGGTCTCAATCTCCTGACCTTGTGATCCACCTGCCTTGGCCTCCCAAAGTGCTGAGATTACAGGTGTGAGCCACCACGCCCAGCCCATTCATTGGGTTTTTAATATTTATTTGACTGTTCAAAATTCACAGTGCCATTTCAACCTTTTGTTTCCTTTAAAATGAACACCAAGGCCGGGCACAGTAACTCATGCCTGTAATCTCAGCACTTTGGGAGGCCAAGGCAGGAAGATCACTTGAGCCCAAGGGTTCAAGACCAGCTTGGGCATCATAGCAAGACCCCATGTCTATGAAAAATTTTAAAAATTAGCCAGGTGTGGTGATGTGTACCTATAGTCCCAACTACACTGGGGGCTGAAGTGGGAGGATCGCTCAAGGCCAGGAGGTTGAGGCTGCAGTGAGGTATAATCATGCCATTGCACTCCAGCCTAGGCAACAGAGCAAGACCTTGTCTCAAAAAATAAAACAAAACAAAACAAACAAAAAACAGATAAAATGAACACCAAAACAAAGCTAGGAATATTTAAGGCTTTGGAGTATAATGCTTTTGTTTGAAAACTCTTAAGTAGGTTTTAAGAGTATGGGGAAGGAGAAGGGGACCAGACAGGGGAGAGAAGGGCCAACCCCTGCTCTCAGAGAAATGTATTGATTGATTGATTGATTGATTGATTGGTGGAGTCTCGATCTGTCACCCAAGCTGGAGTGCAGTGGCGCAATCTCCACTCACTGTAACCTCCGCCTCCCCAGTTCAAGCAATTCTCCCGCCTCAGCCTCTCAAGTAACTGGGATTACAGGCACGTGCCACCACACCCAGCTAATTCTTAGTAGAGACAGGGTTTTACCATATTAGCCAGGATGGTGTCAAACTCCTGACCTCAAGTGATCTACCTGCCTCGGCCTCCCAAAGTGCTGGGATTACAGGTGTGAGCCACCGCACCTGGCCTCAAAGCATTTTAATAAGCCTTCAGGACTAGGCTTTGGCCCAGACCAGGTTTCGCTCTCTCTCCTCTCAAAGTTTTCTGAGATCTTCTTCCTTGTCCCTACCGTGAGAGGTGCCCTGTAGTCCTCCAGTGGGCGCTGCCTTGGCCTACAGCCTTTGGCCTTCTCCAGCGAAGTATCCCTGCTGGGGTAACTGTCCTAGGAGAAGTTCAATTTCTGGGAATTAGCACAGAATTCCCTCCACTCAGGGCTCTCCCAGGACGACCTTACCATGTTTCTAGCCTCAGCCCAGTGTCTACCAGCCGTAGTACCTCATCTTGTGGAGGGAGTCCAGGGAGCGAAAGAGTGACATCTGTTTCCTAACCTCTACATCAGCAAATGCATCTGAGTTCTGACAGATACAATTAGCCTCAATGTAGCTGATTTCCACAGCTCTAAAAACCATCTCCTTGGGGAAGAAAACCTCTCCCCATAAAAGAAATCAAAGATGGACAGAAGAAGGGAAAAGAACAGCCACTTTTTGAGATCCTACTAAGTGACAATGTGCCAGATGTTTTATTCAGGTCATCCCAGTTGGCCCTCCACAGTCCTGTGTGTCTGGTTTTATTTCTTCCCATTTTCAGTGGGAAAACAGTGGCTTAAAGAAGCAAATGACTTGACTAGCCAAAGCCTCACGCTTGGGAAGCATTAGAGCTGAAATTCAGGTAATGGTCCGCCCCAGACTTCTTGAGCCCGCATGTTAAATGCCAATAAGACAAGAGCAGAATTTTCCAACCTGAGGCCCACAGACTCCCTAGCAGCCCCTAGATGGGCTTTGGGGTTATCAGAATGTCCTGAGACTGGGGTGATGTGTCTTTTGTGAGTGGGGAGTCACTCTGAATGCTCCCACATTGCCTCCCCTGCTCCTCCCATAGTCTGAACACCGATGCTTCGATCACGTGCAGAACTACCCACCCTGCTCTTCTGCCATTTCCTCTATTGTTATCTTTTCATTATAGTCTTGAGAGCCATCTTCTTGCCATCTTATTTAAACAACTGTTGAAAGGGAATCCCTTTTGGAGAATGTGCTGGAGCGAGCCACAGCTGCCCCTGTGGCAGCTGCCCCTGTGACAAGCATCACCACCCTCAAGCTTTCATCAGATTCTCAAAAGGGTCCAGAAACCAAAAAAGGATTGAAATCTAGTCAGGAACACTTCTACAGTCTTTTTTTCCTTTAACAAATAAAAACTAAAAATGCTGCTGAAAGTATGGTAAGTGTCTTCCAAAGGTGTCCATTCAGAGATGCAGAGGCACCCACAGAAAAGCCCTCAAGTGACCACATTTCATCTTGGCACAATAAAATTATTATTTGTCACTGAAGGTGAGAAAGTAGAATACCAATGCATGTTGCAGAGGCTTTTAACACAGAGGAAGGAAGTTGTGGTTTGAGTAGAGGAGGAAACTGCAGTAAAGGTCTTTGATCTTTGTATTTCACAAAAAGCAACTGAAAATGTAAATAACTGTCTCCTTCAATGCCACTTGACAGTTAACAAGAAACAGTTTAGCAATTTTATCACATACATGCACAACTGCTTTTGCCTTTTTACCAGGCTATGATAGATAACTGGAGAGAGCATGAGTCAAATGGAGCAACAAGGAGCACGCTGGCTCAGATGCTCTTCCAGTGCAATATCAGAATGGTCTTTTTTTTTTTTTTTTTTTTGAGATGGAGTCTCACTCTGCAACCCAGGCTGGAGTGCAGTGGCACAATCTTGGCTCACTCTGCCACCTGGGTTCAAAAGATTCTCCTGCCTCAGCCTCCCGAGTAGCTGGGATTACAGGCACCTGCCACTGCACCTGGCTAATTTTTGTAGTTTTAGTAGAGATGGGGTTTCACCGTCCTGAAAGGCTGGTCTTCAACTCCTGACCTCGTGATCTACCCGCCTCGGCCTCCCAAAGTGGTGGATTACAGGCATGAGCCACTGTGCCCAGCCTAGAATGGTCTTAAGAAAGACCAAAAAAGCTTATACAGTCAAGACCATTTATTAAGTGCCAACTGTTTAAGACCTCCTCCCAAGGCCAACCCTGATGCAATGGAAACCTTTCAGTGCCAAGAGGCAGGAAGGCACAGCCTACATGATGCACTGCACACACAGCTGGGAAACCAAAAAAAAAAAAAAAAAAAGGTGGGAAACGTAGAAGAGAGAAAAATATAGATTTCAAAGCTAATTAAACAGAAAGAGAGAAACAGATGTGAGGGACAAAACTTGCCAACACCAAGCCCTTGGGAAATGATACAGATTCCCCTAGGAGAGTTCACAGGCGGCAGACTTCTGGAAAACCTGCAGGAAAGAGGGAATGCTGTCATTTGCAAGAACGCTATCAGTTCACAACTAGTGTGCCTTCCTGTAATATTTATCTAATAATATTATTTTAATATCAATTATCAGTTGGGCAAGAGGTGCAAAATGCCACATGTTGCACCACAAGAAGTTTGCTCATCTGTAAATTACAGGGGTTAGAATAAACTTCTAACTTCTCTAAGTAACATGATATTAGTATTTTTCAAGGTGCTGTTTGTGATTTGATTTTTCCTTGCAATGAGGCTCTTTAGCAAATGAAGGCTGGCTTTTAAATCACATGTGCAGACTCCAAAGGACAGTACTAGCTACTGATAAACATGGGGTGTCTGCAAAACTCTGGCTTGTTTCCAAGATTGCTCCAATGGGAAAACAATTAAAACTACATTCTCACTATTAAATTAGAATAATTTCCAAATAAATCTTGAAGGACATATACATATATACACACAGTCTTACTAAAATACACTTGCATTTCCATGATTCTAAAATACCATTGGTTGTAAGATGCACAATTTAACGCAGAATTTTTTGGGGAAAAGACTGTAGTATTATCTGTGCACCTGCATTATACAACATATCTCCAATTGAGAATTGTTAAAAAATGAAAAATATGCACCTTAGAATTGAAACACGATGGTATGAATGGATACATAGAGATGCTTAACTATATGCATCTATCCATCTTTCCAGAAATTTTTCTCTACAAGGAACCTTGGCAGAAGCTGCTCATTTGTGTGTTTGGTTCTTTCTAACACTGAAAAACACAGAAGCTAGCAAAAGATTTTTTTAAGTTGTACAAAAAAAGTACTGTATGTACACCTTCTGACTCAGCAATTACACTTCCAGAAACTTATAAATATAATTGCTTGTATGTAATGACATATAAACGTGGTTGTTTATTGCAGCATTATTTATAACATAAAAATCAGTAAAGAACAAGAATGTTCAACAATAAGCGAATTCTTAAACCATAGTATATTTGTGGACTTGGAATACAGAATACATATCTTAATATGGATTTAGAATATGGAATACTACGAAAGAAAAAGAATGAAGTAGATTTCTCTCCTTCCTAATATGAACTGATGTTCAAAGTATTTAATGTGGAAAAAAGGCGAGTCCCAAAGAGTAATTTTCTGTATGTCATCAACTATAAAATGTACATCATTTCATATTTTAACATATTTGAAATTGGGCTGTACCAATCAATAGCATCTTAAGAGTCCACAAAAAACAGTAGTTTGATCCTATTTGTACATATATGTATGAAACGTGCATGCCTTAATATGCATAGGAAATTTCTGGGAAGCTACTTTTAACTGTAAAGTAGAAAAAGAGAAAGATGTCTTATTTGTTTTATTTTACTTTACCCTATAGCCTTTATTTAAGTATGAGGTGTTTCCTTGAATACATATTACTTCTGAAACAAACCAACCAACCAACCAAGTATAAACCATTCTAGGCTCCTAAAAGGTAATGGCTTGGATAATCACTGGGACAGGGTATCCCTTTTGGGAAAATCACTCCTAGGAAAATTTTTTATTCATTAAAAAACATATTTCATAAAAAAAATGAAAAGCAAGGCCAGGCACGGTGGCATGTGCCCATAGTCCCAGCTACTTGGGAGGCCAAGACAGGAGGATCGCTTGAGCCCAGAAGTTCTGGGCTGTATGACGATCAGGCGTCCACACTAAGTTCAGCACCAATATGGTGACCTCCCAGGAGCAGGGGACCACCAGGTTGCCTAAGGAGGGTAGAACCAGCCCAGGTCAGAAACAGAGCAGATCAAAATCCTGTGCTGATCAGTAGTGGGATTGCGCCTATGAACAGCCACTGCTCTCCAGTTTGGGAAACATAGAGACACCCCATCTTGGAAAAAAAAAAAAAAAAGAAAAAGAAAGAAAGAAAGAAAAAAGAAAAGAGAAAAGCAAAGCAAAGCAAGGATCAAAGAAGGAAATGTAAGGATCAAAGAAAGAAGACATTCACTAGGAGATCCTAAGCACCTAGCTCTTCTGCTTCTTTTCTGTTTTCTGATCATTTAGGCAAGTTTTGCCAAAAGGTATAGCTTGTTCTCCACGCTAGAGGTAGAGGGGGTTGGTAATTCAGAGGAATTCATAGGAAGTCCTGTTTTCTGGAAGGATGGAGGTGTGAAACAGCAATATAGTCTCCTTATCTGGGAGGTGGTGGGCAGCGGGGTTGAGGGCAGGGCGGCGCAGGCAGTCCATTACAAGGCCAACCACACGCAACACTGGAGGGTGGCCAGAAGGATCCGGAGCCAGGTGCACGGCACAGGTAAGTGGGAACCCTCAAGAGCCCTCAGAGGATGGAGATTTTAGGGCAGTGTTGCTCACCCTGTGGCCCTCCATCCAAGAATGAACAAGGGACCCTTATTAACATGCAGGTTCCTCTGGCCTACCCATACCTCAGCAAAGTAATTTCCATAAACATTCCAACAGTATACCTGAGCTATCATGATTTGGGTATTTGTAATGTGTCATTTATAAAGCGAGGTCTAGAAATTTAGATAACCTTTATAAAGTGCAAAAAGTAGATTTGAGGCAATGGAGTTTAACAAACTTTGTTTCAAATGACTTAAAAAAAAAACTCTTAACAGATGGGATCTCACTGTGTTGCCAGGCTGCAGTGCAATGGCTATTCAAAGGTGTGATCAAGTGCACTACAGCCTTGAACTCCTGGGCTCATGTGATCCTCCTGCCTCAGCCTTCCGAGCAGCTGGGACTACAGGTGTACACCACCACACCCAGGCCCAAATGACCTTTAAAATTAGAATTGATATGACCACTCAAATAAAATGCATCTACATATTCTCAGATTAAAGCCTATACATTTTAATAGTTGTTAGAAACTGAAACAGATATTTGGAAATTTCATCTCCTCCTTGAGAACTAGAAAATATGTATCTTTCCCAACATATTCAATTAAGAAAATAGTCATTTGAAAAATCAGTTCATTTTTGAGGGAAGAAAGCCCGAAAATGACTATCAAAGAGGTTTTTTAAGATACCCCATATTTTCTGAAACCTTTTATTTTCCTTTGTAAATCAGCTTATTTAGATTCTGCTTACAGAGTGATCTTATAACTGGGAGTTCACAGCACTGGAATCTACACTTCCAATAGCTCTTCCTCTGTTATTCCAGCTTGGAGTTTACAGATTGACGTTCACCTCCCTCCTCCCTCCCAGGAATGTGGTATTTTCTCTTTATGTCAAGCAGAATGCAGATTACACTGACTCATTCATAAATGATTTTAATTATATATCATTTTTCAGATAATTTTCACCTCACCATTCTTTTGGGACTTTTCTGTTCTGGTACAATGCAGCTTCAAACACAGAGTTAGAATTTATCACTTCAATCAATTTGTATTAAACAGAAATATGCTGATTTGCTTCCTGATGCATCCAAAAGGGAAACCTGTGCTACACAGTTGATATAGAAGATAACTGAAAATAATTTCTAAAAGGATAGTATCAGTTTCACTGACAGGAAATTATCCTCTGGAAAGAAAACAGGAACAGTTATGTTACTTTCATCTCATAGAAGTGAGCTCATGCAATCGTGGTCTTTGCACAACATTCCCAACCAGAGAGTAACTGTGAGGACTAGGCATCATATTCAGGTAATTCTAAGGTGCAAGTTTTAAGGACTTTGCCTATGGTGTGTGCATGGTATCAGGGAAGGGGATCAGGTTTCCCTGTGGGTCACTGAGGGACCATTATAGGGAATTGTGTGTTTAGTTTAGAGGTAAGAAACAGTTCAGAATGGCAAAAGCACAGAGTGAGTGCCTTTGGAAAAGCAGGAGGAAATGAGGCTGCAAAGCTGGACAGGAACCAGATAAAGAGGCCTTTAATATGTTTGGTGAAGGAGTTTGAACTTGATTCTGAAAGCAGGAGGAGCACTTTTAAGAATTTCAGGCTGGGTTAGCCAAGCCACCTGTAATCCCAGCTACACAGGAGGCTGCGGCAGGAGGATCACTTGAGGCCAGGTATTTGGGGCTGCAGTGAGCTATGATCATGCCACTACACTCCAGCCTGGGCAACAGAGCAAGACCGTATCTCTACAAAAAATAAAAATTAAACTTAAATTTGAAAAAAAGGAAAAAAGAAAATCAGAAAGAATTTCAAGCTGGGGAATGACAGGATCCGATCTGTATCGTAGAAAGATCGCTCAAGCCATAAGAAAGGAGACTCAGGAGGGCAGTCACTCCATTTATACTCAGAAGACAGAGGGAGAAAAGGCTGAGAAAACCTCCATTCAAATACTGACATTTAGAACTCACTTACCGGGTATGTTTACTTAGGTAAAATATTTCACCCCTTTACAATAGTGGGGAGCTATCGCACAAGGTTCTAGAAACTAAGTGTGGCTGTTTCATATTTACTTCTTACTATAGGGTTCACTTAAACAATGTGACTAAAGAACTGGGAAGGGGAACCATCTCATGAATCTGTGTGGCCCTGCTTGGAAGAGGCTCTCTCTGTCTCCCTGTTGTTTGTGTTGCTGCTCATGGTTACTGCATGAAACTTCTACTTGAATTCAACTTGTTTTTATTTTATGTTCTACTTGTCTGAAGCAAGCATTCAACCTTTCCGGTTAATATGCCATTACACATCTTTTTGGATCTACTACACCCACTTCTACCCAAATGATAAGGGAAGCAAAAGCCCTGTCACCAACCTTTGAGAGCTCTGAGGTGCAAGTCAAGGTATGTAGCTTTACTGACCCACAAGAGGCACAGGTCCATCTAACTGAGCCCATTACAGAGCACACAGCACTGCTCATACTGTACCAGGAATGAGACAGCAGAGGGAGAAGGAAGGAGGTGAAACACCTTCTGCATAACATGTTGTCAGTGGCAAAACATTAACTGGGACCCAAGCCTCTGACTTCCAAACTCTGAGCATTTTCTAGATGACATACACTTTAAACAAAACACAGTACTCATTAAAGTAAGCATATTCTTCATGACCTCACTGGCATGGGTAATGGAAAACCAAGAAGTTATCTCTAATTGAATTGGAATGTTTACACTGGCTGCATAGCTGCTCCCCTAAAGGAATCTGTGGGGAAACCAGGCTCTGGTTTCCTCATTTCCTAGTGTGTGGTTTTTTCAGGGCACTAGGCACATGAAGGGAGTCTTTCTAACAGGGAGGAGGAGCTGAAGAGTGTGTCAGACATGAAAGGTCCTTCCAAGCAAAGTTCTAACACATGATAAAATCAAATGAATGACGGCAGAAATTGTACTTCTAATGGCTGACTGCGTAACAATTCGCAATAATGTCTCCACTCAGGAATGGGAAATCTCAATTAGGAAGCATCTCTCCTTCAACAATGATGCAAAATTAGGGCAGAGAGAAAGCCCAGGAATATATAAAAAGCATTCTCCTTTTCATCTCAGCATATGATAAGAGAGTTTGCTGTTTGGTGTTTTTGCTTGTTTTGGCAGGTGAACGATCTTAGGTCATAAGCTTTAAGTGTTAATTATGAATGGAAATTAACGCACTGATCCAGCTAACCTAATGAAAAGATGATGGTCAAGTGAGCAACACCCTCCAGATGAGCTCACGAAATGTCCACTGAAAGACTGTGGGGTAAAAGGAGTGGCAGAAGATGATGTTATTCAATATGATAAAGGTGAATAATTTGACAGTTCAGCAGAGCCAATTCTCAAGAGAAAAATAAATCATTTTCAAAACATCCTTCCCAAAGACAGGTGAATTTTTACTTTTACATTTACCCAGTGACTAGCTGAAAACATACTAGAAGCAGAGGAGAAAATGGGATTCTAGCAGGAAACATACTAAAAATAGAGGAGAAAAAAACTATTTAGTGTTCTCTAGAAATCATTTTCTCTAATAAAAGGATGTCCATATTTCTGGATTCTCTCTCTTGGAATGTAAGTTTCTTGAGGTTGTCACCCTTGAGAGCACAGATCTTCTATCTCATAAAGTACCAGTGAGCAGTTACAGGGAAGCTATACCTTAAAACCAAATTCAACAGGTGGTTTGAAGGTCAAGTTCAATGCACTGGCCAGTTAGCCTGACCCCAACTAGGACAACTAAATAATGGTCCTATGATTCAAAATATCTGGTGAGTGAATAACCAACTCCTCCCTTATTTGCTAAGAGATGGGGACTGAAACAACTAAAACTATTTCAGAGCATGACAGGACCTTGGAAATTATGTAATCAAAGTGGTACCTTCATTCCTGAAGATAAACTAGAAAATTCTTAGGAACATCTGTTTCACACCTCTCTAGTTCCTAGACTTTCATTTCTCCCATATCTTCCCCAATACAAAAAAGTTAAATGAGATCTTGGAGTAGGGAAGGTATAGTGGGAATATCCTCAGTATCTGGGTTGGCACTTGGAATATATTTTATCCTAAGAAATAGGACTGCGTTTCTGGTCCACTACAAATATGTGCCTTAATACTTCCAGGTTGATTCCTGGTTGTTTTTTTCACATAAAGATGACTTGTTAAATGTATTTTTATTTTCTATCTTTAAGATTGTTCATTTCAAAAATCATAAATCACAGTTCTACAAAAAAGTTAATTCCACCCATATTCCCTGAGGGCCTACCTCGTGCTAGACTCAGACCTGAGTAATGAGATACAGATGGGACTCCAATGTCTCCAGCCTGAAGGAGCTATGGCATATAAATAATGGCAAAACCACATATAATCAAGGTGTGCAGAAAGTGTCATGAAAACCCAGGGAAAGAAGCAGCTGCTGCTGCTGAGAGAGGACTGGAGAAGGCTTCCCATAGGAGATGATTTTTTTTTATTTGGGGCTTTGAAGACTGAATAGGATCTGGCCAGTAAAGAAGGCGGACAAGGGAATTATAGTCACTGGGAACAAGCCAACTGACAGAGGGGTAAGAATTGTGGAATATTCTAGATGGCATAAGCATAGAGTGCCCAATGGGGAACAATAGAAGGGAGGATAGAAAAACAGCATGAAGGAAGACATGAAGAGCTCTGAACACCAAACTACGAAGCTCAGATTTTAATCTGTAGGAACGTAAGGCCATTTCATTGAGGGTTTTTACATAAGAAGTAATGCAACTGGGTGGCAAGTCCAGGAATGGACCGGAAGCTGGGAGACTGGTTAGGAGACTTATGATAATCTTGCCAATGAATAAGGATCTGAATTCTGAATTGCAAACAACTGTTTCCACTACCTTCAAATCAAAGCTTGGGGCCCACTTGTAATGCTTTTAGTGTGAGGCACCCTAAAACTGTGCCTCGGAGATGGTCACTGCCTTTAACTCCCATCTGCACCTGCAATTCTTCCCTCTAGGAAAATATCACCTCCTCTTTCTCACCTACCTCACATAGATTCCATAAAGAAAGCATAACACATAGGTTAAACTGAAATTTGTGGGGAAAAGGCTTTTAATGAAAAATATGTTCCAATGCAACCATAAAGGGGTAACAGCATAGCCTGTAGAGTCAAGCAGAGCCAGCACTAACAGTGACTAGCTGCTGGATCTCAGGCAAGTTATTCAGTTTCTCTGTGCCTCAACCCTCCTCATTGCAAAACGGGAACAAAAAACTACCTTTTTAAGAATGTTAATTATGAGACTGGAAAACAGATCCTTAGAGAAGTACATAGTAAGCAAGAAAAAATGGTAACTATCACTCTTTTATATGCTTTGATAATAGACTGAGTCAGGAATGCAATATCGTTTCTAAGTTGCAAGGACATGCAAAAAAATTCCATTACTCAGTGCTTTTACAAATAACATTTGTTTTAGATGGTCTACTTTTTAAAGATTGAAGATTCTCCTGTAAAGCAGTAAAGCTCATTGTAATTTTACCCTTTCTAAAATGTACCACACTTAAAGAGAATACGCTGAACCAAATTTAACCTTCTTTCTGAGGATGTGATTACCATGATTTTCTCAAGTTCCTGCTAAGAAGGTACTGGGGGTGGCAGCCAAGATGGCTGATTAGGAACAGCTCCAGTCTACAGCTCCCGGCGTGAGCGACACAGAAGACAGGTGATTTCTGCATTTCCATCTGAGGTACCAGGTTCATCTCATTAGGGAGTGCCAGATAGTGGGCACAGGACAGTGGGTGCAGCGCACCGTGCGCGAGCCGAAGCAGGGCAAGGCATTGCCTCACTCGGGAAGCACAAGGGGTCAGGGAGTTCCCCTTCCTAGGCAAAGAAAGGGGTGACAGACGGCACCTGGAAAATCGGGTCACTCCCACGCTAATACTGCGCTTTTCCGACGGGCCTAAAAAACGGTGCACCAAGAGATTATAACCCGCACCTGACTCAGAGGGTCCTACGCCCACGGAGTCTTGCTGATTGCTAGCACAGCAGTCTGAGATCAAACTGCAAGGCAGCAGCGAGGCTGGGGGAAGGGCGCCCGCCATTTCCCAGGCTTGCTTAGGTAAACAAAGCAGCCAGGAAGCTCGAACTGGGTGGAGCCCACCACAGCTCAAGGAGGCCTGCCTGCCTCTGTAGACTCCACCTCTGGGGGCAGGGCACAACAAACAAAAAGACAGCAGTAACCTCTGCAGACTTAAAAGTCCCTGTCTGACAGCTTTGAAGAGAGCAGTGGTTCTCCCAGCACACAGCTGGAGATCTGAGAACGGACAGACTGCCTCCTCACGAGGGTCCCTGACCCCTGACCCCCAAGCAGCCTAACTGGGAGGCACCCCCCAGTAGAGGCAGACTGACACCTCACACGGCCGGGTACTCCTCTGAGACAAAACTTCCAGAGGAACGATCAGACAGCAGCATTCGCGGTTCACGAAAATCCACTGTTCTGCAGCCACCGCTGCTGATACCCAGGCAAACTGGGTCTGGAGTGGACCTCTAGCAAACTCCAACAGACCTGCAGCTGAGGGTCCTGACTGTTAGAAGGAAAACTAACAAACAGAAAGGACATCCACACCAAAAACCCATCTGTACATCACCATCATCAAAGACCAAAAGTAGATAAAACCACAAAGATGGGGAAAAAACAGAGCAGAAAAACTGGAAACTCTAAAAAGCAGAGCGCCTCTCCTCCTCCAAAGGAATGCAGTTCCTCACCAGGAACGGAACAAAGCTGGATGGAGAATGACTTTGATGAGTTGAGAGAAGAAAGCTTCAGACCATCAAACTCCTCTGAGCTACAGGAGGAAATTCAAACCAAAGGCAAAGAAGTTAAAAACTTTGAAAAAAATTTAGAAGAATGTATAACTAGAATAACCAATACAGAGAAGTGCTTAAAGGAGCTGATGGAGCTGAAAGCCAAGGCTTGAGAACTACATGAAGAATGCAGAAGCCTCAGGAGCCGATGAGATCAACTGGAAGAAAGGGTATCAGTGATGGAAGATGAAATGAATGAAATGAAGTGAGAAGGGAAGTTTAGAGAAAAAAGAATAAAAAGAAACGAACAAAGCCTCTAAGAAATATGGGACTATGTGAAAAGACCAAATCTATGTCAGATTGGTGTACCTGAAAGTGACGGGGAGAATGGAACCTAGTTGGAAAACACTCTGCAGGATAGTATCCAGGAGAACTTCCCCAATCCAGCAAGGCAGGCCAACATTCAGATTCAGGAAATACAGAGAATGCCACAAAGATACTCCTCGAGAAGAGCAACTCCAAGACACATAATTGTCAGATTCACCAAAGTTGAAATGAAGGAAAAAATGTTAAGGGCAGCCAGAGAGAAAGGTCGGGTTACCCACAAAGGGAAGCCCATCAGACTAACAGCTGATCTCTCGGCAGAAACTCTACAAGCCAGAAGAGAGTGGGGGCCAATATTCAACATTCTTAAAGAAAAGAATTTTCAACCCAGAATTTCATATCCAGCCCAACTAAGCTTCATAAGTGAAGGAGAAATAAAATCCTTTACAGACAAGCAAATGCTGAGAGATTTTGTCACCACCAGGCCTGCCCTAAAAGAGCTCCTGAAGGAAGCACTAAACATGGAAAGGAACAACCGGTACCAGCCACTGCAAAATCATGCCAAATTGTAAAGACCATCGAGGCTAGGAAGAAACTGCATCAACTAACGAGCAAAATAACCAGCTAACATCATAATGACAGGATCAAATTCACATATAACAATATTAATCGTAAATGTAAATGGACTAAATGCTCCAATTAAAAGACACAGACTGGCAAATTGGATAAAGAGTCAAGACCCATCAGTGTGCTGTATTCAGGAAATGCATCTCATGTGCAGAGACACACATAGGCTCAAAATAAAAGGATGGAGGAAGATCTACCAAGCAAATGGAAAACAAAAAAAGGCAGGGGTTGCAATCCTAGTCTCTGATAAAACAGACTTTAAACCAACAAAGATCAAAAGAGACAAAGAAGGCCATTACACAATGGTAAAGGGATCAATTCAACAAGAAGAGCTAACTATCCTAAATATATATGTGCCCAATACAGGAGCACCCACATTCATAAAGCAAGTCCTGAGTGACCTACAAAGAGACTTAGACTCCCACACAATAATAATGGGAGACTTTAACACCCAACTGTCAACATTAGACAGATCAACAAGACAGAAAGTTAACAAGGATACCCAGGAATTGAACTCAGCTCTGCACCAAGCGGACCTAATAGACATCTACAGAACTCTCCACCCTGAATCAACAGAATATACATTTTTTTCAGCACCACACCACACCTATTCCAAAATTGACCACATAGTTGGAAGTAAAGCTCTCCTCAGCAAATGTAAAAGAACAGAAATTATAACAAACTGTCTCTCAGACCACACTGCAATCAAACTAGAACTCAGGATTAAGAAACTCACTCAAAACCGCTCAACTACATGGAAACTGAACAACCTGCTCCTGAATGACTACTGGGTACATAACAAAATGAAGGCAGAAATAAAGATGTTCTTTGAAACCAACGAGAACAAAGACACAACATACCAGAATCTCTGGGACACTTTCAAAGCAGTGTGTAGAGGGAAATTTATAGCACTAAATGCCCACAAGAGAAAGCAGGAAAGATCCAAAATTGCCACCCTAACATCACAATTAAAAGAACTAGAAAAGCAAGAGCAAACACATTCAAAAGCTAGCAGAAGGCAAGACATAACTAAAATCAGAGCAGAACTGAAGGAAACAGAGACACATGAATCCAGGAGCTGGTTTTCTGAAAGGATCAACAAAATTGATAGACTGCTAGCAAGACTAATAAAGAAAAAAAGAGAGAAGAATCAAATAGACGCAATAAAAAATGATAAAGGGGATATCACCACCGATCCCACAGAAATACAAACTACCATCAGAGAATACTACAAACACCTCTACGCAAATAAACTAGAAAATCTAGAAGAAATGGATAAATTCCTCAACACATACACCCTCCCAAGACTAAACCAGGAAGAAGTTGAATCTCTGAATAGACCAATAACAGGCTCTGAAATTGTGGCAATAATCAATAGCTTACCAACCAAAAAGAGTCCAGGACCAGATGGATTCACAGCCGAATTCTACCAGAGGTACAAGGAGGAACTGGTACCATTCCTTCTGAAGCTATTCCAATCAATAGAAAAAGAGGGAATCCTCCCTAATTCGTTTTATGAGGCCAGCATCATCCTGATACCAAAGCCGGGCACAGGCACAACCAAAAAAGAGAATTTTAGACCAATATCCTTGATGAACATTGATGCAAAAATCCTCAATAAAATACTGGCAAACCAAATCCAACAGCACATCAAAAAGCTTATCCACCAAGATCAAGTGGGCTTCATCCCTGGGATGAAAGCCTGGTTCAATATAGGCAAATCAATAAATGTAATCCAGCATATAAACAGAACCAAAGACAAAAACCACATGATTATCTCAATAGATGCAGAAAAGGCCTTTGACAAAATTCAACAATGCTTCATGCTAAAAACTCTCAATAAATTAGGTATTGATGGGACGTAACTCAAATAATAAGAGCTATCTATGAAAAACCCACAGCCAATATCATACTGAATGGGCAAAAACTGGAAGCTTTCCCTTTGAAAACTGGCACAAGACAGGGATGCCCTCTCTCACCACTCCTATTCAACATAGTGTTGGAAGTTCTGGCCAGGGCAATTAGGCAGGAGAAGGAAATAAAGGGTATTCAATTAGGAAAAGAGGAAGTCAAATTGTCCCTGTTTGCAGATGACATGATTGTATATCTAGAAAACCCCATTGTCTCAGCCCAAAATCTCCTTAAGCTGATAAGCAACTTCAGCAAAGTCTCAGGATACAAAATCAATGTACAAAAATCACAAGCATTCTTATACACCAACAACAGACAGAGAGCCAAATCATGAGTGAACTCCCATTCACAATTGCTTCAAAGAGAATAAAATACCTAGGAATCCAACTTACAAGGGACGTGAAGGACCTCTTCAAGGAGAACTACAAACCACTGCTAAATGAAATAAAAGAGGATACAAACAAATGGAAGAACATTCCATGTTCATGGGTAGGAAGAATCAACATCGTGAAAATGGCCATACTGCCCAAGGTAATTTATAGATTCAATGCCATCCCCATCAAGCTAGCAATGACTTTCTTCACAGAATTGGAAAAAACTACTTTAAAGTTCATATGGAACCAAAAAAGAGCCCGCATAGCCAAGTCAATCCTAAGCCAAAAGAACAAAGCTGGAGACATCACGCTACCTGACTTCAAACTATACTACAAGGCTACAGTAACCAAAACAGCATGGTACTGGTACCAAAACAGAGATATAGATCAACAGAACAGAACAGAGCCCTCAGAAATAACGCCGCATATCTACAACTATCTGATCTTTGACAAACCTGAGATAAACAAGCAATGGGGAAAGGATTCCCTATTTAATAAATGGTGCTGGGAAAACTGGCTAGCCATATGTAGAAAGCTGAAACTGGATCCCTTCCTTACACCTTATACAAAAATTAATTCAAGATGGATTAAACGTTAGACCTATAGGTCTAACGTTAGACTAAACGTTAGACCTATAGGTCTAACGTTAGACTAAACGTTAGACCTATAGGTCTAACGTTAGACTAAACGTTAGACCTAAAACCATAAAATCCCTAGAAGAAAACCTAGGCATTACCATTGAGGACATAGGCACGGGCAAGGACTTCATGTCTAAAACACCAAAAGCAATGGCAACAAAATTCAAAATTGACAAATGGGATCTAATTAAAGTAAAGAGCTTCTGCACAGCAAAAGAAACTACCATTAGAGTGAACAGGCAACCTACAGAATGGGAGAAAATTTTCGCAACCTACTCATCTGACAAAGGGCTAATATCCAGAATCTACAATGAACTCAAACAAATTTACAAGAGAAAAACAATCAACCCCATCAAAAAGTGGGCAAAGGACATGAACAGACACTTCTCAAAAGAAGACATTTATGCAGCCAAAAGACACATGAAAAAATGCTCACCATCACTGGCCATCAGAGAAACGCAAATCAAAACCACAATGAGATACCATCTCACACCAGTTAGAATGGCAATCATTAAAAAGTCAGGAAACAACAGGTGCTGGAGAGGATGTGGAGAGGATGTGGAGTCCCACTGTTGGTGGGACTGTAAACTAGTTCTACCATTGTGGAAGTCAGTGTGGAGATGCCTCAGATCTAGATCTAGAAATACCATTTGACCCAGCCATCCATTACTGGGTATATACCCAAAGGACTATAAATCATGCTGCTATAAAGACACATGCACACGTATGTTTATTGCGGCACTATTCAGAATAGCAAAGACTTGGAACCAACCCAAATGTCCAACAATGATAGACTGGATTAAGAAAATGTGGCACATATACACCAGGGAATACTATGCAGCCATAAAAAATGATGAGTTCATGTTCTTTGTAGGGACATGGATGAAATTGGAAATCATCATTCTCAGTAAACTATGGCAAGGACAAAAAACCAAACACCGCATGTTCTCACTCATAGGTGGGAATTGAACAATGAGAACACATGGACACGGGAAGGGGAACATCACACTCTGGGGACTGTTGTGGGTTGGGGGGAGGGGGGAGGGATAGCATTAGGAGATATACCTAATGCTAAATGACGAGTTAATGGGTGCAGCGCACCAGCATGGCACATGTATACATATGTAACTAACCTGCACACTGTGCACATGTACCCTAAAACTTAAAGTATAATAAAATTTAAAAAAAAGAAAAAAAAGAAGGTATTGGGAAGAGCTAACACGTTAAAAGTGAATTGATATACTATGGATTTGGTTCCAATGAAGGTAAAATTATGTCCCAAGAGTGCCTAGAACATCCACCACTGTAAAGCGCTGCAAGTGTTATCTGACATCCATACAATAACATGCATGTGACTGCCCTTTTAAAAACTTTTTATTATTCAAATTTTCAAGCATTCATGAAAGTAGAAAGAGTATAATAAACTCTCATCTGTAACCCACCTTCAACAATAACCAGTATTTTGCCAATCTTGTTTCATTTGTACCTCTCTACCCCTTGACTCTTCTTTTGTTACCATTTTTCCCCATAGCCTTATTGAGATATAATTTATCATTGTAAGTGTACAATTAAATGATTTTTAGTAAATGTATACAGTTGCGTAACCATTACCACAATCCAATTTTTAGAACATTTCCTCATCCGGAATAAATAGTGACAATATAGTACACATACACAATGGAATACTGTTCAGCCTTAAAAAAGAAGAAATCCTGTCATTTATGACAACATGGATGAACCTGGAGAACATTATATTAAGTGAAATAAGCCAGGCACAGAAAGACAAACACCACATGATCTCACTCGTATGTGTAGTAAAAAAGCTGAACTCAGAAATGAGTAAAATGGAGGTGACTAGAGGTTGAAGGTTGGGGGATGGGGAGATGTTGCTCAAAAGACATAAAATTTCAATTAGACAGGAGGAACAAGTTCAAAAGGATCTACTGTACATCACAGTAGCAGCAGTTAATAACAATCTATTGTACATTTGAAAACTACTAGAAGAGTAGATTTTTCAGTATTGGCACCACATATGAAAAAAAAGGGATGTGACGTAATGCATGTGTTAAATGGCTTGATTTAGCCATTCCACAACATGCATATATATCAAAAATCATGTTGTACACACATGTATATACAGTTTTTAGTTGTCAATTAAAGTAAAATTTAAAAACAAAATTAAAAAGGACTCCTGCCATTGGTGACAACACAGATGAACCTGGAATAATGCTAAGTGAAATAAAAGTCAGACAGATAAAGATAAATACTATTTTTTTAAAAAAAAGAAGAAGAACATTTCATCATCCCACAGCAGCCATTTTTAGTTAATTCCCATTCTTACTTCAGCCTCAGGCAGCCACTAATCACTTGCTGTTTACAGATTCGCCTTTTCCAGGCATTTCACATGAACAGAACCACACAGTATGTAGCCTTTTGCATCTGGTTTATCTTACCTGGCACAATGTTTTTGAGATTCACCCATGCTGTAGCAGGTACAGTACTTTGTTCTTTTTTATTGCTAAATAGTATTTCATTGTGTGTGTGTGTATATATATATATATATATATATATATATATATATATATATGCTACATTGATTATTCATTCACTAATTGGTGGATATTTGAGCTGTTTCCAGTTTTTGGCTCTTATGTATAATCTTCTATTAACACTTGCTTATAAGTATTTGTATGGACATGTTTTCATTTTTTGGGGTAGACATCTGGAAGTAGACTTGCTGGGTTTTGTACTGTCTTTTACCCAACAGAATAACAAAATACCATATGATATAATGTTTTATTTAATAAATAAGGAAATGAAAAGTCCAAAGACATTAACTAATTTCCTCATACTCACAGTTCATTGGTGACAGAGAAAGAATTCAAACCCAGTACGGCCCATTCTTCTTTTTTTCTTCTTTTCTAATCAGTTTCATTCCTGCTCCTCCCAGAAACACTCCTCCTGGAGCCCTCCTCCTTCAGCTCTATTCTAGATGGGCTCTTCTCCTTGGGCCAGAGCTGCAATAGGGAACTTCCCTTCTCAAGTCCTTCTGGGGCTCCCCTTTACCTCCTGCAGACTTTCCCACCCCTACTCCCATCCTAAAGCCTCTGCTTCACCTATGCCTCTGGGGAACTGGGGAACTCTCATTTCTGAGCCTTCCTGGCATTCTGTGAGCAAATCAATCGCTTCCGGTCCTCTCCCGGTGAGCCCTGCAGGCATTTTATTCTTGACTTCACTTCTCCTCTCTGCAAATGCATTTGCCATCACTTCATCTGCTTTCTATCTTTAGGTCCTGTATGGGTCAGGGTTACAGATGTCTCCAAGGTTTATAAGGATACAGTCTGCATTCCTGATTTTCATTCTTTTAGTTTGAGGGAGATTTTCAAGAGACAAAAGCAAAAATGTCTTTGCTAGTTTGAAAGAAGAAATCTCCAACTTTCTTGAAACTATCTCTTGAGTGAAATACTTACCCGGGCAACGAAAATACAAGGACAATGAATGACTATTCCATTCAAACTAAGGGGCATAAGAGGGAAAAAACTCTGCCCCAAATCCTAAAAAGGAATTTTATCCCATAAACATATGCATGAAAGAGGCTGCCTTTCACTATTCAAAGATGAAAGCAGCCCTTCCTGCACTCCGTGGCTGGTACTGCCTCATTAGTTTAACTTACGCAAAATAAGAACACTCTTTGAAGCTAAAAATAATCCATGAGTTTTTAAAAATAAAATTATTATTCCAAATTTCCTAAAAATGTTATGGCAAATGCCAAGCACGCAGAACTGATTCTGAACACTTTTTTCCACTTACGTAAATCGAATCCACTGCAATTGCTCCCTCTTTTGAAAAATGCTTAACTGTAAATTATGCATGACAGGCCGAAAACAGTGGCTGTACACACATGTAGCAATTGGCTGCTATTATCCAAGCAGCTAGCAGGTAGTTATTGGGCACCCAGTGTGCTAGATACAGCAGGGGAAATAGAAACAGATAAAGACATGGCCCTATAGCCCTTGCTATCTACTTGTGATAACAAGATAAATACACGAAAAGTTAAATAGTACAAGGTAGTATGTGATCAAGGGACATGGGCAAAAGTGTTACACAATTTTAGAAATTAGAGAGCTGACTACCTGGATAATACTGGAAACAAACGAGAAGGGCACCAAAACCCTAAAGGTCATACACAAACTAAAGCTAAAATATGCCAATGATTATGTCAGTTGCCTGCTCAAAAACCTTCAAAGACCCATCACTAATAATCAAAGAAAGTCCAAACTCCTTAGCTTGGCATGCAAGACCCTACAGGCCCTGACCCCTTCCTACCTGACCAGGCTTTACTCCAGCCACACTGCTCCATTAATGTCCCTTGAACACACTGACACCAGCTGCTGTCCGCCCTGCTTTGCTCCTGATGCCCTATCTCAGCCAACACCCTTTCCCTCAACCTCAGCTACTGAAAATCCATCAATTTTACATTCTGCCTCCTTCCTTTGAGGCATCCCAACACTTCTTTCCATTATTATGCAGATCTTCGCCTCTTCATACAGCCAGTCTCCAAGATGCCCCCAATGATTCCCACCTCCTGATATTCATTCTTTTGTGTAATCCCCTCCCATATGACCTGTGTAACCAATAAGTCACACACCAACAGCAATGGAGATCAAGCAAAGCTTGATCATAGGAGACATCTGAGGCTTCCACCTTATGTTCCCTTGGATCACTCACTCTAAGAAGAGTCATCCACCATGTCATGAGGACACTCCAATAAACCTGTGAAGAGGTTTACATATTGAGGAAGTGAGATTTCCTGCCTAGAGCGACTACCACTTGCCAGCTGCATAAGTGAACCAGCTTAGAACTGGATTCTCCAGCCGCAGAGAATGTTCAGATATCTGTTGACCTGGCCAGCTCACCGACTACAATCCTATGGGAGACCTCAAGCCAGAACCAACCAGCTAAGTAGCTCTCAAATTCCTGACCCACAGAAAGTGTATGTAACCATAAATGTTTTTTGTTGTTTTTAGCTACTAAGTTTTAGTAATCTGTTATGCAGCAACAGACAACTACTACACTTCACTTATGTATGCTGTATTGCATTCCAATTATTTCTGTCCTAACATTTTTCTTACAACTAGATTAATAAGTCCTAGAGGGCAGAGAATTTCTTTCTTTAACATTTTTCAACTCTGCATGCTTTAGTAAGACATTTAGTAATCATTAGTTGACTGAATGATGAGAGAATTTTTAAACTTAATGAAATCGTTGGTGAAGCTGTGTCTTGGACTGACTTCATAATGGTTTTGAATGATTTTGTAATTTATTTTTAACTTTAAGGACTTAGTAGTGTGAAAGTAGTAACAGCTGGCAGCCTGAATTCTGATCCCAGCCCTGGCTTTTAGAAAATACTGCCAAAAATATAGAGAGATCTCGCCTCACTTCTACCTCGGACTTTTCTCCCACTCTGGCTTTCCTAACTTATCCCAGGGCAAGAGCAGCTTCAAAGTGTCAGAGGTGGTAAATGGGCATTGGAGCAAGGCAAGAATTAGTGATGGGAACAGGAGGAAGAGGCTGGCAATAATAAACAGCAGCCATGTACAGGATTTGGTGTCAGTCAGCCATGTCTAAGCAGCTTGAACCTGGTAGAATCCCCTTGTGCCAGGCACCCTGCCTCAGCCCCAGAAACTGATAGCATTTCATAAGTTTTTATTTGACAAGATTTCTTCTGAATTCTCCAATCTTTAAAAGAGGTTTCCAGCCCAATACAGGTCTTCTCTTGAAGTTATGGCTAAGTACAGCCTAGCACAGTCCTTCTCTTACAAACCTAACAGTCCTCTTAGGTCTTCTTGGGATCCAGTGAAACTGCTCTGGGTGACTAGTAAGACCGAATGCCTCTCTTTAAGTCATAAATAAAAACAGAAACAAACCTGGACCAATCTTTTGGCAGTTCTTTCACAAATAAAACCACAGATACCACACAAAGATACACACTATTGGGAACACAAGTCTGATAAGTATCCCTTTGCGAAATTATAGGAGATTTGATTGTATACAATAAGTATAGTAAGGTGTGATCATGATATAAAATACACTAATTCCTAACAGGTAAGCTGGCCCAGCAGGTAAATTTACTTTGAATCAACATTTGTATTAATGACTCTGCATGATGAAAGAAATAGCAAAATAATTAAGAACCTCCATAAAAGAAAGCTACAAAACCGTGCTAGGAAGCAGTTGGTTCTCACTGTAAAAAGGAGTGAATGTGGCTTTAAGCCAACAAAAGGAGCACAAATCTAGACAATTTAGCCTAGGGCCAAAGCAAGATTCATTCCAAGAATGAGTAGTAAGTGCTTGTTATAATTCTGTGCAGTTTAATTTTAAATGCCCTTCTCTCTCTTTGGAGACTACATCCACAAACTTCAAAGAGATTCTGGTATTTAGTCTAATTCTTTCCATATGTTAAACACACCTCATTGCCTATAGGCACCAGTCAGATTAGTTTCTTCTGAAAAAAGAGGTTAGAGATTGATCCTTCTATGTAAAATTATTTCATCCTATTAGTGTTAGGGACCTGAAATTTATTAGCAAACAACTTGGGGTTAGTTATACAAGCCTGTTGATAAGGAAAGGCTGCCTTCCAGCTGTTCCCAACAGCTTTTCTAAATAAAGAGCCATTGCTTGAGCAAAACTCTGTCTAATCTCTTAAAGATGTGTATTTAATTAAAGAAAACTTTTTTCCAGTGGCTCAAGACCTTAATCCCATTGATTGTGCTGCAAACATCAATCAAATCATTTGTTAATGTTTTTGCTCCAGTAAAATTTAGCAACATCAGAATAAGACCGTGCCTTTTAGGAATAGATGATGCTGACATTCCCTCAAGGTACACCTTTGTTTCACACTCTCCATTTCTCTCTCAGGAAAGGCAACAATCAACTGAACTCCAATTGTTTCATTTAGAAACATATCAAGTGTCCATAAAAACATGAAAAACTGTGTACAAAATAATGTTAAGAGGAAACAGAACATTAAACTGTGTATATTCTATGGTCACAGCTATATATAACCACAGATGAGGATGGAAAGGAATATGAGAAATGAAACAGATGTTTTCACACACACCTCTATAACCTTACTGTTTTTTCTTTATACATTTCCTTTACTTTTGCTGGGAGTTGTCTTAGTAATGGGGGTAGTATGTTTGCTTTTTAAATTATCAGGATAACATCTCACCTCATCAGACAAGAGCTTATGGGCCAATTACTCACGTACAAGGTGGTGACTGTCTAGACCAACTGAGATAAGATGCCTGCCTGGTCTCCTCCTAAAAATTCCTCAGGGTTAGTAAAGCCACAATTTTCAAGTTTAATCCCTGCATGGGGAAAGAAACTGTGTCTAGCCTGCTAAACAGAGTGGATTTCAAGGAAATGTTCTAATTTTTAGTTGAAACTAAAATAATCCCTTAAGTGAAAGTAAAAATGATATTTAGGCAAATCCTAAAAATGAAGTCATTCGTTAACACATATTTACTGAGAACACGGGCACAAAGATGAGTTCTAGAGATAACAAAACTGAGTTACTTCCTAGAAGCAGACAGCAGAACAGCAGCTGCCAGGGGCTGGGTTTGGAGGGTGGGGAATGGGGAGTTGTTGATACAAACCTTCAGTTATAAGATGAGTAAGTTCTGGAGATCTAATATACAGCACGGCGACTATAGTTAATAATTCTGTATTGTTTACTTGAAATTTACTAATAGAGCAGATTTTAAGTGTTCCCACCACACATACACACACACGGTAACTATGTGTGATGAAGGATGTGTTAATTAACTTGACTGTGGTAATCATTACACATCAAATCATCACATTCTACCCCTTGAATATATACAATTTTTATGTGTCAATTATATCTCAGTAAAGCTGGGGAAAAAAAGCAAAAAAAAAAAAAAAAAAAACTTGGTTACTGTCCCCTGGAAGCTATCCTAGTAAGGCACAGAAAGCTGCAAACTAAGGAGGAATGCTGTAAGTGATAGAATCAATATAAAGAAAGGAGACTAGAAAGAACTACACAAAACCTTAAGAGGAAGAGATGACTTCTGGACCAGAAAAGGTTTCCTGGAGGAGGCAGCATCTGAACTGGCTCCTAAAGGGTAGGCTAATGATGTCCAGGAAAGAGAAGCAATGGGCAGTGCAGGAAAGGGGCAATACAACCAGGCAAAGGAAGGGATGCTTGCGATGCGTTCTGGAACAATGCAGGGTTTAGAAATGGGAACCAAAGGAGACACTCAGAGGAGGAGTAGGCATCACATCTGGCCTTGGACATGGAGAGAAGGATGGGGCAAGCGAGCAAATATTGTCCTCTGGGCTCTGTGCATTTGTTGTTCTATTTAATCCTGACAACTTGTCTTGTAAGTGGGAAGACTGAGGCTAGAGGAAGTTGCATACAGTTTCACAGCATGCAGTTCACCTTTGTATTCCCGCACTAACACTGTGACTGGGGCATGGCAGAGCCACCACAAACATTGCCCAAATGCAAGATGACAAACTCACAGGGCAGGCCCATACCCTGTCTGCTCTGCCATGATGCTCTTTGGGACTTTTTTTTTTTTTTTTTGAGAGGGAGTCTTGCTCTGTCGCCCTGGCTGGAGCACAGGGGCTCATTCTTGGCTCTCTGCAAGCTCTGCCTCCCGGGTTCTCGCCATTCTCCTGCCTCAGCCTCCAGAGTAGCTGGAATTACAGGCGCCCGCCACTATGCCCAGATAATTTTTTTGCATTTTTAGTAGAGACGGGGTTTCACCGTGTTAGCCAGGATGGTCTCGATCTCCTGACCTCGTGATCCACCCACCTCGGCCTCCAAAAGTGCTGGGATTACAGGCGTGAGCCACCGTGCCAACCGGGACTTTTTTTTAATAGACACTAGGAGCCATTGACTATTCTGGGTTAGAGGAATCAATAACCAGAGATTTCTGTTTTGAGAAGAGGATAGTAAAGGCTGGGGAAGTGCAGTGAGGGAGTTACCCAACATTGGGAGCCTGAAGAGTTTCCAGACAATGCCCACCTTTTCTCAGCATGCACTTTTTACACAGATTTTTCTAAGGAAGTACTAGAATGCCTCAAAACCTGAACTGAAATCTAAATTCCCTCCTTTGCCAAATATATTTTTATTACACAATTTAAACACACAGACAGTATAAAATAAAAAGTTAAACTTTTTCTTTCAACTCATAGTTCTACTACTAACAGTATGTTGTTCATTCTTCTAAAAAAAAAGCGTATGTACTCATAAACTTACAATATGCCTTTTTACACATAATGAGATCAGTATTTTGTTTTTTAAGTTAATCTGTCTTGGAGATCTTTCCATATCAGTGCATAGAGACCAACCTTGTTCTAAAGCTGCACAGTGTTTCATCTCAAGGAAGCACCCTCATGTATGTAAGCAGCTGATGCATATTTAAGTGGTTTGAGTTTTTGTTTTGTTCATTCTTAAGAACAATGCTGTAATGAACGCTTTTTGTATCAAAATTAATTCACTTGTGGTCACTTGTATCAGCTTCTTGGATACTTTCACAGATAGGCTCTCTTGTGTAAAAGATAATTTAGCAAAGTTTCCTTGTATGTTAGTATAGTTAACAGTCACTTATCTTAGCAATGAGAGGGAACACAAATATAGCCTAAAAATAAATCTACTCACAAGATTATCTCAAGGCAACATTTTGTAGTTCTGGAGCCTCCTGGGAAGCCTCTGGGGCCAGAGTTCTTCCTGACTTCCCACCCAAAGCCACTTGTGCAGAATTCCTCATTCCACACTGGGGCAGTCAGCACTCCTTCCCACAGGGACCCAGGATACTACCCCTCTGGCTCTACCAGTAGCTTTGGACTCCCTGGTTCCCATGCTTAAAATGAGAATGAAAAGTACATGTGACAATTATCAGAATACAGAATTTTCACACTGAGGGATTAGAGATGATTTATAGTTGACAACTCACATTTCTTAGATATACCAATTATGGCCCAGAGGGGTTGAGCATCTCAGCAATATTATATACCCAGTCTGCTCGCCTGCTCGCCTCCTCCTGCTCGCCTGTCCAGAGCTTTTCCCATTACCTAGTACCAAATAATGGCTGCGTCCTTTGCTTAACTATTTCAAAAAGACCATGTAAGCAAAATTTCTCTATGATATTCCTCTGGGTATAAATGATGCTTTAAATTAGAAAAAAAAAGATTCTGACAACATATGGAGAGATGGCACAGATAGTAAGAAATTCAAAAACGTTATTTTTAGATAATTTTAACTTCTTTCTCCACCAAACTCACTACTAGAATGCCTAGCAAGTTTCAAAATTGGCACATTTAAGTTTCACCTCCCTTCTTCTTGTCCCTTATTGAGGTATTGTTAACAAGCAAATGCTAGTAACACTGCTGACTTGTTATCAGCAAGGCAGGTTGCTCTCAAGTTGTTTGCAGCCCTGACAATGGATTTATAAACCTGGGGCTACTCAGGCTGTGAGACTTAGAGTCATGTTTTTATGCTACAGAATTTTTTTTTTTTTTCTAGATGGAGCCTCGCTCTGTCACCCAGGCTGGAGTGCAGCGATGCAATCTTGGCTCACTGCAACCTCCTCATCCTGGGTTCAAGCGATTCTCCTGCCTCAGCCTCCCAAGGAGCTGGGACTACAGGCGTGCACCACCATGCCGGGCTAATTTTTGTATTTTTATTAGAGAGGGGGTTTTGCCATGTTGGTCAAGCTGGTCTTGAACTCCTGGCCTCAAGTGATCCACCCATCTCAGCCTCCCAAAGTGCTGGGATTATAGGTGCCTGGCCTAAATCAGGGATTTTTAAATAGCTCTGAGAAAAATCTGTTCAAAAGATTTTTTTTTTCTGTTGAAGAACTGTTCTACAATATTCAAGATCTCCATCCTGCAGCCTCTGGAACCCAGCTCTGTTACTGCCCTCCAGCAAGCCCCTGCAAGCTGGCTAGGTGGCATAGTTCCTGCAAGAGGAACTATGGCAATATGGTTAGAAACCACCGGATTTGAACATCAGATTGCCTCTGACCTTGGGTAACAACTTAAGTTCTTGCAGTCTGTTTTCCCATCTTTAAAATGGGGATAATAATGATAGAACTTATTTCAAACTGCCATTGAAGAATGTGGCAATGTACAGAGAGATCTTAGCACAGTGCCTGGCACATAGTAAGTGGTCAAAAACTACTCAGCCTTTACTGCCACACTTGGCACATACATGGGCTAACCAGAGGCAAAAGGCAAAAAGACAGGCAGCTGAGAACAGGCGAAGAACAAGTCTTCAGTATGACTTCTGCTGAATTAATAAAATGGAATAGAAACAGTTTTGTTTTGTTTTGTTTTTTTAACCCAAGTCCTTATTTGTCTCGAAGATTCTTAGGAGCAAAGAGTCATTTCCAGTACTGCTTCAATTGTGACCTGAAAAACTACACCTGGGAAGAAATTCACTAGGGCAGTCAGGCTCATGAGCTGCCTCCCACAGGCCCAGCCACAGCAGAGAAGAGCCCAACTCTACAACTCCTTACTTCAGGGCACTGACAAGGAACAGAAAAGGAGGGAGTAAGAGCAATTTCTCAAGTCACAGGCAGCTTTTCCATATCACCGACTCTCTTACAGCAAGCTCTCCCTGGTGTGACCAAGGCTAAGAGTTTCCCTTTTTCTTTATACCTGCAATAAGAGATCACCTAAGCATTCACATCCATCAGGGAAGAACCATTATTCCATTACTTTTTTTTAATTAATACAAACAGGGTCTTGCTATGTTGCCAGGCTGGTCTCAAACTCCTGGGCTCAAGGGATCCTTCCACCTCAGCCTCCAGAGTAGCTGGGACTTCAGGTTTGGGCCACTATGCCTAGCCTATCACTCCTTGATCATTTTCATCATTGTTTTTGTAGAATGAATGCTTTTAAAAGCTAAGTGTCATAAGATTGTTTTTTTCCTATTATTACATGTGATTGGGATCCTCAAGAGGATGAAAGAAAAAGTCGGAATGGCCCACAGGCCAGGACCTAACAGGGTGAGTGAACCAGGGCAAGAATGTCTTGCTGAACTAGTGCAGGTCATGAATAAAATAGGGCAGCCCAAGGTCATCACCACATGGTGAATGCTTTGAGAAGCAAGAGATACCAAAGTTCAGAGGTCACCAACTCACCTGTCTCTAGAAGCCAGGCAGATAAATGAAATGTATGACCGACCAGGAGGAACACAATAGGGAGCAGCAGAGTCTTTGGCCAAACTCGCACAAATGCCCCACTAAGTGAGATGAAAATTTTAAAAGCTGAACACAGTGTATAAGTTGAGCAAAATGCATCTGGGTCACATCTTGGCCAAGGGTCCCATTTTGTAGTGCCCTGCAAAAGGTTGTGATGGGCAAGAAATGAAGACCAAAAAGATCAGTCAAGAAAGGAAAGGGCAGGAAGGAAGAAAGGGCCTGTCTGGGCAGGTGGAATCCCTGGCACCCACTGATGCAGTGGTCAGAAAAGGAAGGTCACAGAGAGGCTGGGGTCTATGCCCCACATGCCAGGGGCCTAGGCTGTGAAACCCAGGAAGGAACAGATCAGGGTGTAGACAAAGAAAAGGGCAAGCAGGCGTGGGGACCACAGTGGCCTTACTGTGGAGTCAGACACTCTGTGCGCCAGGAGTTCCCAACATGCTAGTCCTGAAAATGCAATACAACAAGAACACAGTCTGAAAACCTGACACTGAATCCATGGGACAACCCAGAACCAATGGGTGCTGCACCCACATACCTTCTGCTCAGGGGAAGGGCCCGTTTCAAGGAGCACAAAGGCAAAGCCTCACCAGATCAGAGGAAAAGAGGCAAAGGGATGGGACAGTTCCCAACAGGCTAATAAGAAAAAGAAAAAAGCCCACATCCTTCCACAGCATTTATTTCATAAACAAATATATATTTAGTGTTAACTGAACTCTTTACAAGGTCCAGCAGATGTTACAAAGATAAAAAACCTACAGCTACTGAGAGTAAGTGGCTTATTCTGGGTCAAGAGCAGAAAGAGATTATTTGGGAACAGGGTTGACCAAGTCACACACTCAGATTTGGTAACATAACAGCTCACTAGTTACAGTACTGGAATGCTCATACTCTGTTGACTGAATGAAATGATATATAGTTGATACTCTGAAAAGTGCTAAAAGAGTAGCACGTATAGCAGGAAAACATTGAGATCATCATCATTAGACTCTTTCGGACAACAATAGTTTACGTCAGAAGAAAATGGAGTGACATATTTAAGATTCTCAAGGAAAGAAAATTTGAGCCAAGGATTTTATATCAGACAACAGTGACCCTTAATTATAAAGGTCACAGACCAAGTTTTATCAACTTGAAATTAGGGAATATTGTTCTCATGATCCCCTCCTATTAAATCTACTAGAGAAAGAGCTTCAATCAAAATGTCTAGAGACACTGATATGAGGACAAGTGATAAGCATGATATATACAACAACCTGTACAAATAAGACTAAATGAGTATTAAAAGGGAGATATTTTAATATATAACAATAATAAGATCTGATGATGCAGAAGTACTAAACCATTTTTTTAAGGTGGGAAAGAATTAGTATGGCATATGCCAAAGAAATTATTTTTATTGTTTTCAGTAATCATAGCTGGTAATGGTAGTATTAATGTCATTATTTGGAGACGATTTGTGTGTAATATGGGGTAATCAAATAGGTAATTACACAATAGTCTATTTCCCTTGTGACCAAAAAACCAGGATTCTAAGTGTGGAAGAAAAGGAATAAAAATGTAATATATAAGAGGTTAAACAGAAACCCTATAGTCTTGAACTTTAATTGGAAATAGCATTATGAACTCACAAAGTATTTTATCTTTATATGAGTATTTATGTTTGCATGTAAGTGTGAGAGAGAGAGAGTGTGTGTGTGTGTGTGTGTATGTGTGTGTGTTTCCCAGCTCTGACCGAGGAAAGGCCTATAAATACTAACCATTCCAGTGAATGAGGATTCCCAGCGTCTGGACTATAGTCTTGAAATACCATTTCTCGCTAAAAAATAACCAGGGTTTCTTGGGAAAATGGTTGACTCCAGGTATAGGCAAGAAATGTACAAGACAAGCATGGATCACCTTAACAAATCAAAGAGCAGGAAACTAACAAGAATACTAAGGTCAGGTCAGGAGGACTTAGGGGCCAACTGAAGAGGCTCCCATTGGTCAAAGATGGGACAATTTGAGTCTCAGTAAAAACTAAAATTTCAATAGACTAAAACCTATAAAAAAGATTTAATTCCATGAGCTCATAACAATTAAAAAAAAACCCTAATCAGTGATCTTCTGAGAATGACATGAAATCAATTCTTGAAAACTGAGTAAATCAAAGGAAAGAATCAAGCATTTATCATCCCTTTCCTATGTGAATTGTACCACTGGGCAATCAAATAACAGATTGAAAAGGCGTCTATCCTTATAAAATTATTCCAGCTAATAAATAAAATCAAAATGATAGAATTAGAGTATCACCATTCTGCAATTGCCCCCACTGAATTAACAGATCGAGACACTGAGGATCAACAGCTGCTAACATCAAAAGAGTGGAAAAACCAGACCCCATGTGTCTCCCAGTGAAAGAATACACCACCATCTGTAATCTTGCCAAAGGGATGAGACCTGAATCTGATCAAGTCTCTGGATCCAGATACAGGAAACAGAGGGAAAAGCAGTAAGTTAAACTGTACCGTGAGTGTGAATCTTTCTTGTTATCAACACTGTGGGAAACTCTACAAATTAAACAGCCCAGGTCCTGCAACAAATTAAAAAAAAAAATTTAAAGGAAGGAGACTCTGGTAGAGGGGTCTGTAGATTAAAAGAGACTTAAACATCTTTTTTTTTTTTTAATGGGTAAGACTAAAACTCAGTGGGTCAGGCTGCTCATTTGGGTAATAAAACCATAAAGAGATGCAAGGAAGTAATTACTATAAAGTCAGGATGGCATTTATTTTTGGAGGAACAGAGGGAAATGTGATCAGGATGGGATGTAAAATTTTGGTCCCTCTGGCAAAGTTCTATTTCTTGACCTAAATGCTAGTGATATATATGGGTGTTTGCTTTGTAATAATTCACTAAGTTGTGTACATTTGTTTTGTGTGGCTTTTTGATATTTATGTTTTACAATAAAAGTATTAAAAAAGCATTAAGAAAATCTAGGCATATCAGCACAGTAGCCAACTGACGGAAAAAATTGCAACGTGTCTCTCAGTGCTAGGTGGAAAAGTGTAGGGACCCAGTAATAAATCAGACAGGAACCAGCATCTTACGAACACTGTTTCAATGAACTTTTCACTTTGAAGGTAAATAACTGAATGTACACTGTTTAATTAAAATTTGCCTTATAACACTTTAAATTATTTTTAAAAGCATATAACAAATGACATGCTCCAAAATACCTCAAGAGCAATCTCAATTCAAAATGACTTCCTAGAGTTGGGTGTGGTGGCATGCACCTGTAGTCCCAGCTACACAAAAGGTTGAGGCGAGAGAACTGCTTGAAGCCAAGAGTTTGAGGTTGTAGTGTGCTATGATTGTGCCTGTGAATAGCCATTGCACTCCAGCCTGGGCAACAGAGCAAGACCCTATCTCTAACAAACACATATAATAAATAAAAAAAATAAAATAACAAAATAACCTCTTAGATATCTACCAGAATTGCAATGAACAGTCGGGCATTGGGTTCTCACAAATACAAGATGACACATCTCACACTCCATGAGGTATGGCATGACCAGCTCTGCACACCACCATGGTTCATCCTTCTACTATTAAAAACAACAAAATGTGAAGAATGAAACATGGAGACAAGCTTTGTAGCAGAACCAGACTGGTTGGAGAGGCAACAGCCTTTGAGAGTTCACAGAAAAAGAGGGTGTTTGTGGCAGTATTATTGAAGAGTAACACCCTGTAGCACAAGTATGGGAGGGCAGCTGAGCCACCAGAGTGTAAATCCCAGCGTGGCCAGGCATTCACAGCATGTTACTTAACCTCCTTAAGCCTCAATTCCTTATCTGCAAACAAGGCTTAACAATAGTATCTTTCTCATAGATTCCTCCTGAAGATGAAATTAAATAATGTGTATAAAGCACTCAGCACAGTGCCTGCTGGCCCACCCTACGTACTCAACAAGTGTTTGCCATGATTACTGGGATGGTAAACATTTCTGGAAAATTAAGGAATTCTCTATATGATGGATACCTTTCTGGCTGGAATGTAGGATGCTTTCCCCAAAGTAAGTAGTGCTATTTTATAAACCCATGACCTTTAACATCAAAAAATCACTGCTTCAAGATACTTCCAGTCAGTTTTAAAATGAAAAAGAATAAGAAAAAGTCACTGCTAGTAGTAATTATGTATATGTGATTTTCAACACCTTCCATATTATTATTTGGTTTTCTCCTCCCAACTACCATCATGGGTGGTTAGTTTTAACTCCAATGAAACCTGGGATTATTAGTATCAGGAATACTGATGGCTGTAACTGGCCTTTAGGGAATGGGAGCCCAGGGTTAGTACAGATGCTTCTTGTCCACCCTGTAACCATGCCCCTCCCCTTCCCCTATGGGCACAGCCAACCTCCCACAATAGAGGTTCTCCCTCAATGCCCAATACTCACTTTCACAGCTTCCCTTAAGGCTGTGACTCAGTTCTGGCCAATGAGGCTTAAAGAGGCTCCAGGAAAGATTTTACTCCCGGATGAAAAGGGATAGACACTACTAGAGAAGCAATTTATTGCTGCCCTCTGTGTCCACCCTTCACACACACACACACACACACACACACACACACACACACACACACTCTCTCTCTCTCTCTCTCTCTCTCCCCCTTCCTGTCTTAAAAAGAGGTTGGCAGGAACCTGTGATACCTGTTGCTGAGAAAGCTATTTCCGCCCACAAAGAGGCAAGTCTGCAGATAAAAATGTAACATGCTAAGGATGAGAATAGATAGAACTGGTCCCTGATGACACTGTTTAGCCAAGGATCCAATCCTGAATCTACCCAATCCCAGACTGCCCTTCATATAAGACAATTTAATGTCTTTACTATTCAAATCACTGTTCATTGGCATTTGCTTAATTGCAGTCTAAAACATCCCGATTGTTATGATCTGAATTGTGTCCCTCCTGCTATGGTCTGAAGGTGTATCTCCCCTCAAAATTCATATGTTGAAACCTAAACCCCAAGGTGGTGGTATTAAGAGGTGGTTAGAAGTGATTAAGTCATAAGGGCTCCACCCTTATGAGTGGATTAGTGCTTTTACAAAAGATGTTGAAAGGTGTACCCCAGTGCCTTTTGCCCCTCCACCTCCCATCTCATCTACCATGTGAGGACACAGCAAGAAAGCACCCTCTTGGAAGCCCAGAGCTGCCCTCACCAGACACTGAATCTGTGGGTGCCCTGATCTTGAATTCCCAGCCCCCAGAACTGTGGAAAATAAATTTCTGTTCTTTACAAATTACCCAGTCTCAGATATTTTGTTACAGCAGTACAAACAGACTAAGAAACACCAAAAAGTTCATATGCTGAAGACTTAACTCCCAATATCTCAGAAAGCAACTGCATTTGGAAACAGAATGTTTAAAGAGGTGACTCAGTTAAAATTAGTCTTAAGGTGGTCCCCAATCCAATTTGATTGGTATCCTTATAAGAGGAGAGCTGGACACACAGACGCCAAGTGTGCGCACAAACAACAAGCTGAGAGGATCTGTGGCCAGTAGACGTGAGCTATAATATTAAAAATTTTTATTCTTCAGGCTGAAGGACAAAAAAAAAATCCCTGATGGAAACTTGTGTCTACACTAAAAAATCAAAAGCCCCACACACAGTAAATGCGTATTTTTCTCCTGTTTTAATTTCTTCAAAAGATCATTGTTTAAAGAAAAAAGTAACTATAATTTGTAGGGATTATACATAGATACAGAAATAAACCATATGACAATCACAACACAAACGGTGTGGTCTCCTCAGTAGTCCCCCGTATCTATGGTCTCGGTTTCCACAGTTGCAGTGTGACCACAGACCATGCAGTCTGAAAACAGGTGAGTGCAGTATACAAGATATTTTGAGAGAAAGTGAAGACAGAAAGATCATTTTTATATAAATCTTATTACAATATATTGTTATAATTGTTCTATTTTATTATTCGGTATTATGGTTAATCTCTTACTGTGCTTAAATTATAAATTAAATTTTATCATAGGTACATATGTATAGGAAAAAATATAGCTTATATAGGGTTCAGTACTATGTGCAGTTTCAGGCATAGACTGCAGGTCCTGAAAAGATCCTCCCTGTGTAAAGGAGGACAACTAATATCCTTTATAAAGGCGATTGTTATAGACTGAAATGTACCACCCAAATTCATATACTGAAACCCTGATCTCTAGTATGGCTGTGTTTGGAGACAGGCTTTAATAAACAATTAAGGTTAAATAAGATCATAAGGGTGGGACCCTAATCTAATATGACTGGCACTCTATGAAGAGGGAGAGACACCAGGGTTGTGCACAGAGAAATGTTCTTGTGAGAATACAGCAGAAATGTGGCCATCTGAAAGGCAAGGAGGGAGGCCTCAGGGAAATCAAACCTGTTGACGTCTTGATCTTGAACTTCCAGTCTCCAGAACTGTGAGAATATAAATTTCTGTTGTTTAAGCCACCAGTCTGTGGTATTTTGTTATGGCAGCCCTTAAAAACTAATACACTTATATAGAACACTATCATCACTAAAGGCAACCATAAAAAAAACAGAACTTACAGGCCAGGTGCGGTGGCTCAAGCCTGTAATCCCAACACTTTGGGAGGCCAAGGCAGGTGGATCACTTGAGGTCAGGAGTTCGAGACCAGCCTGGCCAACATGGTGAAACCCTGTCTCTACTAAAAATACAAAAATTAGCCAGATGTGGTGGTGTTTGCCTGTAATCCCAGCTACTCGGGAGGCTGAGGTAGGAGCTTCGCTTGAACCCGGGAGTTAGAGGTTGCAGTGAGCCAAGTTTGCACCACTGCACTTCAGCCTGGGAGACAGAGCAAGACTCCAACTCAAAAAAAAGAAAAAAAAAAAAACAGAACTTAACGAAAGACTGATTAAAGCGTAAAATTCAGTGTGGATATGCTTGTTGGGCTTGGGTGGTTAATCCTCTGCCCCTGCCACCTGTCTCCGCAAGTCACTGCCCAACCTCCTCTATCTGCCTCATTTCCCTAATGGTAAGGCTGAAAGGCCCTGGTGTGCTCAACTCCAGGGCAGCAAACCTGGGGGATGGCTGACTACAGAGGAAGGCAGAGGCCAGACCTGAATTAGTCAGTTTCATAACCTGTTATTCTCTGTTCAAATATTTAAATCTAGAGGGGAAAAAAAAAGCTGTCAATCTACTAAAATTAATACTATGTTATGATCAGTAGCAAACCTTTATTATTCTAATTTCCATGGCCCCTATTAGAATGATAAATTAAAAACTGACTAAAATTCAGAAAAAGGGAAGTCTCAAGTACTGGCAAAACCCAAAATGCAAAAGAAGCAGGAGGAAGTTACAGAACATGGCTTCAAAGAAAAAAATGGTCTGTTTTTCATTTTCTCATTTTCTACCATTACAAAATGAGAGGGACACTCTGAGAACAGAATAGATTCCTGGAGGTACCAGGACCTCAGGACAGGAAACAGGCCTGGGTTAGGGGAAACGGTCCGCTTGGCAACTCCGAGTCCTGAGTTGGGCCCGTGCTCTTCCAAACATGCGCCGCTGTTGAAATAAGGATGCCCATCCCAGTTCAGTATCTACAAACCACCTGAGTTATCCTTAAGTCAGCTGGCATACTGGATTTATGATGTCAGCATTGTTGGTGACTCAAGTCTAGATTTTCAACTAATGAACACTGGGCAGACTCTCCAATGTCTCTGTTTCATGGCCTTCAATTTCTGGATCTATTTGTGGGACACCACTAATTGTTTTGGTTGTTATTTTTTGTTCTTGACCTGGTTGCTTGTTAATATTTTTCCACCCAGTGAAGACCTATAAAAACAACTTTGTTATTTCTTAAGATGGGTACATAGGTGTTCATTTTATATGTTGTGTTTATTTTATATGTTGTGTTCATTTTAATCTTCTTTAAACTTTAAAGCCACTCTGTACTTTCAAGAGCTCTTTCCACTGCCAAAAAAAAAAAAAAAATTAAAAAAAAATCCCTACAGCTAGCTGCTGCCTGAATAAGCTTCTTTCTAGAACAAGACAGGAAAATGAGTCACATAAGTCTCCCAGGCTAGGGGTTCTCAATTTGCATCAAGCTTCACTGGTGATTCTGACTTAACAGTCAGGTTCACAGGAATAGTCCCAGATGAGCCCTAAAATACAGCACATTGGATAAGTTCAAAGTTTCATTTGGTGTATCACTTTTGTAGCTGCCCAGATAATGATGTTCTCAAACTACCCTACCTGGGCAGAGCTTCCCTGCCAGGGAGGTGATAAGCACCACAGGTACACAGGGCAGGGAATCCTTGCTTCCTCAGGAGGCTCCCTATTTACACAGGGTCTCTTACCTTGAAAAGTAATAGCAGCCTGTTCCTTCAGGCACTATCAGTCATTCCAGGTCATAAAAGCAAAGGAGCAAAGTGGCTACGTGTGTGCAAACAGAGGTCATCACCGGATGTTGGGAAGGCCTGAGTTCACTCACCTCTTCCAGGTATACCTCATGAGTCACTAGCAGCCTAATTCTGCCTCAAGGCAAAAGGAATTCCATCACTAAGTGAGGACTGCTCTGCCCTTCAAGTGTAGCAAAACAGTATTTAACCAAACACCTGCCATTTTCCAGAAAACAATCTCAACCCTTTAAAGAGTGAAGAAGGAAAAATAAAAGAGTAGTTTCCTGACCACAGAATGATGGAATGAGGTACTGGACTTACTTCCCAAAGATTTACGTGACCAAAGTTTGTTCTGAAACTTGCACTGTTGCCAACACTGTCCATGCATTTTTTTCTCAGAAGACTGGCATTTTTTTTCGTGTCTGCATGTGTGTGAGGGTCTGAACACAGTCAGAAGAGAGCTCAGGACAGGAAAGACGAGTGTAGTTAGGTCTACATAGCACACACCACAATCTCTGTCTCCCCTATTTTTGTTGACAGCCATGTTGTAAAACCAAACAAACAAACAAACAAAAAACCTCATTTTGTTAAACAAATGATAAATAAGAGTAATAAATAAGAGTTAGGAATGAGGAAGGCTTGAGCTAAATGAATTTGGGTTGAAGGAGTAAGAGCCAGGCTTAGAGAGGGTATTGACAGAGTGAGCTGTTGCTTACTTTTTGGCTCCTTTAAAATATCCAAGAGTCTACTGTGTGCCTTGCTGAGTACTGTGTTCCCAAAAGACCTTGCCCCGGTGCCTAATCCTGCAGATGCGGTCCCTGCCCTGGGCCTCCCGGACCTCACGCAACTTCCCCTGAAGACATGCCAGCCCGATTCCCTTTGCAACACCAAGGGCAGCTGTCTGTCTTAAATAATCTGGTTTCATTCACTACCTGTTTTAAACATGGGAGTTGTGAAAGGCCAACCCACTGCTCACAATTTAACTGTAATAGGTCTTTTGAAAGCTTCCCTCATGCAGAGAAGCTTAATGGGTACTATGGCTCGTCTTCGTTCTCAGGCACATAAAACTCGAATGCCCTGCTCTGGCTCACTTATCTTTGGCAGCAGCGGTGACATTTCCCTTATATAATCATGTGACCCTGCAGCTAGCAATCACTGAAGTTGTGCTACATTCACCCCATTCTCTGGGCTCCTCTGGCATTGTTAAAGGAAAAAAGAATTCATGCTAAAATCACATATGACACAAGTTACTACTTTCCCTCTCTACTCCACTGTGGCTCAGTACTAACACTTACTGGAATGAGACCTATTTGGCCAATCTAACTAAGTCCTCCACTTAATGGGTGCCTTCTGCACACTGATACAGGAGAGGAACATCTGGCTTAATCTGCACAACAATCCTATAATATAAATACTATCCCCAGTTTTTACTCTGGTGAAGAAACAGGCTCAGAGAGCTAAGTAGATTGTCCAAAGCCACACAGCCAGCAGGGGCTGAGACATGAGCTGCTGATTCCAGCAAAGTCATTTGGACCAACTACTTCTTGACTAAAGTCATCTTTATTCCCAATGTTTAAGGAAACTACAAGTGGAATTTTGAACTTAATTCCATTCTGTTATTAAAGAAACGAACCCAGAGGTGTTTACGAGTTAGCCTGGAGTCTCAATCCTGTGACCACCTGCCCGCAACCCTTGTTTTTAGTGGAAAAGATCTGTACACCTAGCCCCCCGTCACCTTGACAGAAACATCACCATGTTGGTTTTTAATCCCCCTTGTCCTATACGGAAAAGGGCAAGCCTAGGAAAACAACCTTTTTGGCACACACCCAGCTTTGCAGCTGGTTCTGAACCTCAGCTACCTTAGTTCTGAACCATAAACACTTGCTTCCAGAGAAAAAACAACTGCTGTCTAAAAGGATGGGCTGGGTATTATTTGATTATTGCTGAGCCTGTGACATTTTCAAACAATTCTCAGGTAACTTATGTCTGATGTAAAACAAAATCCTATGGAATCAGGTTTGTTTCAGTAATACCACTGGTTATTTGAAACAGATGTTGGCAGAAATGTGCTTCTTTTGAGTTTCTTATTGTTGAGAAAGACAAATATTTTGAATATCATTCTACTGCCCTTGTGAAACACAACAGAATTCCAAACCCATTTTTGCCACTAGCAACTTACCTTCAGGGACTCCTTCTTATCAACAGACATCTTTACGCAAGTTACCTGCCTTCTCAAATCCCAAGGATTTCATGTAAACATGAGAAGGGTGTGCTGTACCAGGCACATAGCAGGAGCTCAATAAATGCCTGCTGTGTGAATGAATGGTGCTCTCCTCCTGCAAGCTGGACTTAAGGAGATGGACACCTCCAAAGTTGAGGAATAGCAACCATATGGTGTAAGGCCATAGACCAGGTGGTTTCCAAGATACCCCTTGGCTCTGCTATTCTAGAATTATCTACCCTCCACTTGTAGCTCATTTCCTCCTCTTCAGGCCAAAATGTAGGCTAAAAATGAACTGACCTCCTTTACATTTTGCAACATGGTTCTCTGTTTTTGTTTTTTACCCTCTACAAATTATTCATTTTCAGCTACTGGGCAGCACAACTGAAGTATAGAAGCCTAGAAACTGCAGTTGGCTCAGACTCCAGGGCCACAGTCATCAAAACCAGAGACAAGAGTATGGGAAGAAAATTCTTAGCCAGAGGGAAACATAAAGGTTGGGTGTTACGAGGGCCTTTTCAGTGTTTGTTGAGTTCTTGCTGTGTGCATTTGGTATTAAATGCAGGATGTGGGCAGTGTGAGGAGGGGTGAGGTGATAAAAGTTAATCTGGCACCACACAACTCCTTCCCTTAACTTCTGTATCAGAGCCAGAGATCCCTGAGAATGCCAAAGCAGGGAAAATTGTCCACTTTGTTATCCAGATTGGCCCCTGTGCATGTCGCCATTGCCAAAGTCAATGCCCCTGGCACTGGAATTGTACTAATAGCCCCTATGCCCTTCCCCTCTGTGAAAAAGCAGGTGGCCCTTATTTATCATCACTGCTTCTCCCGTCTCCTGGAGGTTATCCCATTTTCAGCCCCTTCAACTGCTATCACGCATAAATGGAGGCAGTGAGGAATGGACCATTCTACATGAGGTAGATCAAAGCTCAATTCTGAGAATGAATGAAATCTCCAGGAAGGGTGTTACTACCACATTGGGCTATCTTCTGCAAAAGAGGATTAATTGGATCAATTAAATATGAGACCTCTGCAGTGCCTGGCACTGTGGCAGACTCAACTTTAAAGATCACCTCTGTGAAGTTCTCCAAGCCGTAAGTCACATAGAAATCCACTCCTCCCCCAACTCAGCATTTCCTAATTAGTACTGTTTGGATGCAATCATTCCTCTCCACACACCCTTTCCTCCATTTCAACAGAATGAGAATTGCAAAGAACTGGCCTCATAAAATACTCTGTTCCTGGCCTCTGCAGTGTGTTCACCCCCAGGTTTCTGCTATTCTGTTTAGGATCCCAGGACAGCCTGTCCTCACGACAGCTCAACACGTAAACAAAGACTATGTCTAGCAATATAGTCTGAAATAGAAAATTAAGAGACAACAAACATGAGATTTCTCAACTCACACCAACTTTTCTTGGTGAGTTTAAACACACTGGAACAAAAGGTACACGGAGTAAAAGTTGCCCTTAAAGAAAGTGTTTAAAAGGCCCATTTGTGCAGGATCACTATGCTTTTGGTAGAACCTTGTTTTATTCACTGATTTATTAATAATTCTTAAATCATCACATAATCTAGATTAATATAATGGTTTATAAAGTCTACATATGTCAATCCAAAGAGCTTAACACAACACATTCAATATCTAAGGGATTCATATTTTACAGAGGAGTAGGTGGTAGTCTACTTCCCTAAACTTTATTTACTCAGATTACAAGTAAAAACTGAAAAGATGGGCAGTGAATGCCAGAGGCAATTAATGTGTATGGAGGACAAAAGGCATCCAAAAAATCTGCAAAAAAGCAAATTGTGTTACTAGCTAGAATATTAACAATTACTTGTGGGCCCCTGTAGTCCCAGTTACTCAGGAGGCTGAGGCAGGAGGATCACTTGAGCCCAGGAGTTCAAGACCACCTTGGACAACATAGCAAGACCCTGTCTCTAAAAACAACAACAACCATAGCTTGCTGACTTAACTGCTCATGACAGATCTAATTAGACGGTGGCAATAAACGTGTCTAAGTGTTTCATCAAACGTGATAATTATTTCTTTCCTTAAAGAGAGATGGAGTCATATGTTTACACTGCAAAGTATAATGTTTCCTTAGTTAAAACAGTGTGGAAACACTTCTGTGTAATACAGGATTCAAACCAGGATAAAAATATCGGCTGCGATAAGCAGCACTTACAGTGATTTATCAACTCTTACCTTTCATGTGCCAATGCACAATGGCTTCTTAAAGCCTACCCTTTTTGGTTATTTCCTTTGGCCACACAGCTTTGTTATCCTTACCCTCGAAGAATAATTTCTACTCAGAATGTGATTTTGAACATTTCATAAATGGATTATTATCAAGGAAGTAGGAGAATATTTTACTTTCATAGCAAGAAAGTAGCAAGAATAAACTGAAATGTAGAACTCAGAGAGACTATTAAAATTAGATAGGACCCCAGCAACCAGGCAATCATTTTATAGATGAAGAAACTATTTGTACAATACTGCTGTTATGATACCATAGCTTCCAATTAACTTTTTAAATGTAGAAATATGTCCTGCATTGAGGGAGTACTGACCCCCACCTCCCCCCATAAAAATAATTATGTAGGGATGGAATTATCAGTCTTAAGCAATCCAAGGATTTTCTTGTTTCAACACTGGGCACTGAACTACTGTTTGATTCCTTCCATGATTCCTCTAGGGATACTGCTTTTTCTACTTAGAGCTTCTGTGTTTTCGAAAATCTGTTGGTTTAGAAATACAGTGTCACTGAAGCAATAAACATATTCAAGGTGCCTAAGCCTGTTGGGTCAGCCTGGTCTTGAACGTGCCTATCAGTCGCGAGGAGTCCGTGGAGCCTGGGCGCTCATCAGGTGTCTTTGCAGCAGGTGCTGAGGGCTCCAGTGCGACATGTGCAGTCATGTACACACACACACATACACACACACACACACATTTTCTTCCTCAAAGGAAGTCTCCACCGAATGATCTCAAAGCAGGGCTCTGGTCTCTGCCCGTTTTACAATGCAAGGTTGGATTACAATCTCAGGCCAGCATCTCAGTCTGCAATCTGGGGCACCCTGATAACCCGGGCAGTGCTTTCGCCAGTATGTGCGGTTACAGGAGGACGTGACAAATAGCGGGAACCCAGTTACAAAGGGAGGGAAGGAATGAGGCTCACGGCAGGAGGTGGTTAAGAGGTCGCCCTGAATAGGTAAGGGTTCCTAAAAGGGGTCTTGGATCCTCAGTGCGGCACTGGAACCGAGTAAAATTTCGCGGAGTTTCCGAGGCTGTGCGCTCCTGCACACACTCGTACGCACACCCACCTAAACAAGTTGTTCAAACGCACCCACTCACACTCACTCACACTCGCTTCAGAAACTCTCTGAGCCGGAGGCGCTCCCCGAGAGCAGCCCGCAGCCCAGCGGCGGGAGAGGCGCGCTGGAGTGTGCGCGGGACGGGCGCGCCCAGGAGCCACTTACTCGGAGGAGTGGCGCGACGGCGCCGGGACGCTGAAGCGCGAGCTGGGCTGTTTGGCGGCGCCGAGTTCTCTGCTCTCTCGGTGGCTCACGGGTTCCCGCGGACCTTAGCCAAGCGCGGGTTAGAGCCGGCGGGAGAAAAGGAGGCAGAGGCCAGGGGCGGAACTTGCAGGAGGGACCAAGGGTGTGGCGGGCAGGCCGGGGAGGAGCCGGGAGGTCGGGGGCGGAGCGTGCAGGGAAGGAGGAGCCGAGCGGCTGGGGCGGGGCATGGCGGGGCGGAGTGGGTGAGGAGGAGCTGGGGACCGGACAGCAGGAGTCGGAAGTGGCCCAGGCGCAGGAGAGCGCGGAGAAGGGCTGGGCGGCGGCCCGGGAGCCGGACTCGGACCGCGAGGCCCAGATCGCTGGGCGCTGGAGAACAGGACCCTCTTGGGAGATGTGCATAGGATACGGTATTCCTGAGCCTCTCAGTTTCTTCCGTTGTAAAAATGAGACGCCAACCTCGTAGTGTGTTGAGATGGTTAAATGGGGCCATACACATTTGCACTGTGCCTTGCACTTAACAAGAACGCGTGAATGTTAGTGTCTGCTGCCATCATTATTGACTATTATGATGATGATCCGTGAAAGCCCCTGAATTCCGCCTGCTCTTTTGCTTTTAATTTTCTGCGGGCCTTAAGTCTACCCTACGATAGCTGACGCGCTCCCGATTCCTGGTTTCCATTTGCGGAGAATGCAGGGCTTCCTCTTGGAGTTAAAGACTCATTGGCTCCTGGAAAGCCCTCGCTCTCTGCCGCCCCCCGCGGACTTAGCTGTGACTGTCCTTGCCTGTGGAGCAGAAGGCTTGCCCTCCTCAGGGGCCACCCGAGACCGCCAGGATGGAGTAGGATCTGGACCTTCAGTCTGTTGAGGAGCCCTGGCCCGGGGTAGCCATTTTCAAGGGCGAGGGACCTTGGTGGGAGTACGATGAATCCATCCATACAATAAACATCCATTAAGCACCTAGTACATGGCAGCGGGGGGCAGAGGGCTGGAAATATTAATAATACTAGTAAAACTTAATATGTGTAGGTCACCGTTCTACTCCTTACAACAATCTATGATATAGATCCTGTCGCTATCCCTGTTTTACAAAGGGAAAGGGAGACATCGTGAAGTAAATAGCCTTCCCAAAGAAAGTTACACGTTTGGGAAATGGCTGAGTTTGGCTTGGAGAGAGGAAAGTAAACTCTTGATAGGTGAAATAGACAAAATCACAACACATTTGGGTTTAATGCAAAAGATAGAAACATACACAAGGTACGGAGGTTTTTAAAAGAGGACCTTGTCCTGTGGTTATAACTTTGGGGAAGGGCGTCAGGGAGATCTTCCTGGTGTAGGTGATGTCTGAGCTGGGTTTGGAAGAAGAAATGGGAGCTTCAAAGGCAGCTTATAAGTGAAGAAGAATCACAGTAAACTTTTTCAAGCCTGAATAAGGATGGAGGAGAAGTGGAATGGTGGCCGGAATAAAGCTAAAACAGTAAAACAGGACCAAACTCAAGGGCTGTTTTCCTATAGAAACTAAACAACATTAATTTGACCTTTGATTGGTAGGAAGCCAGAAGGGTTTTAAGCACAGGAGATATGTCAGGTGTGGTTCTAGAAAGTTTAATCTGGAAACATAGAAGATCCCAGAACCAAGAAACTTGCTTAGGAAATATTGAAATATGTCGGTGAGATACTTCAGTAGGCAGAATGAGTAGAGTTACAGAAAGAGGTCCACTTCTTAATCCCTGGAACCTGTAAATATGTTATCTTACATGGCAAAAGAATTTTTGCAGGTGTTACCTTCTCATTCGGTCATGGGAAAAAAAAGAATAAAGAAATTTTGCAGGTGTGATTAAGATTGATGCCATTGAGATGGGGGATTATCCTGGATTATTTCAGTGAGCCCAATCTAATCACATGAATCCCCTAAAATGGAAGAAGAGTGGGTCAAAGAGATTCAAAGTGTGAGAGGGACTCAACCTGAACCACGAACCAAGGACTGTGGATAACCTCCAGGAGCTGGGAAAGGACCTTAGCTGACAGCCAACAAAAAATTCACTTTCTTTATCTGGTCTAGACTTGTTTTTCTTCCACAGTCCTACAACAGCAGAAACTGAATTCTGCCAATAACCTAAATGAGCAAGGAAATGGATCCTCCCTTAGAGTCTTCAGAAAGTGATTGAGCTCTACTGACACCTTAATTTTATCCTGGTGAGACTAATACTGATTTATGGCCTACAGAACTGTAAAGTAATACATTTGTGTTATTTTAAACCCCTAAATTTGTGATCATTTGCTATGGCAATAGTAGAAAACTAATACAGATGCTGAGGGCCTAAACTATGTGGATGGAAAGGAGAATATGCATTCAAGACTTATAAAAGCCTGGAGATTGAGGGGATGGAGGGAGTGAAGGAAGGTGAGTCATGTAGGTAGATTTAAAGGGTTTCAGGACTGGCAGGGTCAGTCGTTGGTGGTGTCATTCAGTGGAAAGAAGGACAAAGATAGGTACTTTCTAAATACCTCTGGATTCTGCAGTAATGCAACTAAACTAGAATTTAAAGGATTAAAAGGGTTTGTAGACACCCAACCTCTCCCATCCCCAAATAATCAGAAACTATCTCTGAATGCCCATGGATAGTGATATTTGTTACCACCAATTGAGAATTCTAATACTGGAACTGCCTTGTGTAAGCTGGATGACTCTGGGCAAAGCCCAAAACCTTAATGAGACTTAGCTTCTACTGTGTGAGATAGAAGGAGAAGCTCCATCTGCATGATTGCTGTGAGAGTCACCCAGGATGTCATGGTGTTTGAAACCTCAACCCCAGTAACTTTCACCATTGCTTGATTTTAGTCTCCCTTGTCCCCGGCTGCACTCTGTAGCAGCACCCTCAGAGCCACCTCTACCTTTATTATCTGTATCTCTGACATTCTATACCCCAACTACAACCTCCCACCCTTGATCCCCACAATCTTCTTTTATCTGATCTAGATTTGCATTTCTTCCACTCAGCCTCTTTTCCTATCCAGCCTAACTCCGAGAGTCAACACATCAGTCACTCCCTTGCTTTATCCCATTGTCCTTTCCCTGTACCCACCTGGCAAATCTTTTTAGCCATCCACATTTTTTATATGGACTACTTAACAACCAAAAAGTGTGAAACTTGGTACCACTACAGATTTATGACCTCAAGTCTCCACTAAGCCATCCTGCAGCCTGCATATCCTCCAGCATCATGGATGGGAAGGAGAAGGGGTTTAATCTTTTTACCATGTCCTCAAGACATTTTTCCCACTCTCTTGATATATGATTTCACTTCCTAGTTCATAGGAAATTTAGAGATCATCAATAGAGAAGTTTCTTGACATCATGCCCCAGCCACCCAAAATGCTCTCTGCATCCACATTCATCTTGACTTCCTTTCTTCTTGTCTCAATGGATCAGAGCAAACTCATTCAGCAGTTCTCTGGGTCCTCGATGATCACTTTCTTCTATCTACAGAGGCCATATCCATTAACTATTCATTCACTTTTATCCTCAATCTTTCATTTCTGTACTTCCCCTGCAAAACATAAAAATGCTAAAATTTAAAAAATAATACAAAATTTAAAATTCTACATGGAGGTCCCACTCTCTCAGCATGATCCACTTTCTAGAACCATCTAAACTTAAGAGACGAGAGACTCTAATGGTAGAAACAATGCAGAGTGACCACTGTCTCAGTGTTTACTTTTGGGGAGGAATGGAGAGTGGGGCACCCCTGAAATCTTAGGCAACTTGCATCCTATCAGTGAGCTCACCGCCCAATGTGTTTAGAAAACAATTCTATGGCACTGGCTTTTGAAAAATGAGAAAGCTTTATTGCAAGTTGACTGGCAAGGTGATAGGATGCAATGCTCAAATCTGTCTCCCCAGGCTGGGGTCTGGAGGGAGGGTTTATAGGCAGAGGATAACTGTGAGAGAGACAGAACAATGCAAGGAGGCATGATCTGATTGGGTCATGCAAAGAGGTGATGCTGGGTCCTTGGCTCTTAAATCCATACTGCAGCAAAACACAGTACCCCTCACTTCTTAATTCCATTCCCATTCTTCAATCTGAGTACTTACATTCTGCTGTGGTTGGCTCCGGGGTCATGAATTGGGAACACTTGGTTTATGTGGGCATGCTCAGGTTATGTGACTTGCAACCCTGGGGTCCTTTGCATTGAAAATCAATTCATCATTTTGTTACTAATGAAATTGAATAGGGCTTTTTTTCCTCTCTGCCTTATTTCATAGTGTGATGATGTTTAGAAATTAGCAAGATAACTAACTTTGCTGTCTTATTTGGGCCAATAGATAATTGGGTCATTTCCTTTTCAAGCTATCTCTTGCATGTTTCCAATTTGGGGCCAATAAAACACATTGGAATCTAGAAGCTCCTAATAACTAGTCCATTACTCAATGGCTAAATATATTCTAAAATAATTGTAGCTACATCTAAATTGATGAATCCTCCCGGACCCAAAAACCCCCAAACTCCATAAATCACATGAAGTAGAGATAGCTGTTACTGTAGCTGCATGCCAAAAATACCTCTGTGCATGCCTTCTATTTTTGTTTCTGCCCAGCTGAAGGTAAGGAAACTAACTCCAGAGAAAGTTGTGAAGTTTTAAAAAATCTTCTAACCCAGTTTTCTTGTGTACTCTTCTCTTTTCCTCCAAGCCCCTACTCTGCTTACTCAGAAGAAAGCATCTTCTTTTTGAGTGTAAGGAAATAATTGTGTGGCACTGTGATACATGCAATAAAAAATGTATGCACAAATAGTCTGGGAGGAGAGAAAAGAAGTAGCTCACATTCCCTGGGAAAATGGGGAAGATTTCACAAAGGAGGTTCCATCCATTTGAGTTAAAAGGATGAACTGGAGTTCGCCAAGCAGAGGAGGATACTATGGGCAAAAGTAAGAGAAAAGGGAAAGATAGGTTTAACATTTTCCAGCAAGCTGCAAAGTACTGAAGCAAAGATGTGCAACTTAAATGCAGCCCACATAAAGGTTTATGTAGCCTTTGTGCCTTAACCACATCTTTGTGGGAATGTGCCAGTGAACCCGCCTGATTCAAAGCATGGCTGTAATTTCACCATTCTTCCAAATTACTCTTTAATTGTCCACTGTTTCAACTCTATCTTTCAAGTCCTATTTATTTTTGGAGGATTATCATAAAATCTTATCTTGTCCTCAAAGTAACCAGATGAGTGAGATGAAGAGTATAGTTTTTTTTTCTATTAAATAATAGAAACTCTGGGATAGAATAAGAATCAAGGTTTTAAGATAGTGATCTTTTCCCATTGCTTTAATAGACCTCAATCGCCTCTCATGGCTATTACATATCACTAGTGACTGTACCTCCATTTTAGAGTATTTTTCACTCTTTAAGCAGAATTATTTACCTCCTATGATAACGTGGGCACAAAAACACATCTCTTCCAAAGAAAGCTTGCTAGACTATAGGCTGCTTCAAAATGTGACTTTATCTACAACTGTCCCCAATTGGGTCAGCCACACTCCCCATGAAACCAAGTTCTTTGTGTGTTTCTAATTGGCCACCCCTTAAGACATTCTTAGGAATTATAGTGTTGTCTCTAGCCGGAATCCTTATTTTTCTATGATTGCACCATTAGTTTCTCTGCGTGGGTTCTTCCCCACCTGAACTATTTTCTCCTTTTGGACCGTCTCAAATCTCATGTGAATCTATCCCAAATACCACAATGACCAGTTTTGTTTTGTCTTGTTCTTGAAGACACAATTTTACTTTTTCAGCTCCTTTTAAGGCCTTTTAAAATAAATAAATATAGCTTAAAGTCCTGGCTCTATTGACAGAGCTATCTTGTATACCTCTACTCACCAAATGCTAGTCCACGTTGGGAATGCTCTACTTGATTTTAAACAAGACAAGTTCCCATCTTAGTCCTGTATTGCTTCAAGCACAGCACCCTTACCTAGTAGATTTTGACTTCCATGTTGTTCTCCTTCAATAGCCTTACTTCTTTCATTATAAATACCAATCCTCAGGGTAAAGAGTTGGTATACTGCTTACTATCATGTATGAGTTCTCACTCTTCATAGCAATGGTCTCCTGGACTTAAAAAATTTATTCAACATCGTTGTGGATTAAAAATTACCTCAGCCAGGCACGGTGGCTCACGCCTGTAATCCCAGCACTTTGGGAGGCCGAGGCAGGCGGATCCCAAGGTCAGGAGATCGAGACCATCCTGGCTAACACAGTGAAACCCCGTCTCTACTAAAAATACAAAAAATTAGCTGGGCATGGTGGTGGGCGCCTGTAGTCCCAGCTACTCAGGAGGCTGAGAAGAATGGCGTGAACCTGGGAGGCTGGAGCTTGCAGTCAGCCGAGATCGCGCCCACTGCACTCCAGCCTGGGTGACAGAGCGAGACTCCGTCTCCACAAAAAAAAGATCTCAAAGTAAAAATATAGCCGAGATTTTAGTTGTTATTCCCTTTGTTAAGATCTCAGAAGGATTTAAGGGTGTGCCATGTAGACCTTTTCTGTGAGACACTAGGATTTCTAAGAATCTGAAGGTGGTACACCACAGCAATCTCACAGGTGGCCCAAGGTAAAGAATAGCCTGTCTCAGAAAAAAAAAAATACTGGTGTGGCTTTTGTCAAGTGGAGTGGTTTATAATTCAGTATATAAGAAATCCACAAAGTTTTAAAAAGAATTTTACTAGATTGAACTGTAAAACACAGGAACCACATAAAATTTAAAGAAGCCTTTCAACCTTCAAACTTCTATGGCCAGAAATCAAGCTGAGAAGACTAATCAGTTGAAACCGTGGTCCACTTTTATGGAAAAGGAAGAATGACTGGGAGTGGGGATAGGGTGGTGGGAAGCCCAGAGGGAGGAGCCAAGATCTGTGGAGAGTAACTCCCAGGGAAAAGGGTTATTTAAGGAACTGGCAACAAGTGCCTATCTAAATTTTAGAATCTCTATGGACCAGGGACTGCTATGTAATTCTAATGTTTCCTTCTTTTTGAATGGGAGAGAGCTCTTCTTTGTTTCATCACTGTATGCTTGGTGTGTAGGAGGCACACAATTTGTCTCTTTAGTTCACCGGTCTTCAGAATGAAAGGTATCATACTTTTAAAACCTCACTTAAGAAGCCTAGTAGAGGCCGGGCACAGTGGCTTAGGCCTGCAATCCCAGCACTTTGGCAGGCCAAGGTGGGCGGATTACTTGAGGTGAGGAGTTCGACACCAGTCTGGCCAACTTGGCGAAACCCCATCTCTACGAAAATACAAAAATTAGCCAGGCGTGGTAGCGGGCACCTGTAATTCCAGCTACTCAGGAGGCTGAGATAGGAGAATCGCTTGAACCCAGGAGGCAGAGGTTGCAGTGAGCCGAGATCCCACCACTGCACTCCAGCTTGGGCGTTGAGACTGAGTCTCAAAAAAAAAAAAGCCTAATAGATACTTGGACCTGATTTAAATAATGGGGATCCTGAGGCTTGAGTCTGGTCCTAATGTCCTGATGATGTAGTAGGATGAAACTACTAGAGTTTTATAAGGAGGGAGTTTATTTTATATGTAAGAGAAACATAAATAATTTATGGACAGAGGATGGACTGTGGTAGATTTTAAGTGGACACAACTAGTTCTTTGACACTTTTACCCATCAGAGATGGAGGGTACGGCCTCCCCTCTTAAAGCTGGATGGGCTCTGTGAAGTTTTGACCAATAAAATATGATAGAAATGACATTGTGCAAGTTTCTAGGTCCAACCTTAAGAGACTGTTATCTTCAACTATCTCTTGGGACATTTATTCTTGGAGCCCTAAGCCATAATGTAAGATGTCTGGACCCTGTTGAAGAAACGGTATGGAAAGGCCCTGAAACTACATGTAGAGGGAGAGTTCCGCCTCAGCCCATACTTCTGGTCATGCCCTCCAAGGTGTGTTAGTAAACCTGTCTTTGGCACTCCAGACTAGCTATGCTGCCTGCTGAATATTACTGGGCCACCCCACTTGATGCCACATGGAGCAGGAGAATTACCCAGATGAGTCCTCTGAATTCCTGACTCACAAAGCCATGGAACATTACATTATCAAATGGTTGCTATTTTAAACCACTAAATTAGGGAGTAGTTGGTTACACAGCATACAAAGTTTAACATTTAATTAACATTACATTTGATGATCAAATTATTGTAAATTTGACCAGTGGAAATGCTTTTGGTTTGTTCTGGCACAACTAAAAAACTACATGATCACTACAACAGACCAGGTGGCTTAAACAACAGAAATTTATTTTCTCACAGTACTGAAGGCTGGAAGTCCAAGATCGAGGTAATACATCTGGTTTCTCTACAGGCCTCTCTCCTTAGCTTGCAGATGACCACTTTCTTGCTGTATCCTCACATGGTCTTTGGTTTGTGCATGCACATATCAAATGTCTCTCTCTCTCTTTAGTCTCTGTTCTTATAGGGAAATCAGTCATATTGAATTAGGGCCCCACCTGTAGGATCTCATTTAACCTTAATTACCTCTTTAAAGGCCTATCTCCAAATACAGTCACAGTGGGGCTTAGGGATTCAATATATGAATTTTGTCAGGGACACAATTCAAACCATAACAATCATCTTCATAAAGGATATTAAAAATAACACCCTTTGTATTATGATTGTCATACAGTTTACTTCTATTTATGCATATAATAACTATAAAAATATTTATTTTTTGCTTTAAACAAATATATATAAATATTTATATAAATATATAAATATATATTTATATAAATTTATATTTATATAAAATATAAAAATATATATATGTGTATATATATATATACACACACATTCATTTTTTTTTTTTTTTTTTTTTTTTTTTTTAGATGGAGTCTCGCTCTGTCACCCAGGCTGGACTGCAGTGGCGCAATCTCAGCTCACTGCAACCTCTGCCTCCTGGGTTCCAGTTCCAGCCATGATGCCCAGCCATCTTTTGAAAAAGTTAAAACAGAAGAAAAGTTTTAAAAATATATGCTCACTTATTTAGTATATTTGGGACTCTTAATTTTTACTGTAGATCCAAGTTTCCATCAGGTATTCCTTTTAGCCTTTAGCCTGAAGAAATTCCTTTTTTAATTTTCTTTTTTAAAAAAATTGGACTCCTTAAAAAAAGGAACTCTTGGCCAGGCACGGTGGCTTACGCCTGTAATCCTAGCACTTTGGGAGGCTGAGGCAGGCAAATCAGGAGGTCAGGAGTTCGAGACCAGTGTGGCCAATATGGTGAAACCCCGTCTATACTAGAAATACAAAAATTAGCCGGGCGTGGTGACGCGTGCCTGTAGTCCCCGCTACTCAGGATGCTGAGGCAGAAGAATCGCTTGAAGACAGGAGGCAGAGTTGCAGTGAGCCAAGATCGTGCCACTGTACTTTAACATTTCCTTTTTAACTTTCATTTTAGGTTCAGGGGTACCTGTGCAGGTTTGTTATATAGGCAGACTTGTGTCACAGGAGTTTGTTGTACAGATTATTTCATCACTCAGGTACAATAGTTATTTTTTCTGCTCCTCTCCTTTTTTCCACCCTCCACCCTCAAGTAGGCCCCAGTGTCTGTTGTTCCCTTCGTTCGTGTCCACGTGTTCTCATCATTTAGCTCCCACTGATAGGTGACAGCATGCAGTATTTGGTTTTCTGTTCCTGCATTAGTTTGCTAAGAATAATGGCCTTTTCCTCCATTCATGTTCCCACAAAAGACACAATCTCATTCTTTTTTATGACTGCATGATATTCCATGGCGTATGTATACCACATTTTCTTTATCCATTCTGTCATTGATGGGCATGTAGGTTGGTTCCATGTCTTTGCTATTGTGAATAATGCTGCTGCGTGAATAATTCACATGCTGTGAATACATGTGCATGTGTCTTTATGGTAGAATGATTTACATTTCTCTGGGTATATACCCAGTAATAGGACTGCCTGGTCAAATGATAGTTCATTTTTAGCTCACTGAGGAATCGCCACACTGCTTTCCACAATGGTTGAACTAATTTACACTTCCACCAACAGTGTCTGAGTGTTCCCTTTTCTCTGCAACATTGCCAGCATGTTGTTTTTTGATTTTATTAAAAAGTCAAAAAATGATAATAGTATCCCATTGTGGTTTTGATTTGCATTTCTCAAATGATCAGTGATTTTGAGCTTTTCTCATATGCTTGTTGGCTTCATGTATGTCTTCTTTTGCAAAGTGTCTGTTCATGTCCTTTGCTCACTTTTTAATGGGGTTGTTTGTCTTTCTCTTGTAAATCTGTTGAAGTTCCTTATAGATCCTGGATATTAGACCTTTGTCAGATGCCTAGTTTGCAAATATTTTCTCCCATTCTATAGGTTGTCTGTTTGCTCTGTGGATAGTTTCTTTTGCTGTGCAGAAGCTCTTAAGTTTAATTAGATCACTGTTGTTAATACTTGCTTTTGTTGCAATTGCTTCTTGGTGTCTTTGTCATAAAATCTTTGCCCATTCCTATATCCAGGATGGTATTGCCTAGGTTGTCTTCCAGGGTTTTTATAGTTTTGATTTTTACATGTAAGTCTTTAATCCATCTTGAGTTAATTTTTGTATATGGTGTAAGGAAGGGGTCCAGCTTCAATCTTCTGCATATAGCTAGCCAGTTATCCCAGCACCATTTATTGATGGGAAGTCCTTTCCTTTCCCCTGTTCTGGTTACTGTAGCCCTGTGATATAGTTTGAAGTCAGGTAATGTGATGCCTCCAGTTTTCTTCTTTTTGATTAGGATTTCCATGGCTATTTGGGCTCTTTTTTGGTTCTACATGAATTTTAAAATAGTTTTTTTCTAGTTTTGTGAAGAATGTCATTGGTAGTTTGACAGGAATAGCATTGAATCTTTAAAAAACATCCTTTTGTATTTCTTGTAGTTCAGATGCATTGGCAACAAATTACAAATTCACTAGTTTCTTTTGTCTAAAAGGGCTTTGTTTTGCCCTCATGTTTGAAGGATATTTTTGCTGGGTATAGATTTTTTGTTTGTCTTTGTTGTTTCCTCAGCACTTTAAAGGTATTGTTCCATTGTCTTCTGACTTGCATAATTTCTGAGAAAAGACTGGTTTATATTGTTTTTCGTTGCCTAATATATTGCTTTCTCTGGCTACATTTATCATTTCCTCATTATCACTGATTTTCAGCAATGCCATTATGAGGTATCATGGCGGTATGTATGTGTGTTAATCCAGTTATGGAGGCCAGGCACGGTGGCTCACACCTGTAATCTCAGCACTTTGGGAGGCTGAGGTGGGCAGATCGCTTGAGCTCAAGAGTTCGAGATCAACCTGGGCAACTGGCGAGAACCCATTTCTACTAAAAATACAAAAAAAAAAAAAAAAATAGCCAGGCGTGGTGGTGTGTGCCTGTAGTGCCAGCTACTCAGGAGGCTGAGGTGGGAGGATCACTTGAGCCTGGGAGATGGAGGCTGCAGTGAGCTGAGATCATGCCACTGCACTCCAGCCTGGGCAATAGAGCCAGACCTTGTCTCAACTATGGGTTTTTGAGTTTCCTGTATCTTCAGGTTTATAGTTTTCATCAAGTTTGGAAAATTTTAAAGCTATTTTTTAAAGTATTTTTTCTTCCTCTTATTTTCATTCTCCTGGGACTCTAAGTAGATGTATCATACCACTTGGTATTATAGCATCATTAATTAATCAGTGTTCCTTGCTCTCTTGTATTTTTTCTAATTTTTTTTTATTATGTTTGCTTTCTCTTGAATAGCTTCACTTGCCATGTCTTTAAATTCTCTGATCTTCTCTTCAAAAGTGTTTTAGAATTAAGCCCATCCAGTGAATTACTTCAGATATTGTATTTTTCATCTCTAAAAGTTCAACATAGTTCTACCATCTGCTTTCATTACATTAATGTTTTTCCTCAGATCTTGTGCATACTTACAATAGCTGTTTTACAGCCCTTTTCTATTAATTCCATTATGTGTCATTTCTGAGTCTTTTTTCTTTTATGCTTTTATTGTTTTTAATTGACACAATTATACATACTGATTTTTCCCCTCATATCTTGTGTCATTTTTTTTATTTCCTTAAGTTGGACTTCACATTTCTCTGGTGACTCCTTGATTAGCTTAATAATTGACCTTCTGAATTCTTTTTCTGGCAATTCAGGGATTTCGTCTTGGTTTGGATCCATTGCTGGTGAGCTAGTGTGATTTTTGGGGGGTGTTGACGAAACTTAATTTGTCACATTACAATTGTTTTTCTGTTTCCTTCTCATTTGGGTAGGCTATGTCAGAGGGAAAATCTGGGGCTCAAGGCTGCCATTCAGGTTCTTTTGTCCCATGAGGTGCTCCCTTGATGTAGTACTCTCCCCCTTTTCCTAGGGATGTGGCTTCCTGAGAGCCAAATTGTAGTAATTGTTATTTCTCTTCTGGATCTAGCCACTCAGCAGGGCTGCCAGGCTCTGGGCTGCTACTGGGGGGTGTCTGCACAGAGTCCTGTGATGTGAATCATCTTCAGGTCTGTCAGCCATGGATACCAGTACCTGCTTTTGTAGAGGTGGCAGATGAGTGAAATGGACTCTGAGTGTCTTTAGTTGTAGTTGTTTAATGCACTAGTTTTCTGCTGGTTGACCTCTTACCAGGAGGTGGTGCTATCTATCAAAAGAGCATCAGCTGTGGTAGTATGGAGGAGGATCAGCCAGTGGGCAGGGCCCTGGAACTCCCAAGAGAATATGACCTTTGTCTTTAGCTACCAGGTTGGGTAGGGAAGGACCATCAGGTAAGGGCAGGGTTAGGCGTGTCTGAGTTCAGACTCTCCTTGGGCGGGGCTTGCTGTGGTGGCTGTTGGGGATGGGGGTGTGGCTCCCAGGTCAATGGAGTTATGTTCCCAGGAGGATTATGGCTGTCTCTGCTGTGTCATGCAGGTTGTCAGGGAAGTGTGGGAAAGCTGGCAGTTACAGGCCTCACCCAGCTCCCATGTAATTGAAAAGGCTGATCTCACTCTCACCATGCCCCCCAACCAACAGCACCTAGTTGGTTTCCAGGCAGTGGGCAAGCAGGGCTGAGAACTTGCCCCAGGCTACCAGCCTCCTGGCTGAGGAAGCAAGCAGGGCTTTCACTCCTCCCCGCCTATCGGTCTGCACACTGGATTCACACCATCCCCAGAGTTCTGGCCAGGAGACTTTGTGTTTAGTTGGAATTGTTACAAAGTTCAGCTGGAGGTTTCTTTCTCCCTGTGGTCTTTTCCCTGTTCCTCTGGCGTACCTCCCCAAGGATCCCTGAGAGAAAAGTCAGAAATGGCTTTCGTGGGGACCCAGAGAGCCCACAGGGCTTTTCCCACTGCTTCCTCTACCCATGTAATTTGCTTGGCTTTCTAAATTGTCTCAGCTCCTGGTAAGTCAAATCCTTCTCCTATGACCTGAACCTTCAGGTTCCCCAGTGAGGGTATGTGTTCAGGGGCAGATGATCCCTCTTTCCCACTTTCACAGTTTGGGCACTCACAGTATTTGGGCTATCTCCTGGGTCCTGCAGGAGCAATCCACTTCCTTCAAAGGGTCTGTGGATTCGCTCATCTTTCCTGGTATATTCCTGCAGTAGTTCTTGGAGCAAGAGTTCACAATGTGTCTCCACCCAATGCTCTGTATGAGTGGGAGCTGTGATTTAGTCCTGCCTCCTATCCGTTTTTGTTTTGTTTTGTTTTGTTTTTTGGTGTCCAAAGTATTGATGGGAGTTGCTACCATCCTCATTCCTACCTCCTTATTGAAAGGAGAAGTTCCTCCTGGTTTTCAGCTAATCCTAGTTGGGGAATGGGGTGGTAGAGGCCCAATGTTTTCTTCTGTTTTCTAGGTGGCCATCTGTTTCTGTTCCCATCCAGATTTATGTTACTCCTCTGAGACACTTTGGAACTCTCCGTTTTATTTTTGTTTGTTGTTTTTAAAATGTTGTGTTTTCTTTTGAGACAGGATCTCACTGTTGTCCAGGCTGGAGTACAGTGGTGCAATCATAGCTCACTGTGATACACCTCAAACTCCTGGGCAATACTCCTATCTCAGCCTCCCTAGTAGCTAGGACTACAGGAATGCACCACCCACATCCAGCTAATTTTTAAGTAATTTTTTGTAGAGATGGAGTCTTGCTATGTTGCCTAGGCTGGTCTCAAACTCCTGGCTTCAAGGGATCCTTTCACTTCATCTTCCCAAAGTAGTGGGATTACAGACATGAGCCACCATGCCCAGATTAAATTGTAGTTTTCATCGTTTTGGTTGTCATTGTGAGAGAGACAAGTGCCAGAACTTCTAGTCTGCCATGTTTTCTGCTTTTTTTTTTTTTTTTTTTTGAGACGGAGTCTTGCTCTGTCTCCCAGGCTGGAGTGCAGTGGCGTGATCTCTGCTCACTGCAAACTCTGCCTCCCAGGTTCCTGCCATTCTCCTGCCTCAGCCTCCCGAGTAGCTGGGACTACAGGCGCCTGCCACTGTGCCCAGCTAATTTTTTTGTATTTTTTAGTAGAGACGGGGTTTCACCGTGTTAGCCAGGATGGTCTCGATCTCCTGACCTTGTGATCCACCCGCCTTGGCCTCCCAAAGTGCTGGGATTACAGGCGTGAGCCACTGCACCCGGCCCATGTTTTCTGTTTCTATTGACTGATATTTCTCTCGTATGAGTCACATTTTTCAGCTTCTGTTCCTGTCTGGTAATTTTTGATGGGGTGCTGACATTGTCCCAAGCAATTTCAAAGAACAGCAGGGAAAATTCCATTCAGCTTCAAGGCCTGAGAATAACCCTGTGATTCAAAGCTCTGCTCTCTGGGCTTGCAACTCCTGGCTCTGCACCCAGAGTTCTGCCTTCCCATAAACATTGCATATTTTTCTGTGTTCTATATCTATTATTTTCTCTACAACAATTTTTTACTTCATTTTTTGGCTCATTTAATTTCTATTCTCTCTGTTACATGTGTGCTTTCAGTCATATCTCTTCTCCCTTGGGCCATCTCTAATTTAGCCTTGATTTATGAGATAATTTTGCTGTTTTCATTCCTGAGTAAATGCAGGTCCTGTAAATGCAGCCTGGGCAAGAGTGAGACCCTGTCGATCAATTAGTAAGTTAGACTATTTTGAATTACTGCTTTCCTCTGTTTCATGAAATTATTGAGGGTGGTTTATATTTTTATGTTTGAGACTGTCTCACTCTATCACCCAGGCTGGAGTGCAGTGGCACAATCATGGCTCACTGCAGCCTTGGTCTCCTCAGGCTCAGGTAATCCTTTCATCTCAGCCTCCTGAGTAGCTGGGACTACAGGAACGTGACACCATGCATGACTAATTTTTCTATTTTTTTTTTCTTTTGTAGAAGGGGTTTCACCATGTTTCCCAGACTGGTCTTGAACTCCTGGACTCAAGCAATCCTCCCACTTTGACCTCTCAAAGTGCTGGGATTACAGACATGAGCCACCCCTCCTCCCCTGCTTTTTTTGAGACATGGTCTCACTTTGGACCCAGACTGAAGTAGTGGTATGATCACTACTCACTGCAGCCTCAACCTCCCCAGCTCAGACAATCCTCCTGCCTCAAGTAGCTGGGACCACAAGAATGTGCTACCATGCCCGGCTAATTTTTAAATTATTTGTAGAGATGGGGGTCTTCCTATGTTGCCCAGGCTGGTCTTGAACTCTTAGGCTCAAGCAATCCTCTTGCCTGGGCCTTCCAGTGCTGGGATTACAGGAACTGGCCACTGCACCTGGCCTAGCGTGTTTTTGTATGTTCAAAGAAACGTTTTGAGAGTAAATTTGTGTGGATTTTTTTTTCACATGTGGTATAAACTATTCACGTTACAATAGTAAACAATCTTATGGACAAGTGTAGGGGGGCTGTTTTTTTCATTCAGGAGCACAGTGCTTTATTTGTAAAATAAATCACGATTTCCTTTAAAAAAATCACACACCTTTATGGAGGATATTTTTGGATTCTTTGATATCTTGTTAAACGACACTTACCTTCATTTACTTCCTTCTCTCCCTTCACCAATAAGCCTCCAAAGGACATCAGTTCCTCTGAAGATGGCCTATTTCAGAACTAATTTCCCAAAATATTCACACCTAATCACATACAATTTCCAACTCTATTTTTCAGTAGCCAGTTATTTGTTCTATTTCACCATTCAGAATGAGACCCTCTCCTTCTAAACTCCAGTTCATATTGTGTCAGTACCAGTAGAATCCTGCACTCTTCTATGTACCCCTTTTCCAATCATTTTCTGCTACAGTGTGGGGTCTGGGAGACTCAGATATTTATTTCCTAAATTATATGTAATTTAAAGGTTGCTGTCTTCTCTGCCATCTAATATGCTTAGGTATGGTATCTGAGTGATTTGTTCTTTTTGTTCTTTAAAGGGATTTGTGAAACAGTTGAAATTTAGATGACTGTCATTACTGTATAAGAATCTTGGGCTTCTGACTATGAGGTACAGGGCCATGGTGAATGCTTATATAACTTATTAGGGGGATGTGTTGGGGTGAAGTCTAGCCCTCGCTTCATTTGCTGTTTCTTGTGGAACTGCATTATCAGAAGATATGCCTCATTTGTAGGGCTACATCCATGTAACTTCATCTACACATGAAGTTTTCTTTAATGTAAACTCCAGATGGGGCATTCCCCCCCGTCATAAAACTTCTCATTAGGAAAAAGCCCTATGAGATCTTAACATACACTGCAAGTATTGTAGCTTGCTTAGTTATCTTCATGTCTGAATGGCCATAGTAATCTGATGCATTTTCTGCAAAACACAGAATGAAACAACCCAAATACAGACAACCAGATCCTATTTTAAGGAATTATCTTTGCTTGTGTTCAGAATAAACTGAAAAAAAAAAAAAAAAGGTATGGCTTCAGAAAACAAATATGCTGCAATTTCAGAAATGATGCTAAGAGTAGATTCCAAAGGATTTTTAAAACTTATTTAACGTATGTCCAGGGATACACCATACTGGCTGAGTTCTGTTACACAGGTCATACCTGTACATTGCATAGAAAATTGATTGTCCATGAATAAAGCATTTTTTCCACTGTGGAGTGAAATGTGTTGTCACACCAATTGTTTCTATTAGTCATCTGTATTTGCAGTGGAAGAACTTAAAAGTGTTTTTGTTCCAAGGACCCCTGTGAAACAATGTGACACTCTCAGTGTTAGTTCCTTGAGTAATGGACCATATATGTGCAATGACAGCCAAGCAGAAAGAAAAAACATCTTGAAAAGCTCAAAAACAGATTCAGCTTTGAAAATAACTGGACTGAAATCTACACACATTTCTAGAATACTAACAGGCACATTCAAATAATCTATGATCAACTTTTTCCAGGTACTCCAATGCAGCAATCCCCAACCCTTTTGGCACCAGGGACTGGTTTCGTGGGAAGACAGTTATTCCATGGAGCCAGATGGTTTCAGGATGATTCAAGCGCATTACACGTATTGTGCAGTTTATTATTACATTGTAATATATGATGAAATAATTATACAACTCACCATGACATAAAATCAGTGGGAGTCTTGAGCTTGTTTTCCTACAACTGGATGGTCCCATCTGGGGGTGATGGGAGACAGTGACAGATCATCAGGCATCACTCTCATAATGAGCACACAACCTAGATCCCTTGCATGCGCAGTTCACAGTAGGGTTCCTGCTCCTATGAGAATCGAATGCCTCCACTGATCTGACAGGAGGCGGAGCTCAGGTGGTAATGCAAGCAATGGGGAGCAGCTATAAATACACATGAAGCTTTGCCCAACACTCACCTCCTGCTGTGCAACCCGGTACCAGTTGTCACCCATGGGCTGGGGACTCCTGCTCCAAAGGGTAACATTTTAACATTCAGCTTAAATAAATTTCACCAAAAATATCTCAACAATTCAAAGAGGAGTGTTCCTGACACCAGATCACTTTATTCAACAGAGCAGCTCCCAAAGTCATGAAGTACTACTTGGTTTAAAAATAAAGCTGTTTTTCCCACGTACACACATTCAACAAAACTATCTTTGGTATTACTTTACTGAGTGAGGTTTAAAGGAGTTTGGGAAAATATTACAGCCTTCTTCCTTTTCCCAATGCTAAAAGTTTTGTGTATTTTTTCCACATGCATTTCTTTGTTCATATATATTTTAAAAAGTCTAAACAATTAGGATATTGTATCTTTTGCTCTGTAATTTTTTTTCCTCATCAGCCTCTTCTCAGGCCAACATATACATATCTAACATTCTTTTTAGTGGTGAGAGAATATTCTATAATATTACATGTATGTACCATAATTTATTCAACCATTTACTTGCTAATTAACATTTAGATTTCCAGTTTTTTTTTTTTTTTTTTTTTCATTTTTATTTTTTGAGACAGACTTTTGCTCTGTCACCCAGGCTGGAGTGCAGTGGCATGATCTCGGCTCACTGCAACCTCCACCTCCTGGGTTCAAGTGGTTCTCCTGCCTCAGCCTCCTGAGTAGCTGGGACTACAGGCACACAACCCCATACTCCACTAATTTTTGTATTTTTAGTAGAGATGGGTTTCACCATGTTGGCCAGGCTGGCCACAAACTCCTGACCTCAAGTGACCTGTGCTTGCTTCAGCCTCCTAAAGTGCTGAGATTACAGGTGTGAGCCAACACATCTGGCCTCTAGAATATGTTTCAATAAACATCTGTGTCCTTACATTTTTATGCATGGAAGCTTTTATTTTTATAATTTCTCAGAAGGTTGTTCACTGAAAGTTATGTGTATTTGATTTTAATTCACACCCAGATAACTTTGCCAGCAATGTTTCTGCCAATTTCCTTGCATCTTCACCAAAATGGATATTGTCACTATTTAACCTTAAACCAATCTGATAAAAACTAGTATTACAGTAATACTTTTTAAAAAACAATCCATTAACCCTTATAATGAAGATGAACACACTTTATATTTGTTGACTTTTTCAATGTCCTGTTCTGTGAATTGCTTATTCACAGTGTGACCACTTCTCCAATAACTTAAACTTCTCTTTGTATACAGGGACACTGACATGTTTCCTATTACTATACAAATATTTCTTCTAGTCTACTTGTTGTTTTAACTTTGACTGTGGTCCCTGCCATATGACATTTAAATTTTTTATTAAGTAAAATATGTCTGTGTTTCCAATCTTGTTAAAAAGATCACTTCCACCCTAAGGTTGTATAGACTTTTCTTTGAATGTGTCTTTGTATTGTGTTTCCATTGTTGGGACCAATGTGAGAAATTTCTGCAATTCTTCTAAAAAATATTTTTTTTTTCAAAGAAGGGAGGGCAAGGGCAAAGAGCAAGAAAGGAGGATGGAGATGACTGGTCCATGGTTTTAGTTAAGAAAAATCCTAGATATCAGAAAATAAGATTTGTTAATGTTGTGAATCCTTATATGATCACAAAGCCACATTCTTAGGAAACACACAATTAAAAAATGTATTTTGATGTATCCACTCCATTAATGTGGATAATGAAATTTTACATATATGTATATCATTTTATATTTAAACATTTCAACAATTTTTATTCCCACCTTCCTTGAATGCTGCTTACCTATCAACTTAAAAAGACGGTAGAAAAGAACAGGGTATTCGGGAAAGTTATTCCATCCTCCTTACATTAACCAAATACAAATATGGAAATTCTTGATTTTAAAATGTCACATATTTTAAGTCAGCTAAATTGGCAACGATATTAAAACAATAGTATACCCCCTAAAAAAGTTTCTGCATGATTGTTTATTTAAAATATTATGACTCTGGATGTAAATACATATGGGCTTACATAATGTATGATTATCCATATAAATGCTCAATTAAAATATTTAGTTCATCCTTAAACACCTTTTGTTCTAATAAGCATAATAGTAAATATTTTATCTCATTGGAAGTGTTTAAAGCTGTTTGAATCTTGATTTGTGAAGAAATTACTGAAAAATAACTTAAGGTTAACTACATCAAACAATACTATTGTTTGCAATGCTGTCAGATTTCTCCATGGCAAAATAGTCGCATATGGTTATTGCACGATTTATAGGTACAGGTTATTATGTGCATATAAACTCTCTACATAATGACAGTGTTTGCACTGCAACTTGCTCAACACATTTAAAATTGTTGAAATACAATTTACAAAATCTTTAACAACATACTTTTAAGATAAAAGTATCCTGAGGATATTACAAAATTCATTTTACCAGCCCTTCATTTCTTTGCTTTGACTCTTTAATTTCCAAGATAATCGTTGCCCATATTTTATTACATAAAATGCTATTATTATATATTTCCTATTAAACAAAATATATTTAAGTTAAATAGTACATAATTGTCCCATAAACACTTAGTCCCATCTGCCTGTAGTCTCATTGGTTAAAATCAAGTATTTATCAAGTTTTCTATAATTCTGAATCAGAAAAGGTACAGCACAAAACAGACAGAAACAGGGTTAGCACATTTAAGTTAAAAGCATTGTGCATTTTAAATATTTTGGTCATATTTTATAATAAAATATTTTGGCAAAAATAAAATATAAGGTTTAGTTTATTTTCTATTAATGGTAGATCTGGAGAGTATTTTACATTTCTAAATAGTATCTACTTAATTTGACTGCTTTCACATTTGTTTCTGAAAACACTGCTATTCGCTTTTCAGAATTTTGAGATTAAAAGCACCTAAAAATAAGATAAAATAAAATTTAAGTAAAATATTTGTTTGATGCTCGAAAGTTGACAAATTCACAAACTTACTTTAAGTGTCTTACATGATATATGCCACCACAGAAACTTTATTGCCTGCTAAGACTTATTTGACTAAATCTAATCTTTAAAATAATAATCCTGATAGTCTCCTTGAAACTTATTTGAAAATTAGGATGGGAATTCAAAAATTTTTTAAAAATGAAAAGCACAGTTGCAAAAAAAAAGTTATTCTGGTGGCAATAGTTGTTATGGCACAAAAACACATGAAAAACCAGTTTTCGCTAATATATACAACTAAGTTCAAATAAGATGTGTAAGATACACACACACACACACACACACACGTATACATACATACAACTTGGGTTCCGGAGGGTAAACTACTGAAAACCTTACATATTGAGCCATCTAGCTCATTTATCACTGACGTCTCAATGACAATTTTAATGAAGATGTTCATTATTTTTTTCATTCTTACTCAAATACCTATCATTAATTAAGAGAAGAGTTTGAGATGTATAAGGCTAATAAAGGAAGTGAGAGTGTGGTGAATTAAGTGATGAGTATTATGTACAATTGCCTTTACAAAAAACGTATTTTTACTGTGGAAGAAATTCATGCAGAGATGCCTGTGGAAAAGTATCAATAAGAAAACAAAACACCTTTAACACTATGACATACTGATTATAATATACTATGATATGTATTATTACAGCATTACTTACACATTCTACTTTAGGCAATGTAATCTACTTCTGAATGACCTTGTTAATTTTTAAGGCATCAGTGCATCAAGGGCAAAGCTCCATAAAATAAATATAAAAACAAGAAAGCATTAGCTAATTTGTGGCATAGAGAATGATCACTGTATATTATATCTGTTGGCCACTTCCATATAGGTAATAAATTGTACATCTTATTGTAAAAATGTTATAGCATAAATTTCACATCATTTTTCAACACTTCATTTAAAGGGCTAAACTGATCTGGCAGTATTCTCATTTTCATTGTTCCATCAGCTCCACAGGAGAAAATGTGATTTGCAGGCCCTGTCTCAATTTGCATCACTCCAGTTCCAATATTTCTAAAAATGGACTGCCGAGCATGTTCACTGACAAAAGTATGGAGAAGACCAAAGGTAGAGAGACTCCAAATCTGAAAGATATTAAGAACAAACGGAAAATTAGGGTTGATGATGACCTTAAGAAATCAAATGAGGCCAGGTGCGGTGGCTCATGCCTGTAATCCCAGCACTTTGGGAGGTCAAGGCAGGCAGACCACCTAAGGTAAGGAGTTCAAGACCAGCCTGACCAACAAGGAGAAACCCCATCTCTACTAAAAATACAAAACTAGCCCGGCGAGGTGGCACATGCCTGTAATCCCAGCTACTCAGGAGGCTGGGGCAGGAGAACTGCTTCGACCCGGGAGGTGGAGTTTGTAGTGACCCAAGATCACACCATTGCGCTCCAGCCTGGGCAACAAGAGTGAAACTCCATCTCAAAAAAAAAAAAAAAAAAAAGGAAAAGAAAAGAAACCAAATAAAAATTTTAGGCCTGCATTCCTGTGCAGTAAGGAATTTCCAAAACAAAAATAGAGAAAAATCTGTGTAGGCCTAGGATCATAACACCTTGATTCTGTATAGAGTGTTGTAATCTACCAATTGCTTTAACACAAAATACTTAAAAATCCATCTAGTAAGAGAGTAAGAGAAACAATGTAGGTAACAAGGAGGTTAAGTGTACAATGCTACAGAAACTTACAATACTGTAGGGATTAAAATCAACGTTTCCTATCTCTCAGCAGAGCTTTTGCCGTATAGGTGTACAGTAAGGTAATCTCTTCTTTACATTATTGAATGCTCACCAGGGATCAGAACAGCTAGAAAGAGGGAAGTACTTGACACCTAGAGGCCCTCTGACCAGGCAAAGCTATATTTTAACTATAAGACAAAGTCAATTATTACAATTTCAGGATACTTAATTTACTAAGATTTTGTATTTCCAGCCCTTATCAAAATAAATGTGCCTGTAAAGCAAATTATACGCATCTTTACTTATGGGAAGAACGTAAATGCTTTCAGGACATGTATTTTAGGTTTAGCGAAACCTACTTATTTCCTGGTTTTATTGGAGATCATTTTTCTAAACGTTTCTTTACTCTAAGAAATTCATTAATTCATACTACCCTGCATATGAATTTGTTAAATTAGGGCTTCTGAATACATTGTATATTTTCAACTCTTTTTTTTTTTTAACCTTGATTAAACAATAAACCACAGGATCAAAGTACAAACTAAAGAACCAATCTAGGCCAGGTGCGGTGGCTCACAACTGTAATCCCAGCACTTTGGGAGGCAGAGGCAGGCAGGCGGATCACAAGGTCAGGAGATCGAGACCATCCTGGCCAACATGGCGAAACCCCATCTCTACTAAAACACAAAAAATTAGCAGGGTGTAGTGGCGCACGCCTGTAGTCCCAGCTACTCTGGAAGCTGAAGCAGGGAAATCGCTTGAACCCGGGAGGTGGAGGTTGCAGTGAGCCGAGATCGTGCCACTGTGCTCCAGCCTGGCGACAGAGTAAGACTCCGTCTCAAAAAAAAAAAAAAAAAGAACCGACTTAACTATGGCATATTCTAAACTAGAGAGTCAGTCCAAATAAGAAAGTAGTTTCAAACTGAAGGAAAATAATTCTGTTGGTATATATATATTTGATTTTAAGAAAAAGGCTTTTAAAAATTCCATAATTCTAGTCTTTTCCTGGTTGAGAATTATGAAAACAATTTGCTGGTTTTAAAAAACCCATCTGATTCTACTAAATAAGTGTAAGTGCTTAAATTAATAAATTCGATGAAACTAAACCCCCCTAGTCTAGGGTTGCTGACCATTAAAATAACATAGGGATTAGTCTAAACTGATTTACCAATTACCAAACAGGGCCAAAAGACCCTCCATTAAAATTACTAGGTGTGTTATTAAAATGCAGATCCCTGAGTCTTGGACTTACTTATCAACTGAGTATTTCTGGAGTGAGACCCAGCAATTTGCATATTTAATAAGCTGTTTAACATTTTTAACAAGCTGCTTAACATTTGAAAAAACCTGTCTTAAGTTTTCAACACAATGGACTCTGAAAAGGACTGCTAAAGGCAAGGTTTATCCAGAATTCTTGAATTAGGCACTGAGGGACTAGATAATAATATATATGAAAAACTGGCGAGCAATGTGGGATAAAAGAAAATATCAATACATTTCTCAGCCCCTGGAAATTAAATTCAGTAAATTATGTAACTCTGAACATGGAGTCAAGACAAATTCTAATATCTGAATTATGTTTATATTCATGGAAAATTTGGTGTTTTAGTATGAATTAAACATATTTTCAAACAACTGAAAAATAGAAAATTTTCAAGTTAAATATTCCATTCATTGAAAGATTAAATAGCAATTAGCACTGCTGACTACAAAGGAATTAATATAACTATTATTTAAATAGATTGATGTCATCAATACGATTAAAGAGCTAAGGTTTCTGAAGATTTCATTTTGTAGATGTTGTGGCATCAACTGTGTTTACCTTTATATTGCCTTCGGCAGATCCTGTAACAAAGTACTCTTCAGTTGGATCAACAGCAACGGCTTTAACAGGAGAATCATGGCTCTGGAAAAGCTGCCTCTGTTGTCGTTGACAAAGGTCAAATACATATGTAAAACCTTTTCTGCCACCTGATATTAGTAGCTGATGTTTTGGAGCATATGCTAAAACTGTGGCTCCACTGTCATGGCAGGTAAATGCTGAAAGTAAATTAAAAAAAAAACAAAAACACTTAACAATAAAAGAAATAGACTTCTGGCTTTTGGCTAAAGTGAAATAATAGACCAGATTTGCAATCCTGCCTGAAACAATTAAAAAATCAAATGAAATATAAAAACCAATGATTTCAGACACTGGATATAAGGTAATGAAGAATGATCTCTGAGAGATGGGAAACAAACTGGGTGAGTCATAAAACTGCCCTAGCTTACTACTTAGAGTTTCCTGACCATGGCACCAGGAGAGGAACCCTGGTTGAACTGGTTCCGTACCAGCCTCGGTGGAGTACTCAGAAGCATTTGACTCAGTAGCGGAGGAAAATCAGCCCTAGACCAAATGCTGCTTTGGTCCTGTTTAACCAAGGTCCCCCAGATTCAACTGTTTCCAAGTAAGTTGTCCCTGAGCAAAGCTCAAGAACATTTACAGAATACAAAAATAATAGGCACTTAATGAAGTAAAATTCACAATGCTTGCCATCTAATAATAAATTAACAGGAATGTGATAAAGCAGAAAATATAACCCATAAGGAGAAGAAAAATCCATCAATTGAAACTAACCCAGAAATAATAGAGATGACAGAATTAGTAGGTAAGGAAATTAAAAGTCCATTATAATTTTAAGTTAATTAGAGGCATGAAAGGCCTAAATCAAAATTTAACAGATTAAAAACAGCAAGGCTCAAGATAAAAAAGGAACTGGATGGGATTAACAGCAGATTAAGCCTTGTAAAATAAAAGATTCATGAATTTGAAGACACAGCAGTATGAGAAATATAAAAATATGATACTATTTTTCTTTAAAAAAGAGTCCAGCCTAACAAATTTTAGGGAAAAAAATCTGCATATAGCTCAAGGAGAATATTGCATAATGAACAGTGAGGATTCTGGAGTTAGATTGCCTGGGTTTCAATCCTGGTTTCTGTGTGGGATTAAATGTGTACTTCTGCTGAATTACTTACCTAAGTCTCAGTTTCATCATTTGTAAAAGAGATTATCACCTACCTAATAGGGTTGCCTGAGGATTTAATATATGCAGATCATGTATAGTCCATGGCATAAACTAAACACTTAGTTATTATTGTAAGACTTGAAATAAAATTAATTACAGAGAAGGAACTTTGACCAGCACTTTGAGATATAACTTCCCAGAGGAAAATGCACACTTTTTAAGTATATACCTTGATGAGCACTGACAAATGAATACATCTGTGTAACCATCACTAAGATCAAGGTACAGAATATTTTCATCATCCCAGAACGTTCCTTCATGCCCCTTCATGGTCAATTCTCCTCCCCAACAAAAGCAATCACTATTCTGACTTCTATCCAATTAGTTCATTCCAGAAGTTCTATTATTTTGCATATTACATGCAGGTTTATGGTCCATTTTGAGTTAATTTTTATGAAAGGTGAGGTCTGTATCTGGGTTCAATTTTTTATATGTTGACATTAAATTGTTCTGGCATTATTTGTTGAAAAGACTATCGTTTCTCCACTGAATTGCCTCTGTGACATATTAAACATAAGTCTACTATATATGTGAGTCTATTAGTGGGCTCCCCATTCTGTTCTATGATCTATATGTATATTCTTAAGCTAATACCACAATGTCTTGATTACTGTAGCTTATAAGTGTTGAAATCAGATAGTATAATGTGAGTCCCACAAGTGTGTTTTTCTCTAGTATTTGGTTGGCTATTCCTTTGCTTTCCCATATAAACTTCAGAATCAGTTTGTTGATATCTGCAAAGTAGCATGCTGGAATTTTGATTAGGATTGTGTTGAATCTATAAAATCAAGACGAACTGACATCTTAAGAATATTGTGTCTTCTAATCTGTGAATGTGGAGTATCACTCATTTATTTAGATCTTCTTTGATTTAAATCATTTTTATAGTTTTGTGCATACACACCCTGTACATATTTTGTTAGATTTATGTCTCAGTATTTCATTGTTTTGGGTGCTATTGTAAATGGTAATATTCTTTAAATTTCAAATTGCAATTGTTCATTGTTGATGCATCAAAAAGCAACTGAATTTAGTACAGCTGACCCTTCAACAACACTGGTTTGAAATGTGTGGGTCCACTTAGATGTGGTTTATTCAATAGATATATTGGAACATTTTTTAAAGATTTGAGATAATTTGAAAAAACTTGCAGACAACCCACATAGCCAAGAAATATCCAAAAAATTAAGAAAAAGTATGCCATGAATGCATAAAACATATGTAGATACTAGTCTATTTTATCATTTACTACCATAAAATATACACAAATTACAAAAAGTTAAATTTATTGAAACATACGCACACAAATACAGATTGTAAGTGGTGCCATCGACAGTCGAGAAATGTAAACAAAAATACAGTATGAAATCATAAGTACATAAAATTAATTATAGTACATACTGTACTACTGTTATAATTTAGTAGCCACCTCCTGTTGCTATTGCAGTTAGCTCAAGTGTTGCGAGTATATACTTAAAATGCTGTGTGATGCTCATCATCTCCATGTGAGCAGGTCTTCTCTCCAGTAAACTGTATATTGCAGTGAAAAGTGATCTCCTGTGGCACTTGTGAATTTTTCATTGTATTTAGTGCAACAGTGTAAACCTTGAATAACACCATGGGAACCATACAACATGCCACTAGTAATGCTGGAAGTGCTCCCAAAAAGCAGACCAAAGTCAAGACATTACAAGAAAAAAGTTGAATTGCTTGATATGCACCACAAATTGAGGTCTGCAGCTGTAGTTGCCTGCCATTTCAGACAGATAATTCATCTTTTTTTTTTTTTTTTTTTTGAGACGGAGTCTTGCTCTGTCGCCCAGGCTGGAGAGCAGTGGCTCCATCTCAGCTCACTGCAAGCTCCGCCTCCCGGGTTCACACCATTCTCCTGCCTCAGCCTCCCAAGTAGCTAGGACTACAGGCATCCACCACAACGCCTGGCTAATTTTTTTTTGGTATTTTAAGTAGAGATGGGGTTTCACCGTGTTAGCCAGGATTGTCTAGATCTCCTGACCTCGTGATCCACCCGCCTTGGCCTCCCAAAGTGCTGGGATTACAGGCATGAGCCACTGCGCCCGGCCTCAGACAGAAAATTCATCTTGTAAACAGATGACATAAACTTTACAATATCAATAAATACAGTACACTACTGTATGTACTCATGATTTTCATAACATTTTCTTTTTTCTAGCTTCCTATAAAACACATATACAAAATATGTGTTAATTGACTATATTAATAATAAGGTATCCAGTAAACACTAGGCTATTAGTAGTTAAATTCTGGGGGGAATAAAAAATTATGATTTTCATCTGTGCAGGGGTCAGCATCCCAATCCTTATGTTGTTCAAGGGTCAACTGTATATTGACCTTGTATCCTGGGACCTTGCTATACTTGTGAATTTATTTTGTAGATTCTTTGGGATATTTTATAGAAAATTATGTTTTCTGTGAATAAAGACAGTTTTATTTCTTCCCTTCCATTTATATACATTTTATTTCCTATTATTGTGTTACTGCATTAGCTAGGAATTCCAGTGCAATGTTGAATAGGAGTGGTAAGAGGGGACATAATATTGAGTTTACATCATGTTTACAACGATAACCTGTGGCTATCAGATTCAAAGTAAAGACAAATGATTTTTATATTATCGATGTCTCACTGTCCCCCATCAAGGTATAGTGAAGAGTTAATTACGTATATTGCATCTTTTTGCTTTCAAATCCTGCCATCCTGGGCAAAAGAAATCTCATGGGTTAATAAATATATGTGTCATCAGTAACAAATCCACTTATAAATAATATTTAGCTTATGAATTTCCTGACTTTCAAAATTTATAAAATGCTTTGAAAACTTACCATGGACTAAACTATTGGCAGGTGCTACAAGAGTATCCCACAAACATACGTTTCTGGAAAAAAAAAAAAAGATTACTTCTGAGTGACACAAAAGCTAACAATAAAAAATATGTCATATATAACTGTGTGACCTTTAAACCTTGCTGTCACAGAAGGTTCTTAAATTTATAAAAGCAACAAATACAAGTAACCAACAAATTTATATGAAACTAATTTTTATATAAAAAAAAGAATGCAGTGGTGGAATCTTGGCTCACTGCAGCCTCGACCTTCTGGGCTCAAGCAATCTTCCCACCTCAATGTCCCGAGTAGCTGGGACTACAGATGTGTGCCACCATGTCTGGCTAATTTTTTAAATTTTTTTTTGTAGAGATGGAGTCTCCCTATGTTGCCCAGGCTGGTCTCAAATTCCTGGGCTGAAATGATCCTCCTGCCTCAGCCTGCCAAGGCACTGGGATTACAGGCATGAGCCAACATGCTCTGGCTACAATTTTTTGTTTTTTTTTTTTTTTGAGATGGAGTTTTACACTCTTGTTGCCTAGGCTGGAGTGCAATGGTGTGATCTTGGCTCACTGCAACCTCTGCCTCCCAGGTTCAAGCGATTCTCCTGCCTCAGCCCCCAGAGTAGCTGGGATTACAGGCACCTGCCACCACGCCTGGCTAATTTTTTGTATTTTTAGTAGAGATAGGGTTTCACCATGTTGCCCAGGCTGGACTCAAACTCCTGGCCTCAAGTGATCCGCCCACCTCGGCCTCCCAAAGTGCTGGGATTACAAGCATGAGCCACTGTGCCCGACCCACAATTTTTACAGAAAATTTAAAGCTACTATTATAGCTTAAAAATTTGAATAACTTTAGATTAACATGCGTTTACAAATAATAATATATGAAGTCTGAATATGGAAACTTCTTTTTGTATTCACTGAATCTCTAACAGTTGGACTGACATACATTAACAGGAGAGATGCTGAATTTTCTTAAGCACAAAGAAAACTTGTTTCTACTGTGTGGGGGGACCAACATACGTAAGAAATATCTACGGAAGACGAGCTGAAGAATCTATAGTCTTACAATCCTGTTTCTAGTGCAAAGTGTGGCCTTACAGATAAATATATAAGCTAAGCAAACTCAGTGGGCCTTGATCTCAGAACTCAGTTATATAACAGAAATCAAAAGAGGCAGACAGATACTGGGGCAGGAGATGACACTTTCTTACAACCACAGCTTTTGGGGGTGGGGCTGGAATAACATGGCCAATAAATAATAGTTTTTAGAATAAAAATACTGTATCTAAAGCCATAAGTAAACTTTAGTCAAACACAAGGACAGAAACAATAAAAAAAAGTTCAGCTATACTTTCTCATACTTCAATTTTAGCTATCATCTCTTACCTATTGTCAGTTGAAAGACCAGCTGTAGCTATCAGAGAGGAGGAACTAACGAAGACAAAATCATTGGCTGTTTTGTTATGACACTGCCAAGTCTGGAATGGTTACAAACAATACGTGTTACTCCTCTCACTAAAAATGTCATAACCAGGTAAATGTATTCTTCGAAAAGTGATCATGTAGTTTCTGGCTTTCTTAAATCCTCTGTATCGTTTTTTTCCTTTGAACTTTAGAAAAATTGTAAAAGTAATACAGAGAACTTTCATATACCTTTTACCCAGATGCAGCAACTTTTTAACATTTTGGCACATTTGTTTTGCCTCTACTTCTCTTTCATATTTGTAGACACCCACGCATACACACACTTTTCCTGAACTATTTAAGTAGGCTGCATATATCATGACCCGTTATGAATCTCTTTGCTTTTGTTCAACCAAAAGTTCAAAGGAAAACATGAGGTTAAACTTAAAGACCTTCTCCTAGCATAGTGAAAATTTCTGTTTCAGAAGATAGAAACTAGAATTTTAGATGATACCAGACTTTTGTTAAATAATTGACATATATTTTTCAAAAATATTTAAGCTTTTAAAAATTCAAGTACATGAAAAAAATTACTAATAGTCATCAAAATTAGAAAACATATAGCATTTTTCAATATTCTACCAAACAGTACACTTAATTATGAGGTTTCTTCATTTATAAAAGCTTCAAAATTATGTTTTACATATTTCTCTTTAATAAAAAATGATTTTTTTTAAGTATCCCAAAATCACCACACCAAAGATTATTCCTTTGAGCCAACTCCCCATTTCCCCTGGAACACTACTGGAGCTGGGCTAGATGATGTGTCCTTAAAACAGACAAAATCCTCTTAATCTCCAAAAGCCAGTTATTCATAATTTAAACCAATTCATTTTTTTAAAAGTTAAAAAAAACAGTCCCTTAGAGAACAAACTTATACATCTAAATCTTTAAGCTTAATAAAAATATGAGAAACAGTTAATATTCTTTCAAGGTACCCTAATCAATCCTCCCATGCTTGCTTGCTTTTACTTAGATCAGTACTGTATTCTAGCAATTAACCTTGGGCAAATTACCAGAATCTTAACCTATATTCTTAACTTTTTTTCTGATAGGAATTGCTTAGTCCTATAAAGAGCTTCACTGAAGATATGAAATATAAATTCAGTATTCTATGAAGCCACAGAAAGTTCATAAAAGCCTGCATAATCCTAAATTAAAAGAGATGAACAAGAAAATAACAGTACCAGCTATAGGATGTCCTTTTCACTTTGTTTGTTCATAAGAGATAATTGCAGAAAAATAACCAGACGCATTGGTCTGGTAATCATTCTATTTAGGCATAATATAATAACCAGTTTAGTGAGGTTAGAAAAGGGCTCTAGTAATCCACAAGATGTATAGGTATCTGGGGGTATCATGTTGCTTCTATACATGTCAACTTCCCAAATTATCAGAGACTAAGGAATTTTATGCTTCACAGAGTAATTTTCACATAACACAAGGACAGAATCTTACAGCAAAGTGACTGAGAACACAGGACTATATTTTATTTATTAGTTCTATATTTCTTGTCTCAAATACGTATTCTTGGTTTATTTAAAATGAAAATTCAAATTTTATTTAAAGGTAGAAATTCTTGGCTTACCAGGTATGGCTTAGGCATGCTTCCAGTAACTGGACAACATTTCCAGTTTGTTTGATACAAACTTAAATATCCATCAGCATCAACTATTCCAAACTTAGAGAAAGAAAATATTTAAAAGTATTTAATATAAATATAAAAGCATATATTTATCCTTACCCTCAGTGTGACACCCATATTTTGACTCGTAAACATTTGACTGTATGTCATGTGATTTTTCACTTCACCTATACATGGATCTATTTCAGAAAAACATTCAGCTACTACTTTAAAAATCCCAGGGTGAACATAAAGAGAACAAACATCAGACACCCATTTTATTACAGTAGCCTCTAGCATAGTCTATATATTCTCTGTAAGTATTACAAAAACAGGATACTGGATTAACAGATTATGCTATGTGACAGAACTTTATCATATATAAGAAAGAAAACTGTTCATTTCCAGAAAGATAAAATAAGGATTTTCAGAAACAAACAATAAGGAAAACACATGAACAAGAGTACAAAGTAAAATGATATAAGGATTATCAAAGTAAAATAATTCCGCTATGGGAGCTCAGGGCAAGTCTGACTGGTAAGATGTCAAAATAATCCACTAAGGGAGGTATTCTTGATACAGATCTTGAAGGATGAGTAAGACAGCTAAATTTTTTCCCTTTGATTATAAAAATAACGCAGCTTATTATAAAGTATATAAAATAAATGTCTGCTTTGTACTCCCACCCTCCTCTGCCTCTAGATCTAACATCTATTAACAATTTGATGTGCTTCCTTTCAGATTTGTTTCTATGAGTATTCAAAAATTCACAATATAGCATTTAAAAAATTGGGATCATAATAATACCACTACACAATTACATTTTTTATTTATTATAGCTATCTTTCCCAGGTAATTACACATAAATTTAGATCATTCTTGTGCTGTGTGTAGTATTACACTGTACAGTGGTATTACAATTTAAAACTTTCCCCATACCGTTTTCAATTTTCTGTAATATAAAAAGGGCTGCTTTGAACATTCCTATATATACATATACCTTTGCATAATTATGTAGGATAGACATCTAGAAATGGGAAAGTTTTGTTAAAGAGCATCACTTAAAATTAATAGACTATGCCAAAATTAAATCCTATGTGGTAATATAAATTGATACAGCCATTTTTCTTACACTTTAGTTAACATGGGGTATTTTTAAAATCTAAAATACTTGTTAATTTTATGCAGACAAGAATAAGTCTCAATTTATTTGCACTTCTTCAATTATTAGTGAAGGTAGAAGGCTACTGGCCAGGCAAAGTTTCTTGGTAAACTGTTAAGATGTTTTATCTATTTCTCTACTATTTGTCTTTTAAAAAATTTAACTGATATGACTAATATTATGAATATTAACCTACTGTTTTTATATTTGTTAATAATATTTTCCCAGGTCTATTCCTTTTTCTAGTTTATCTTACATTTTCTGGAGTAGATCTAGGTATGTTCTTCAGAAAGGGTATACACATGGAATGTGTTAAGTCTCTGTATACCTAAAAATATGTTTATTTTGCTAGCAAATTTGAATGATAGTTTGGATGCACATCGACTCAGTTCCCATTCCTTGTCCATCAGAATTCTGTGGATATTGTTCTCCTATCTATTTGTGACAGGCCAACGACATTTAGTGGCAGGGTGGGATGTGGGTTGTAAATAACCTTTTTCATTCTCACTCCTTTTTAGAACCTTATAGGATTCTCTCTTTAACTCTAAAAACCAAAAGTTACACAAACAGGATGTGTGCAGGTACGTGTTGCTTCTCAATACTTGGTAGGCCCTTTCTCTTCCAATATTCTATTCTTTGCTTTGGGGAAGTATCTATTATTCCTTTGAATATTGTTTTTCCTCCATTTTTTTCTTCTGAAATATTTCCTAAATTATCATCATTATGGGATAGTTTCTTAATTTGTGCTTCCCAGCAACAAACCTGATTTTCAACTATTTCCATTCTGCTGTTCAGCTTTTCTAATAAGTAGTTCCCCCACTGACCACATTTTTGGGAATCGTATTTTTAATTTCCAATAACTCTTTTCTGTTTTCCTACTGTCCTTGTTTAATGCTAGCATGTTCTTGTTGTATAAATGTAATATATTCTTGAATCTCTGAGGAATTAGTCCTCATAGGTTATTTATTATTTATTCTGCTTAATACCCCTTTCCAGACACTTAGTTTTTCTGAAATATTCACTGGCTTTTGGCACTGTATTTCTATTCATAATTGAATATCCAATTCATCAGAATTACTGTGATACAGTGTGAGTTATCTCTTCCATTTACCTTAAGAGGCTTCCCTACTAGAAGAGATAGCATGCTTAGGGGCTGTGCTATTAGACTTCGTCAAGGCTAAGGTGAATGAATAGTAAGTTGACTGCCGGTCAAAGATACTTGTGCAGGCAAAGACAAGCAGTTTTTTGTGCCTTAAAATAGCCTATGCAGAAGGCTGTAGTGAGTGTTAAAGCTGAAAAATAGTCACATTATAGAAGGTCTTAAATACTTGTTAAAGAAGTTGACATGAGGAGCCTTGAAGGGTTCTTGAAAAAAATAATAATGTGATCTCACCTATATTGTAATCATGTAGCTATGTTTTTTGTTATATAATACTGTTGGCAAGATGCATTAGAGAGATAAGGGTTCAGGTATAGAGATTAGTTAGGAGCAATATAAAACTGACAACCCAAGTTGAAATGCACAAAAAGCACATTGATAGAGAATACAACTAAAAGTACAATAGAATTATACAGGCATCTGTACTAAGTTCCCTTAATTTCCCACTAAGGAGCTAAGAATGTTGCTAATTAGTATTAAGAAACAAGCTCTCAAAATTTTGTTTCACAACTACATAAAACTACTTTTGTGAAATGAAAATAGAGCCATGTGATAAACATGGTAGACAAAAAAGGTTGCAGCACACAATGATAAAAGGAATGTGTGAGGAGAATTTAATGTGTGAGGGAGGCTGAGGGGAAAGAAAAGGCAAGGTGAACCATCAGTTAGAGTCTGTGAGAGTAATTTTTGGTGCAGCATGGCCCTGAAGACAAAAAGAAGACTGATTTACTCTTTAATTATTTTGTAAAGGGCTAATAACATATTAGGAGCAAAAAGAGGCAGTTTGGGCTGGCTGTGGGTGCACTGCCTCTGAACTAGCCCTGCTTCACAAGGAGCAGTACTGTTCAATAAAAGATTGCTGTCTAACATAAAAGTGGGGAGGGGGGCAGTTTGAACAAAGGATTATGAGAAGTGAAGACAGTAAAGGATGCTCTAGAGCAGGTCTGGCAAACTTTTTCTTAGGTGGCCACATAATAAATATTTTATTTTGCCAGCTATAAGGTCTTTGTCCTCCTGAACTATGCTGCTGTAGTAGGAAGTAGCCAAAGAAAAATAATGAATGGGGGTAACTGTGGTCCAACAAAACTTTATTTATAAAGCAGGTGGCTAGGATGTAGTTTGCTGATGTTGTTCTGGAGCAGTACCTCTTAAAAAACTTTAATATTTGTAAAAATCACAACAATATCGGGTTAAAATGCAGATGGTGATTCAGCACATCTGGAGAAGGAACAATAATATGCATTTATAATAAGCTCTAGATGTTACTTGCTGCTGGATCACACACTGAGTAGGTTCCGAGGGATAAAGAGAGTAGGAGCATTTAATAATAAAAAGTGTGTAATATAAGGTGAACTTATAATCGTTTGGTCATTAAGAATCACTTAACTGAGTTTTAATGGACACCTATATAACATACTTCTAGGAAGAACAAGTGAAGTTAAGTGTTCTTTGAGAAGAATTTAAAAGCATCTATATAGATCAATACTTTACTACTACCCACGGAGCTGTTCTTTTCAGAAACCCAAACTAGTGGAATTTATAAACCTCCAACACAATAAATTTTTTACCATTTACATTTTTATATAATACCTTATTTCCCTGATAGTTAAATCTCATTCTTGTAACTCTTGAATTGCCACCAGATCGAAAACAGGTTATTTGTTGAGAATGGCCCCATTCAAACATTCTGACACTTCCATCTTGAGCTCCTGTCAGATCTGCATTACAAGAGGGCAAAAATTGCAGATTTATTTCAAGAATCTTTGGGAAAAGTTATTTCTTTATCCTATGTGAAAATCTTTATGAAAGAAACATCTAAATCAACTTATATAAATTTACCTTTGTATGAAATTTCAGTTGAATACTATTCATCATAAAAATAGTTATACAATACACTTTCATTTGACTAAGAACACATCCTCAAATACGATAGGAGCATTTAAATCATAGCTCCATAAATTTTATTTCCCTTTAAAGTTATCTCAATGATGTCTTAACAGCCTTTTATTTTTTATAATAAATTATATATTACTCATTATAAGAAATTCTTAGGTTAGAATCAATCCTTATTATACTATTAATGTGTAAATGTATACACATTTTTCTTTGAAAAAAATCAGATTAAAGAAGGTTTTAAATGTCATGCTAAAGAAAAAAATCAGTTCTAAAAGTTATCCTGATTGGCCTAATATCTCAAATATATGTTATCTGTTTTTTTTGTAATTTTGTAGTTAATTTTTTTTTTTTTTAGAGACAGGGTCTTGCAGTGTTGCCAAGGCTGGTCTTTAACTCTTGGCCTCAAGTGATCCTTCCACTTCAGCCTCTAAGAGGCTGGGATTTATAGGCACGTGCCACTGCACCGGACTTGTTTTACTGAGAAATATGAATAAGATAAATGACTATTGATTCTTCGCTTTGCCATTTATTATTTGTGTTATACTAGGAAATTTACTTAATCTCTCTGAGACCATTTCCTTCCTGTAAAAAGGGACTAATGATATATAAGTCACTGGACAGTTGTGAGTAGAAAATGAGATCACATATATAAGGCACCCAGAAATATGCCTAACATATAACACTCAATTTATAGAGTATCATTATCAATATTAATGTGGTATGGAGGTAGTAAAAAAAATACATTTATATAAAACATCTAGCACTTGCTAGTCACATATCAGTCAAGTTTCCCTCATTCCTTATCAAATATTTAAAATAAATGAACTTCAATTGGTTTGAAAGCTTTTACCATTGGGCAGCGGTAGGAGGTAGAGTTTTTTGAGACTAGGTATTTGACTGGCTCTACTCCCTTTCCCCCAATGCGCTTGCATAGCTTAATCAGAAAAATAAATTGGGGTGGTTGCACTAAAATCGCTCAACTTTTCTATTATTATTTATAACGTTAAAAAATTAAGAGCTGGGTTTGGTGGCACACACCTATAGTACTAGCTACTCAGGAGACTGAGGCAGAAGAATCACTTGAGCCCAGGAGTTCAAAGCTGTAGTGTGCCTTGATTGTGCTGTAAGTAGCCATAAAACTCCTGCCTGGGCAACATAATGAGACCCTGTCTCTTAAAAAAATCTTAAAAAAAAGAAATTAATTGGGAGGCTATTAGGCTAAGACAGCTCCAGGGCCTTGCATGCCTATACGAGCAAATCAAAACTCAATTCAATGTAAACAGTAAAATGAAGCTTAAGCTTAATCAATCAGAAACCACCAACTAACTTCTAACTAGATGCTTATCAATTAGAAACCCCCAACTAACTTCTAACTGAGGACTTTCCACTTAACCAATCAAATACTGTCTTTGTTGTGCTTCCTTGAACACCTTATAAAAGTTTTCCCCTCATGCCACCTCGGTGAAGCCTTAATGGCTTCTGGTCTGGTGTTGCCCAGTTCATGAATTTGAGCTGAAAGCTAAAATAAACTCATTAAATTTTTAATGTACCTATGTTTTAAGAGTTCTCAGCAGAGGAACATGAAGGAGATCCCCTGATGATGACCTCCAGGAGCAACAAGTAACCAGGCACAGTTACCTCCTGGTAGGCCCCTTGTGCCTACTGTTTCTCACTGTGCATTTGAAGGTTACCGCTTGACCTGAAACCTGCAACTTTTATCCTTTAAGCATTTTTCATTCAGATCAGGTCTAGAAGTCAGACTGAACCTGACTGGATTGGGTCCAGTCAGAGGCCTCAGGTAGATAAGATTTTGGAAGGACAAGAAATCATGGGTTCATCTGAATTTAAGGAATTCAAAAACTCCTCCAACTGGAACTCCAGCTAATTTTATGCATAAACATTATGGACCCAGAACCTGTGCTTTCCTAGAGAAATGAGTATATTTACCAAAGACAATTTAGAATTATGGTGGCCACAACAGGGAAGTTTTTAATTTACACAAAATTGTCCATCTACAGGAAGCACTAAATAAAAGGGAATCTCTAATGCTTCACAAACAGTGGGAGGCATTTTTTGATTGGTATGCAGAGGCTACTAGAAGACTAAATGAACTGTAAATTGTCTCTCTAAAAGAGTCTTTACAAAAGACAAATGAGAAATCTTAAAAGTCTTCAACAAATAATAGTAAAGTTTTAGCAATCTGGGTGGGTAATCTTGTCCCATTTTCAGAAACACAATTTGGATCCAGATATCCTATTTATTTATTTATTTATTTATTTTGAGACGGAGTCTTGTTCTGTTGCCCAGGCTGGAGTGCAATCGTGTGATCTCGGCTCACTGTAACCTCCACCTCCTGGGTTCAAGTGATTCTCCTGCCTCAGCCTCCTGAGTAGATGGGACTACAGGCGTGTGCCACCACGCCCAGCTAATTTTTTGTATTTTTAGTAGAGGTGGGGTTTTACCATGTTAGCCAGGTTGGTATCAATCTCCTTACCTTGTGATCTGCCCGCCTTGGCCTCCCAAAGTGCTGGGATTACAGGCGTGAGCCACTGTGCCCGGCCCAGATATCCTTTTTATAAACGACTGAGTTTGATATTTTGTATCTGGCAGATCGCCAAAATTTAGAAGGAAAACTATAGAATCTGCTTCTGCCTGTATGTTTGTGTATGACTTTATATATGTTAAATATATGTAATATTTTTCTATCACCAGATGGTATTGTCAAAATTAATTTTTAATAATTATATCTAACGCACTTAAAATAAGCACTTATATAAATTAAGTATTCCTTAAACTTTTAGAAAGATAGAAACAGACCCAAATGTTTTTCAAGTTCATCTGATGTGGGATAATCTTTGGTAAATGAAAGCAAATTTAAGTTTGTTGGTTTAATTAAAGCAGGCATATCCTTAAGAGTTACCAGCACTAAATATAATGTGATATACAACTTTTATTTTACTTAGGCTTACTAGTCAAATACACTCATGTTATCTTTGTTACAAAATTTGTCAGCAAAAAATAAATAATGACTAACTTGATGGCTGGCCTTGTCTGGTGTTATGTCTACTTCAAAACAGTTTTCCAAATCCCTTTGACAACTTATACCCTTAGTATTTCATTAAGTTAAATTAAATGATGGATATTAATTGAATATCTAGATCACTTCCAAATTACATAAAATACTAAAACATTAATTGCTAAACATAAGCTTATCTACTTTTGGCTTCTTATTGCAGAAGAATAAAGATATTTGGGTCTGTTAGTAAAGGTGTCCTGTGACACACTGAAAAACTATACTATGAAAAAGAACATGCTTCTGTAAATTATGAAAGATATAGATTTGCTACTCTATAGAATGCTGGTGTGACTGACAGTGCACAACTGCTTATTACCTAGTTTTCACTAGAAACTAACATTACTAACAGTTAAGAATTCTAATCAATATATGTAATTAAAACTACTGAAAATAGATAAATAATTTTGTATGTCAGGAAAGTAAGATGTTTTTGGAATGTGAAGCTATGAGGTATGAAGGATGTTTTTCTTATGGGAAAAAGAATAATTTTTGTCCTAAAGCAGACTGTTCCATATTGGGAAAGAGGAAGAGTACAGAACAAAATATGCATGGATACGAGAATGCTATACAGGGTTTGTGTAAGAGGAATTTGGAAAAATAATTTTATGTGTGGCCAAGCTGGCTAATATGTGTGTATTTATATATGTTATTAAAAGAATGATGAGCCTTAATATCAGAAGTACATTGGTGCAAAGTTTTACTGGAGTATTGGTTTTCTCTTGACAAGAGATTATGAAAGGTTTTCCTTTACCTTTTAAGCAATCTGACCACAAAATCGAGATTTTGTTTTATCAAGATAATTTCCTGTGCTTCATGTCTTTTTAGGTCTTTGATTACCTAGACCTAATGTTAATATTATTATTTTTACCTTTTAAGCAATCTGACTACAAAATCGAGATTTTGTTTTTTTGTCTTTTTTTTTTTTCCTTTATTGTGGAGAATGGGGTCTCCCTATATTGCCCAGGCAGGTCTTGAACTCCTGGGCTCAAGCTATCCCCACACCTCTGCCTCCCTAAGAGGTGGGATTACAGACATGAGTCACCGCGCCCAGCCGAGATTTTGTTTTATCAAGATAATTTCCTGTGCTTCATGTCTTTTTAGGTCTTTGATTACCTAAGACCTAATGTTAATATTAACATTATTATTAAATTAGCTATATTTCAATATTAAAATATCTAAGGTTTTTTTCCTACAACATTAAAATAGCTAAGGATTTTTCTACAACAACATAACTTTCTGTATTTGCCTTTGATGTCTTTTAATTATCACTCTGGTTAAATATTTTTCCACAGTAACCTTACTATAATCAAGTGTTTTAAACTGTTTGATATTTTTGACAAATTTCCCAAAAATACATTATAAATGAAGTACTTTTGACCTCACTCTAACTTTGCGAGTTTCCAAAGGGCCCTTGCAATATCTCAAAAAAAATTTGTTCTCACTCCCTCTAAAAAGAAGAATGTTAAAATAATTAGGCTTAATTGATATGTTAAATTGCATGGGAAGCATTGTCAAATAACGGTGATACCTTCTTATATTATATTTGTATGGGTATATACTATTAGATAAGTATTCCAGAAATTGCATGAAGGTTCTAAAAATCTGATGTGTCCTTGTATAATGTTATCAGCCATACTTTCAGTTATTTTGTTAAAATATTGTATGCCACAGAAGCAATCAAATTTACTTGTCAATTGTGCATTATGATAATGAATTGATCTTTAGTCATGGCCATGTTAAGTCTTTTGTCACTGACAGATGGTTATTGTTTCTCCTGATCTTCACTGAAAGTGTCTGCAAGTAACTATAATCCTAAAGTGCTCTGTCTTCAAGGAGATTCATAGAAAAGACTCTGAAAGGTACTGGTTTCTGATAACATTTAGATCCTATCATTGGACAGTGTAAGAACTTCCAGAACTCTAAGGGAAAAAACTTATAAATTCATTAAACTGCTAACCAAGATCAAGTCGAACAAGAATTAAGTATGAGAGGCTGAATAACTTATTGAAGAAAATCTATGGTTTTTTAATAATTATGGTTTTGAAACATTGCTAGGTCTTTATTTTGTTTTCCAGATTTAAGAAAACTTTTTTCTTTTCTCTTAAGCTATTCAGTAGTTTATGGAAATTTGGCAAAGTATGCCTTCGTGAACAAAGATAAAACAATTACTTTTTCTCTCTACCTGATCCCTCCAGAATTTGGAAGCTATTAGTGAGTATTCTTATTTTCATGGCAATATAGTTATTTGCATAAGTTCAGTAAGAATCTGTTCTTTACAGCTTGCCAGGAGTAAAAGCAAAAAGAACCTGTCCTTCTTATAGCAGGACATAATTGGAAACATCGGTCGTATTACCAAGGCTTTGACTCATATATCATATTGGAGACTATGCACAGAATCAGATATCACCCAGACAGCTTTAAGGAACCAAAGGCTGACAGAGCAAATAAGATACCTTGAAAAAAAACCAAAAAACAGAAAAACTGGCCTGGTACTGTACATATATAGTCCCTTACATGGTTGCCTTACAGAAGAGTAAAGACTATCACTTCCTGGCAGACAAAGGAACCCCAGGATTTTCTGAGGACCTCAAGAAAAGAGCAATCAACCCAAATCTATAGGACTGCAGGTGAAATCAGATGGCAAGTCCTTGGCTTGACTTCTGAGCCTCAAGAGGTTTTTAAAAATCTTATCTGAGATTCCTTATTAATGTTCCAGCAGAGCAGACTTCACTTTTACTCAGCTAGGCTTATATAGAACCTATCAAGTGTATGATTTCAACAAATACTTATTAAAAAGGGAAAACACATTAAACATTTTAGAAGGGGAAAAAAATTAAACAGGGAAAACACATTAAACATTTTAGAAGGGAAAAAAAATGACCCAGTGTGACATAAAATACATATTTGGTCTTTGTCCCTGGATCCTGGCATACAGCTACTAAAACCCATGGAAGAGCACCTGAATTTATGCTAATGCAGTGTCTTAGATGGGGTCCCACAGATAGCCTAAAGCATTGAAACTTTCAGTTCCACTCGCCAACCTCCAGAAAAGGGTGGGAAAGGGAGCTGGAGATTAAGTTCTATAAAAACTCTTGAACAAGGAGATCTGATGAGCTTCTTGGCTGGTGAACACATCCATGTGCCAGGTTTGTAGTGCACCCTAACTCCAAGGGGAGAGAAGCTCCTCTGCTTAGGAGTCTTACAGACCTCATTCTATGTACTTTTCATCTGTTTCTTTTATAATAAACTGATAAATGTAAGTAAAGCATTTTCCCTGAGTTCTGTGAATCAGTGTAACAAATTAATCAAACCCAAGGAGGGAGCTGTGGGCACTCTGATTTATAGCCAGTATGCCAGATGTGTAGGTGAAAACTGATAACCTGCGAGTGGTGTCTGAAGTAAGGAGCAGTTTTGTGGGACTGAGCCCTTAACCTGTAGGATATGATTCTAACTCCAGGTAGACTGTGTCATAATTAAACCAAATTATAAGGCACCCAGCCAGTACTTGGAGAGGTGGAGAATGGCTTGGAGTGGACAAAAGCCAACACATCTGGTATCAGAACTGTACATGACAGCATAGAGAAACAGTGTGTTTTCTACTCAGAAAATTATAAAATGTACTAGGCTAACTTCTAAAAAGTTCTTTAAGAATTTTTCAAAAGATCTATTCCAAGGAAAGAAAACAGCTATCTTGAGGTATCTGAACTTCAGACTAATATTTTTAAAAATCCTGTCTCATAACATTTTCACAACACGAAAAGTGTTTGTTATCAAACTAAATTACTACCTGTGGGACTTGTTTGTGACATGAAAAGATATACTGGAAAAAAAATCCAGTAATTAGCTTTTAATTTTTCAGGTGTCTTATCTGCTAGTTTTGGCAGTTCTCTAAACAGAGAAAGGATTTATCTCTCAAGACAGCAGTAATTGATGCTACCTAACACCTCTGACAATAGGTCCATCAATTACCTTTGAAGCTTTGAGCGTGGCCTCTTTAAGTTTATGGGATTAAGGTATAGGATATTTACACCTGCCAGGACACATGGTATGGGACTGAGAGAAAAATGAAGTCCCTTCAGTATCTCAGAAAACTTCCAACCAGACTGCATAGAATAGGGTAGTTTTAAGCAATATCAAGTATTTCCTGATGTAGAATAATATTATTTAAATTTTATATATAAAACACATTTTGACTCCTTACACTATAGGCTTCATGACTGCTTTTTAGTTCTCACCTGACATTAAACTTGTGGGTAAAAAATACACACTTCTAGCGATGAATAAATTTGATGTAGTGAAAACAGACAAATTTTTTATATTATGTTATACCTCTAGCATAAGTAACAGATGTTATTCTCTTCATTTTACATATACGGTTCTCTTGAGCCTTGTTTCGTACAGCGTACACAACTTTGATAATAGATTATTTGAGCATTTATCATAAATGAAGCAGAAAAGAATACTGATTTTGTTAACTGCATTTTATCAGAATATCTCCCAAGAGAAAAGTTTCTAAAGTTTTTAATAGGCTATTAAACTGGGGGACATGAATACCCATTAATTAACATGCATTATTCTTGTTACTATGTAGTAGGACAATTTGACGAAGGGCATAACTTAAAAAAAAATATTAAAAAACTTGGAATACTCACACACCAGTATGAGTATTGATTCCAACCCACCAGAATCAATACCTCCAATAAATTCCCCATTAATTAAGTTCTTGGTTGAAGGAAGAGAAACTTTTAAGATTCCTAGGAAGATTAACTGAAAACACATATATTCTGCCTTAGAATATAAAAACTAATAATAATTTCCTATGTTTACTATTAATGTGTCTCATAAAAGACCAACTGAAAAAAAGTAATAAAATACAAACTGAGTACGATGAGGTAATAAATAATTGAGGTACGGTTGTGGCTTATGTAATAAAGGTTGGCAGTGGTTCTATTATTAAAATAATTATTCACTATAATTTAGCATGATCAAAGAAATCCAGAAATGTTCAAAGATAAAATGTGTTAACTTAGAAATACACAAATTTTGTGTATTGGTAGTCGCAAATTTTGATTGGTAGTCAAAATGTCAAAAAATTTACTTCATTAAATCAGCTTTCTCTTTTAGGGAAATATCTTTTTCTATTTTTACCCAGTTTTGAAATCAAGATTTTATTTACTGGCAAATATTCGCTAGAAAAAAAGTCAAATAAATGCTTTCAATTAAAACAAAAAGGTTCCCACACATTTCTTATAATAAAATTACCAAAAATAGATTTAAGAATAAGAAAGGACAATTGCTAATTATTATTCAACTTACAGTAAGGAAGAGTTGGATGAGAAGTCATTCTTCTAACATTATTAATGGCTTTCTTAATCATCTGGTAAAATAGAAAAATTATTTTATAGGCATAATAAAAAGGATTAAACATTTAAATTGTGACAGGAAATTCAAATAACATTCATTTATTTATTTTTACATGAGTTCATAACTATCATTATGGGTGCTAAAAATACTAAACATGATAACAGAAATTTAATAGTGCAGCTCTTATATTTGCACATATATTTTGGGCATTACTGACTAGGATCTAAAGATAAATTCCTTTCAAGAATTTAGTCTTCCCTCCTTTCTTGTCAATTCTTTTCTGATCCCATTACATTTATTATTCAGTAATAATCCTGAATAGTGTAAGTTTAAAAGACAGGAGCATGTGAAAATAAAAGAAGAGAAAATTAAATAAATTTAAAAACAGTTTGGAACTATGTATTTACTCATTTTAAAGTTATGCTTTGAATAATTTAACTAGCCTGTCAAATAAGAGTAAAACAAACACATAAAATTAAAGGAAAAATTTATAGAACATTTCCAATTTATATAGCATCATAACTACAAATATATGTTATCTTAAATTTGTAGCATCAGTCTCAGGTAGGTTTTGTTATTGTTATTCTTTTGGATTTTAAATGGTTCAATTAGCCTAAAGTTGTGGAGAAGGTGGGGAGTTGGTAGGGAGAACAGAGACTAGGCCAGAGAAAAGAAGAGGGATAAATAAAACTGAAACACATATATTGATGCAGTTATACTCCAAAATAGCAGAAGCTGGTCATAATGATATTTTTTTGCTATTAGTTTTTATCATTTGATAAAATGAAAGGATAAAGAAAATATTTTATCAGTTCTCTAGAAAAAATAAAAACCTGCTGCATATGACTTCTGTTTAGTAAACTTCATATTTAAATTCCATGTTCTTCTTAATTAAAGAAATGCCTGAAGGTTCCTATTCTTGCTTTTGTCTTCTTTTTTTAATATTCACAGGAGAACCATACGTAAAAAAAATATACAAACACAGGTTTAAAAAAGTTTCTGAAAGCATATGTAAAATATGTAAAATCATTATTTTAGAAGATCCATGTAAAAAAGAACAACCTTATTCTACTGGTGTCTTTTTGTTGAGGGTAGAGTGAGGCAATCCGAACCCTCATGTTAACAAATCACAGTTATCCGAAATAAAAAGATGTCCTAAGATTTAGGTAGGAAGAAAATTCAATCCTTAGTGTTATGCCTATGGTAGATTTCTGTATTACAATGCTTTGGAGTATAAACACATTTTTCTGAACACCTACTATACGTCCAATACCATTCTAGTTAGAAATCATCAATCTGCAAGGCAGGCAGAATCCAAGCTCTCGAAGAGCTTAGATTCCAGGGCATATAAAAAAGACAACTTAAGGCAGGGCACGGTGGCTCATGCCTGTCATCCCAGCATTTTGGGAGGCCAAGCTGGGTGCATCACTTGAGGCCAGGAGTTCAAGACCAGCCTGGCCAACATGGCAAAACCCCATCTCTACTAAAAATACAAAAATTAGCCGGGCATGGTAGTGCATGCCTGTAATCCCAGCTACTAGGGAGGCTGAGGCAGGAGAATTGCTTGAACCTGTGGGGTGGAGGTTGCAGTGAGCCAATATTGCACCACTGCACTGCAGACTGGGCAATAGAGCGAGACTCCATCTCAAAAAAAAAAAAAAAAACACAACTAAGTAATGAATAATTTCAATAACTGGTAAGCGCAAGGGATAATAAAGATGATAAAATATAAGGTGACTGGGGGTAGAGTGGGTAGGGGCAAATGCCTTAATTAGGGAAGCCAGGGAAATGTGGGGGGATTTGAGTTGAGATGTGAATGGTACAACAGAGGGATAGAGCATTTTAAGCAGAAGGAAAGTCAAGGGCTCCTGACATAACCATGAGCTTAATAAGTTCAAGAGACAGAAAGAAGCCAGTGTAATTACAGCAAAGAGAATCAGATGTAGAATAAAGGGAGATGAGATGGCAGAAGGTTAAATTTTGTAGGGCCCTATTAATGACTTGTTATTTAAAAGCCGTATTGGGAAATCTGAAATTTTTTAGAAAGCGAGTGACAACCTGAATGATGTTTTAGAAAAGAGTAACTGGCTGCTGCTGTGTAAAGAATAGAAGTAGGAAGAGACCAACAAGAAAGATGTTACAGGAAGAACTATATTGTAATCTCTGAGGTTGGAATTCAAAAAAGTGCCTATTAGTCCTATGCACTTCTTTGGCATATATTCCCTTTGAGTTCTCCTTTAAAAGAATATAATATCAGTAAGTTTTACCAATGAATTGTAACATATCTGTCAGCTGGAAAAATTATTTAACCACCACTGAGCAAGTCATTTCATTTGAATAATTACTAGATTGCTTTTCAAGTTCATTTTAATCCTTAAAACACTGCTACTTGAAATCACTGAACTAAGGAGAACAGAGGGCTTTAAAACAAGCTCTACCATACATTTAACAAAGTGACATAAGTTGATCCACTTGACCTTTTTGGATCTCAAGCTTCATCTGAAGAATGTTTAAATACGAGTAAATAACAACTACAACAGATACTGCAAATTATAAGGTTATAGCAACTATAAAGGAACTCCATTAGGTACAAAATATTACAAGGTATTATTAAAGATAACTCAGATTTTACTTGAACAATTGCTCATACTAATTAATGAAAAATAATTTTTTTTTTGGCCAAGGAAAGCATTCTACAGTACTTATGAAATTCTGAAAAACCCTACCACCTTTCTTTGCTTCTTCAAATCCGTTCATTAGTTCCTATAACCTACGTAATAATAAAGGCTTGGAAGTACAAATATGAATCACATCTCTAGGTAATCAGGGCTAAAAAAGATCCTCCAACACTACAGAAAAATTATGTTTCAGTTCATTATTATATTGCTTTTTGCTTAACTTAAGAAATTATATATTGTTTTTGTTAAAAAAAAAAAAAGAATATTTGTCCTGGCATTTAAAAAAGTGATACTTAATATGGATATAGTTATTAATTGATATCCATTAAAAGATACCTAGACAAGGGGTTAGCAAACCTTTTTTTATAAAGGACTGGATAGCAAGTGTTTTGGCTTTATGGGCATTTACTTTCTGTTGCAGATACTCAATTCTGCCACTGTAGTGTGAAGGCATCCACAGACAAAATGGAAACAAATGACTGGCTGTGTTCCTATAAAACTTTATTTGTAAAAAAACACTGAAATCCAGTTTCATGTAATTTTCATGTGCCAAAAAATACTATGTTTGTTTTTTCAACTATTGAAAAAACAATGTATAAACCATTTCACTAAAATGTATACACCATTCTTAGCATATTAGCTATATAAAAACAGGTCATGGGTAATATTTGATCTATGGGGAACACCTTGCTGAAGCCTGATCTGAACCATGTTTCAAATAATTCTTAATTAAAATATAGCTCTTTGGTTTTCAAGCAAAGTATATTTTTAAAACAATTTATTATTACCCTTTCAAATGAAAACATACTAGTCTTCATTATCAAAATTTACAATTTCCAACATGTAAGACTTACTAAAACTTTAGGAATTAAGAAAAATGTTTTAAATCATCCTTTATCCATTAACCTAGAGGGAAAAATAAAAGTTACATATAACTTAAATTTATTTTTAACTTTACATACCACAGATGCTCCTCTGCCAGTCTGTGTACTACCAAGCCATGGCATGTTGATTGGAGTGCCAGGATTGCTATGTGTATATGGAGTTGTACCTTGAACAGCTGTTAAATCATCACGAGCATGTATAACCAAGAAATCTTCTGATCTATAAAGGAATGTCAACCAGAATAAAAACAACTCATCATTTCTTTCTTTTTTACACTTGAAAGGTCTAAAATTTGAATTTATAGTTCCCTTTAAAATTAATTTTCTTCAGCTCTTATTTGTAACTCACACACAATGACCTCATACCTCAACAATTTCTGTTCCCTTCACTTACTCTTCTCTCAGTTCCCTTATTTAAAGCTCTTGCCACCCCTCATTTAGCACATCAGCTTCTACTCTGCTTACAATCTATACATTGCTTTAAAGAATCTTTTGAAAGTTTTAGTTCAGTAAATATAGTCACTCATATTGCAACATTACTAAATAGAAACAAACTATGAAGGTACCCTTTGGTTTCCACTTCTATATCATCATCTACCCAAGTGTAGACCTGTGTGGCCAGAATTCCAGAAACATCCAGTTCTTGAACATCATGACTGGAAGCGATTGCTATGCAGTTTCTATTTGCCTGAAAAATAAGTCAAATGGTAATTTTAAAAGCAATAGGCAAAAGAGATAGTATATGAGCTGCTTTTGAAAATGGTAGTTTTGAAATAACCTCTAGCAGTGATAACTAAAGTACAGGATATACAGCATTCTTACTTTTAGTGAAATAATAAGCTTCAGTTTGGAGATACGTTTATGTTCTATGAAAAGTACATCCAATAGAAAGCCAGTATAAATGGCAATACATGCAGCATTTTATTTCCTCTCCCAGTACTGTTTTTCTAGACTGCTAGAATGCTATGATCGCTCTAAGGTATGCACAATTCAGAAATGTGGAGGAAGATGCTGAAAAAGATAGGAACCTGTAGGGTACAGAAAGGTGAGGGCAATAAGGAACTCCAAACTAAAAACATAATTATTAATTATTTAAATAAAACAAACTTTCTCCTAAAGCTTTTCAATCTTAGGCAAAAAAAAAAAAAAGAAGTGGGAAAGGGTCACAGAAAAAAGGTGTAGGGGCAGAAATATAGTGGGAGAAGTATGCCAGAAAAAGATCACAAATGAAAAGTTGCTAAGGTTAAATGACATGAAATTTTAAATGCCTATGAATCAAAAATGTACATCTTGGCTGGGGGCAGTGGCTCACGTCTATAATCCTAGCACTTTAGGAGGCTGAAGCAGGCAGACAGCTTGAGCTCAGGAGTTCGATAGTAGCCTGGGCAACATGGCAAAACACTGTCTCTACAAAAAATACAAAAATTAGTTGGGCATGGTGGCATGCACCTGCAGTCCCAGCTACTTGGGAGAATGAGGTGAAACGATTGCTTGAGCCCAGGAGGTCGAGGCTGCAGTGAGCTGACATTGCACCACAGCACTGGGCACCAGGCATGATACCCTGTCTCAATAAATAAATAAATAAATAAATTAATTAATTAATTAAATGTGTATCTTTGAAACAGAAAACAGGAAGATATTGACAGCAAAGAGAAAATAGGATTACCATTACTGTTATGTTAGATTTTAACACAAACTATTAAGAAAAAACTGAGACCTTAGAAATAAATGAAAAAATGATATAGCTAGATTATTGGGTGGTTATTCTCCATGGGTATCCCAAATTCTGCATGTTTTATAAGTGAGTCATGTCTGCCCTTTTTTCTGCAGTATAATTGCCAGGATGTTTGTATAACTATCGTCTCTCCCTCCAGAGCAAAGGGCAAGTATGCTTACTATCGATTATAAAAGATTTGGGTCCCCTAAACTCAGAGATCCTCTCCTGTAATATAACCTACTATGTGTGTAGGTAAGGTAGGTATCATCTGGCCCTCTTCCCGTCATTCTCTGGAAATTGTGGCTCAGGCAACCAGTGTAAAGTGCTGATTTTCTGGTTATTGCTTTTGCTGTTAGACATAAACTGTCCTTTGTCTCTGATCCAAGAGTCGTATGTCTTCTAACAGCATCCACTAAAATGTTTAATGGATCAATTAAATGGACTGTTTAAACAATCCACTGCCTGCCTCAAACAGAACTGTTTCTGTGGCAACAGAAACAGAAAGCTAACTGTTAGTTTTAATTTAAGGTAAAATCTGAGACCCTTCATAGTTTTTGACACAGGTAGTTCCCAACTAAACAAATGGCAAAAAAAATCTCAATGGCATTTAAAAAAATGCAACTTAAAGCAAGAGGTATTATTTCTCAGCTGCAAATTTAGTAAGGATATTAAAAATAGCATATCAGCTGGGTGCAGTGGCTCACGCCTGTAATCCCAGCACTTTGGGAGGCCGAGGCAGGCGGATCACGAGGTAAAGAGATCGAGACCATCCTGGCCAACCAACATGGTGAAACGCCGTCTCTACTAAAAATACAAAAATTAGCTGGGTGTAGTGGTGCACACCTGTAGTCCCAGCTACTTGGGAGGCTGAGGCAGGAGAATCGCTTGAACCCGGGAGGCAGAGGTTGCAGTAAGCCAAGATCGCGCCACTGCACTCCAGCCTGGGCAACAGAGCGAGACTCCGTCTCAAAATAAAATAAAATAAAATAAAGTAAAATAAAATAAAATAAAATAAATAAAAATAGCAAATCTGGGGAAATAAAAATTAAACAGGCATATTCATAGACAGTAACTTGTAGACTTTATATATGTGAATAGCTATTCATTACCAGTACTTATATATAAACCCTCAAGAAGAAAACAACTAGTTTCTTTTATAGCACAGACTATTTTAAATCATATTTTCTTCAAGAAAGAGCAGGTAATGCAGGTATAGATAATTTTTTTTTGTAGAGACAGGGTCTCACAATGTTGCCCAGGCTGGTATCAAACTCCTGGCCTCTAGTGATCCTACTGCCTTGGCCTCCCAAAGTGTTGGGATGACAGGTGTGAGCAACCACACCTGGCCAATAATTTTGTATTTGACATGTATATATAATATCATGTTATACAGATATTACAACTGGCTAAGGGGCTGACTCCAGATTTGCCTGTTTCAAACAGAACTGTTTCTTTGATAACAGAACTGTCTGAAGCAGGCAAATCTGGAATCAGCCCTTTAGCCAGTCATTGCTCAACGGTGTCTAAGAAGGAAATTAAGTGAAGCACACAGAACAACAAAGATACTGTCCAGAAGAATTCAGAGAAGACAGACATAGCACAGAAAGACAGAAAACCAACTGGTGAAAGGATTACTAAATGGGTAATTTCCCCGTATATCACACTTCCCTGTATTACATATTACATATACATATTACAGGGTATGTATCTACATAACATTTAACAATTATTTTAAAATTAGGAACATATGAACATCTTATATATATGTATACAATATCTCCTTTAGGTATCTTCTATGAATACATAAAAAGAAGATACACATATCCTTTAAGTTAATGGAAGGAAAACAAAAGAATAACTAGAAGTCATTAGGAACCATACAGTAAGGCAATTAGGGGAGACAGAAGGGGAAAATGATTAATAAGACAGATTTCAATCTTGGACTATAGTACCTAAGGCCACCTCTTCTGTGAGGAGTGTATAGACATCTAAGGAGGATGTTAAGTAGAAATTTAAGAAATACTAAGAAAATACACACGTTGGGCAGCTATCGGAGGTATAAATCAAAGAGGGAGAATTTGAGTCACATATAAGCTTAAATCTTACCAAATACCCAGAACCACATTTGACATATTCATAAGGAACATAAAAAACTTTTTCTGTGGGTTAACTACTATAGTACATTGTATAAATTCTAAAGCGATTGTCTATATATTTGGTACTTCTCTCTGCATAGTAATAAAACATTATGTATCAGCTGTATCTCCAAAATCATATAATAACAAAATCACATTATCAAATAATATCATTTTATAAAATTAAAAAAGTATCCAGATTGCAATTTAAGGAACTGGAAGCAGCTTTGGGAAAGAAATACTGGATAAACTGATAAAACAGAAGATATTATCCAACTATAAATACTTAATAAACAAAAGAAGAATGTCTATGTACTTACCTTATTAACAGCAAACGCAGTAATGATATCAGATTCCTTATGAATAATTCTTGCTTTACCTCCAGGATATCCCAAATCTGCTTCTATCTAAATAAAAGGAAACAAAACACAAAAATGCACTGATTTTAGTAATAGAACTAATAATATATGCCAATCTATCAATTAGTACTTGCATAAATTATTTTAAGAAAGTAGATATTTCAATTCTAAAGGTATTATTGTATATGCTAATTATCCCTAAAACAAAATTTGACATGGGAAATTTAAATTTCTTCAAACTTGCTTTTTTACACATAAAAAAACAGCTGATACAACATACAACTTCATTAAGTGGCTATCCTCCCGAGATACAGTTAATTAACTTTAAAGGATCAACACATTCTAATTATTAAAGCAAAATGTATTTACCAAGTTTCCTAGCATTATAATTCTTTCATATTATTTTTTAAAATTTAAAAGGTCAGATAGTCAATATTTTAGGTTTTGCAGACCACAAAGGGTCACTGTTGCATTTTTTCCAAACCCTTTAAAAATTCTCAGCTCATGGACTATATAGAAGCAGGTGAGATTTGGCCAGATGGCTGTAGTTAACCTTTGATTTATAGAGAAACCTGAAATTCTGAAAGGCAATGTAACTTGCCCAAGTGAGTAATCATTTTAGTAGCTAAATAAACCACCATTCTAAGTACTTTAGATGAGGGACATATATTTGACCTTCTGCTTACTCCAGACAAAGTGTATACATCTTTGGACTTAGAAAAGAATACTATATAAAATCGACACTTACTAAAATAAGCAGAAAAGAGGAGGCAATTAAAGAGTTGAAATGTTGCCTAATATAGGACATTATTTCATATTATCCTGCTTTTTTTTTTTTTTTTTTTTTTTTTTTTGAGATGGATGCTCTTGTCGCCCAGGCTGGAGGGCAGTGGCCCACAGTCTCAGCTCACTGCAACCTCTGCCTCCCAGGTTTAAGCAATTCTCCTGCTCCAGACTCCCAAGTAGCTGGGATTACAGGCACCTGCCACCACACCGGGCTAAGTTTTGTATTTTTAGTAGAGACAGGGTTTCACCATTTTGGCCAGGCTGGTCTGGAACTCCAGACTTCAGGTGATTTGGCCACCTTGGCCTCCCAAATGCTGGGATTATGGGCGTGAGCCACCACACCCAGCCATTCTAACTTTCAATCTTTTAAAATGAATTAGGTTTTCAGACTTATTGTGAAATGCATAAATTATCTGAAATCAGCATACAATAAATTTACTTACTGCAAAATTTTGATAGAAATATCACCAATGCCCGGCCATTGACCACAGAATGGATCAGAATATGCAGTGTTTTAAAAATAGCAACTAAGGTCAGGTGTGGTGGCTCACGCCTATAATCCCAGCACTTTGAGAGGCTGAGGTGAGTGGATCACTTGAGGTCAGGAGTGGCCAACATGGAGAAAAGTACAAAATTTTACTAAAATTACAAAAATTAACTAGAAATTACTTTACTAAAAATACAAAAATTAGCCAGGCGTGATGGTGCGCATCGGTAATCCCAGCTACTTGAGTGGCTGAGGCACGAGAATCACTTGAACCCAGGAGGCAGAGACTGCAGTAAGCCAAGATCGAGCCATTGTACTCCAGCCCAGGCAACAGAGCAAGACCCTGTCTCAAAAAAATAAATAAATAAAAGAAAGGCAATTAAGATCACTGTTCAATTGGAAAGTTCAAAGAGACCTACAAGATAACCAAACCAAAATATCCCTACACAAACAAAAATCAGTTGCCAGATATAAAGAGTCAAATATATTCTAATCTAAAGTATAACTTGCTTAGGAAGAATTTCAGTATTCGCTGAACATTCTGGCTGACTTGAGGATCAACTTGTCTTCTAAGGAAAGTCTCAGCTCTGACTACAAAACGCCGATCATCCGTTAATGATGTACAAGTCAAATTCCATAATTTTATGACAAAATTCCAACTTACCCACCAATCTGCCTGGCATCTAAAGTATACTAAATGTTCATTCTTAGGTTTTGAAGAAATTGGCGACAGAGAAAGATGATGGCTCCATGGAATAGAGGGATGTGCCACTTGCTGGTAATGGTTGGATAGGGCATCATACCAGTTTCACCTGGGGAGCTTTTTCGAACTTTACATGTAAAGTTTGGGAAGAAAGCTCCTGCAGGTATGAACTTCAAAAAACCTTTCTCTATGTAGGAATACATTCCTGTCCTCATTATTTACTAAAAACATTGTTTCTCAGTAAGGTGGTGTCAAGATAACCTGAATAAGAATCAACTGAGGTGATTTTTTTTTAAATACAAATACTCTGAACCCCATGTCAGATACATAATCAGAATGTCATGGGGGTGGGTCAAAGAAATAGTGGTATCTCAGAAGTCTTAAATTAAATTTGTGAATGACCATAAGTGGCAGAAGATAAGATTGGAGATAAAGGTAGAGGTTCAGTTCTTGCAGGGCCTTAAAAGACATAATAAAGAGTTCAAATCCTGTTCTAAGGCAGCGAAACCATTGGTGGATTTTGAAAAGCCAGGCTACTGTGAGATAAAACATAAAGGGTTTGAGAATGACTATCAGAAAACCAGTTAAAAGGCGACTACAGTAGCTGAAGTGAGAGATCATAGTGGGTTGGATTAGGGCAGTAGGAATGGTGATAGTGATAAGTGGCTGGAATTGGGATACATTTTGTTAATGGACTGTAATCATAGTGTGAATAAAAGAAGGAAAGAAAAAGGATGAATCCTAGTGTCAGGCCTGATAGGTGGGTGAGTAAAGGTACCATTTACTGAGATGGACAGAAGTGAAGGAAACAGTAGGGAGTAGGTTCGGAGCAGGCAATGTCTGGAGTTCGGGAAATTAGTTGAGAGAGATTTGAGAGTTGTCAGCATACAAATTATATTAATATTTAAACCGTAAGATAACCCAAGGAGAGAGTAAAGACAGGAAAGATAAAAAGTTAGAGAACTGAATTCTGGGGCAACCAATATTTCAAGGATGGGAAAAAGGACAATTCAGTAGTTATCAATTAGCTAATATAAGAAATAGATTAGTTTGATATTATGGAAACTAAGTGAGGAAACAATTTTAGAAAAATGTTATGCGTCAACACTACCAAATGATTATTAAGAAGTTGAATCATATGAAGATAGATAATTGACTACTAAATTTAGTATACTGGAAGTCAGTGGTGACTGTGTCTAGGACAATCTCAGTGGAGTGGGCTGGAGATAATAACCAAATTAGAGAGAATGTGATATCTGGTGAATAAGAAGGGGAGTCCACGGGGAAAGGATCACAGAGACATTCAACTGAATTGATAATGTTTTATTTCTTAAGCTGGGTGGTTTGTTTATGGTGTTTCAACATTATTGTTTAAATCTTGAAGGACTTTATAGGCAACTCTAAGTGAATTTTGCTACATAGGAGACTAGAGAAATGGAGTATTTTTTAAAGGCAAAACATTAAAATATATTTGCTCATGCTAATGAGAATAATTTGAGAGAGGTAAACATTTATTGACAAGGAGAGAGGGAGATGGGCTTCAGTTATTAAGAACTGAAGACAAGTTCTTGGGTAGGTGAAAGCAGATAAGAACTGTGCACAAGTGAAAGTTCTGGCCTTGAACAAAAAGGGTAACAGTTCACTCTGTTAGAGGAGGCAGAAGAAAATATCTGCATACAGAGCAGAAATTAGATGATGATGGGCAGGTTAGGCTAAATCACTGCTGACTACACTTATTTTGACAGCAAAATATATTGATCTGTGGGGAGTAGGAAACAAATACTGGAAGTTTCAGGAAACAAGGAAAAAGTATGAAAATGAAAATGAAAAAACAAATTTGCTACAGAGCAATTTATTATGACTGCAGGGTAGTTTTATATTAATTTTGGATTTGTGCTAATAAATGTAAAGTGAGGCAAGCTCCAGGGTTTGTGCTTTTCCTCCAAACATGTTCAGCTGCTTGAGTGCAGGCACAGAATAGGACAAAAAGTTGGGTTTAAGAAGGTTTGGGAATTTTCAAGGCAAGTAGGAAGAACAGGGATAAGGATGTTTGCAAGTGACTGATTGATTCCATGATGGATCATGAAATCTAAGCTGGGAAGGGAAGGAACTAGGAACATGATACAGTCAGCTAAAAATAGAGACAGAACTTGCATGTGCTATGAATGTAATTTTATTTGTTAAAGGCCTCACAACATAACATTATAGTTAAAAAAAAAATCACAATGAATATGGTCTTAAAAGATCTCCTAAAGTTTCAAGTCACACTCTGTAAAGATTTCATGCTTTGATTGGGCTGGACATGTGAAGAAAAAAGAATCCAAATATTAACGCTAAAAGAGATTTAAAGAGATTATGCAGATCAAAAACTAAACACAGAATTGCTATATGATCTAGCAATTCCACTTCTGTATATACCCCAAAAAACTGAAAGCAGAGATTCAGATATTTGTATATCAATGTTCATAGCACCATTATTCACAATAACCAAGACAGACACAACTCAAATGTCCACTAACTGACGAATGGATAAACAAAATGTATGAACATACATTAGAATACTATTCAGCCTTAAAAAGAAAGGAAATTCTGACACATGCTAAAATATGGATGAACCTCAAAGACATTATGCTTGGTGAAATAAACTAGTCACAAAAGGATAACTATTATACAATTCCATTTACATGAGGTACCTAGGGATAGTAAAATTCATAGATACAAAAAGCAGAATGGTGGTTGCCTGGAGTGGGCGCCAGAGGAATGGGGAGCTGTTGTTTAGCGGGCACAAAGTTTCAGTTTGGAGAGGATGAAAAAGTTCTGGAGATGGATGGTGTGTTGGTTGCAGAGCAGTGTAAATGTACTTATGGCCACTGGGCTGCTTTACAAATGGTTAAAATGGTAACTTTTATGTTATTTATATTTTACCACAAAAAGGAATTATGCAGAAACTGATCTGAACATTGCTTGGGTTCCACAGAGCTGCCCTTAGAAGCTGGAGGAGAAAGAGATAGTTACAATAGATTAACACCAGGATCCTACGGAATATTTCAATTAGAGAAGCAACAGGTTTAAAATTATCAGCCCTAATTTTACATGTCAGTAAATGAGGCTCCAAGAGTGGAAGAAGTGAAAGGTCATACAGCAGATCCATGGAAAAAGTGACTGAGACCCTGGGTAGTCAGTAGTGATTTTCATTTACTAAAACCTACAATATAAGGTTGTGTACTTGGAACACTTCATTGCCACTCTAATGACACAAATATGAAGTAAAATGATATCTAAAGAATGCCGAAGGCATAACTGAAAGAAAATAGGAAGCAATCAGGTGAACATAAAATGGTGTCAATACCCCAAATATTAGGGAATATAAATACTAAAGAAGACATAATTTGGTTTTCAAAGTCATAGCAGAAGAAGGAGAGGCAGCATCACCATGGATTCTACACATATTTTAATAGGGCAACATGATAACTTTATGCCAGTAAGTTTGACAACATAAATGAAATGTACACTTCTTGAAAGACATGTACTACCAAAACTGACTTAAGAAATAGATAAACCTGAATTGCCCTACATCTGTTAAAGAAATTAAATTTGTCATTTAAAAAACTTCAGGATTCTACCAAACACTTCAGAAATAACACTAATTCTATAAAAATTATTCCCCAAAATTAAAGAGGACAGAACCTTCGTCAATTCATTCTAAGAGTCTAGCACTAATCTGAGACCAACACAAACAACATTGTAAGAAAACTACAAACCAATATCCCTCATGAACATAGATGTAAAAATTCTTAAAATTTTATCAAATGTAACTATATATAAAAAGGATAACACATCACGACCAAGTATAGCTTATGCTGGGAATGCTAGATTGGTTTAACATTTTTTAAAAAAATCCTTAACCTATCATACTAAAAAAGAAAAAAGGATGATCATTTCAATAGTAGGCAAAAAAAAAAAAAAAATCATTTGATAAAATCCAACATCCTTTCCTTATGAAAACTCTTAACAAAGTAGGAATGCAAAGAAACGTCCTCAAACTTATAAAGGGCATCTACAACAAACTTAAAGAAAACATTATACTTAATAATAAAAGACTGCTTTCCCCAAGATCAGAAACAAGATAATAATGTCTGCTGGTGATCACTTCTATTCAACATTGGACTGGAAGTTCTAAGTCAGAGTGATAAGGCAAAAAAAAAAAAAAAAAAACGAAAGAAAAAAGAAAAAAGAACTTAGAAGAATAATATATTTGAATGACTTACAATACATGACTTCATGATTTATTATAAGGTTATAGTGATAAAGACAGTGAGCTATTACCATAAAGATGGATCAATGGCCCAAAACAGACTCCAGAATTAGACCTACTCATCTGTGTCAACTGATTTTTGAAAAGGTGAAAGAGGTAGTTTAGTGAAAGAAAAGATAATCTTTTCAAGAAATAATGCTGTAACAATTGACATACAGATGCAAAAACAACAACAGTAACAAAGAACTGAGGTCTATACTTCACACCATGTAAACAAATTAACTTGAAATGGATTAGACCTAAATGTAATACTGAAACTCAAAAACACTTAGAACAGGAGAAAGTTTTTGTGATCTTAGGTTAGGCAAAGATTTCTTAAATACAACACCCAAAAGAAAATGAATAACCAGAACTAATACATTAGACATCATCAAAATTAAGAACTTCTGCACTTCAAAAGAACTTGTGGCCGGCTGCGGTGGTTCACGCTCCTAATCCCAGCACTTTAGGAGGCCGAGGTGGGCAGATCACTTGAGCCCAGGAGTTTGAGACCAGCCTGGGTAACATGGTGAAACCCAGTCTACTCATCTACTAAAAATATAAAAATTAGCCGGGTGTGTTAGTGCACACCTGAGGTATGAGAATCGCTTGTACCCAGGAGGTGGAGATTGCAGTGAGCCAAGATCATACCACTGCACTCCAGCATAGGCAACAGAGCAAGACTTTGCTTAAAAAATAAATAAATAAAATGAAAACACCTTGTAAACAGAATGAAAAGACAAGCCATAGAGTAAGAGAAAATATTTGCAAATCACATTTCTGATAAATTACTTTTATCCAGAACATACAAATAACTGTTAAAATTGAATCAAGAAAACAAGCAACCTAATACAAAATAAACATAAGATTTGAAGGCAATTCATGCAGAAAGATAGACAAATGGCAAATAAGCATGTGATAAGATGCTTGATGCAAATTAAAACCACAATGAACTACTACTACATACCTACTAGAATGGTTAAAATGAAAATATAGACTACACACCAACTGTTGGTAAGAATGTGATGCAAGGCTGGGCATGGTGGGTCACACCTGTAATCCGAACACTTCAGGAGGCTGAGGTGGGAAGACTGCTTGAGCCCAGAAGTTTGAGACCAGCCTGAGCAACATGGAGAAACCCCATCTCTACAAAAAATAAAATTGAGCTGGGCATGGTGATGCATGCCTGTAGTCCCAGCTGCTCAGAAGGCTGAGGCAAGAGAACTGCTTGAGCCCAGGAGGTCAAGGCTGCAGTGAGCCGCAATCACACCACTACACCCAGCCTGGGAGACACAGTGAGACCCTGCCTTTTAAAAAAAAAAAAAAAAAATAGAATGGGATTTCGTACACAATCCATTGAGAATATACATAAATGGTACAACCACCTTGGAAAATATTTGAATAGTTTCACAAAACGTTTAACATATACCTACACATGATCCAGTCTTTCTACTCCTAGGCATTTACACAAGAGAAATGAAAGCATTTTTCCATAAAATGTGACTTTTGCATGAATATTCAAAGCAGTCTTATTTGGAATAGGTCCAAAATAAAATCAGCTCAAGTGTTCATTAACAGGTAAATAAACTATGGTATATCCATATAATGTAATAAGCATCAAAATAACAAGAATGAACTACTAAAACACACAACATAGATGAATCTTGAAATAATTATGCTAAGTCAATGGACACAGACTATAAACCAAAAATGATGTATTATATGATTCTATTTACATAAAATTCCAGAAAACAACAAATGAATCTTTAACACCAGGAAAAAGTTTGGTAGCTGCCTGGGGAAGAGGGCACAGGTGGGAGAGAAAAAAAAATGGAGGGATTAAATTCTGGGGACTGATGGATATAATCATTATCCTGGTTGTGGTGATGGCTTCGCTAGTGTATATACATGCCAAAATTGAACAAGTTGTACACTTTAAATATATGTAGTTATTTTAGGTCAGGCATACCTTACAAAGATTTTTTTTTTAAACTATATAGCAGTGGGCTTGGAAAAATGCTGGCCAAAATGATGTTAACCCTCCCCTCAAAAAGACTGTATTTTGACGTAGCATGAAGCTGACTATAGAAATACAACATTATGATTATTAGCATTTTATAAACAGCATCAAAACAAAAATGTTTGTATAAGAATTCCTGATATGTGGCTGGGCACGGTGTCTCACACCTGTAATCCCAGCACTTTGGGAGGCCAAGGCAGGCAGATCACCTGACGTTGGGAGTTCAAGACCAGCCGGACCAACATGGAGAAACCCTGTCTCTATTAAAAATACAAAAATTGGCTGGATGTGGTGGCCCATGCGTGTAATCCCAGCTACTCGGGAGGCTGAGGCAGGAGAATCGCTTGAACCCGGGAGGCGGAGCTTGCAGTAAGCTGAGATCGCGCCACTGCACTCCAGTCTGGGAAACCTGAGTGAAACTCTGTTTCCAAAAAAAAAAAAAAAAAAATTCCTGATAATGTGTAGACAGTAATAAGTAATCATCAAAACCCAGGCAAGGAAAATTGTTAACTGATTAAAAGTTTGAATTATATTCCCTCAAAACCCCCAAAGGCCACTAGATAGTTTGAAAGTATGAATGACATACAGACTTATTTTGCAAAAGTTTTAGTTATAATATACACCTGATATCAAATCAGGCTTTTTAATTAATTGCACAGAATTATTTCTCCTATTTTACCAAAGGATTCCCATTGGAAAGAATAAGGGGTAGAAATTAGTAACCTTAAAAATTTTTTTGAGCAATTTTTCACTTAAAAATCACTGCTGAGATTGTTTTAAATATAGAATATGAAAAACATGAGTTAAATATTAACCTCATAAAGTCGTAGTTGAATTGGCCAGGCGCGGTGGCTCACGCCTGTAATCCTAGCACTTTGGGAGGCCAAGGCAGGTGGATCACCTGAGGTCAGGAGTTTGACATCAGCCTGGCCAACATGGCAAAACCTCATCTCTACTAAAAATACAAAAAGAATTAGCCAGGTGTGGTGGTGGGCGCCTATAATCCCAGCTACTAGGGAGGTTGAGGCAGGAGAATCGCTTGAACCTGGGGGGCAGAGGTTGCACTGAACCAAGACTGTGACACTTCACTCCAGCCTGGGCAAAAGAGCGAAACTCCGTCTCAAAAATAAAATAAAATATAGTCATAGTTGAATATGCAATCACAGGACGCCTAGGAGTTTTTTCATAATTATACAGATTCTCATCTTTTGTGCTTTGGTTCTCAAGTACCATGAGTACTTACTATGTATCCTCTTAAGGCACTTTGCTACATGCTATTGCTACCAGTAAAATAAATGCTATGTAACAGTATTTACTATATTTTTAGGAATTAATATTAATTCCTAATTTGAATTTTTTAATATCATTAATTTTAATATCATTAATTCCTAATTTTAGTATCATTAATTCCTAATTTGAATTTTAACTTCAGAAGTGATATTTGCAGAATTAAAACAATACTACTAGACAATTGCTATTGTAATCACATGTATTAAGAACTTTAGTTGTATTTACTCAGAAAAATTTGTAGCCAAAACAAGATACATTCAACTCCCTTTAAAATTGCATTCTCTTATCTAACAAAACAGAAACCACTTTTACAACTGCAGTATTTAAGTTGTTAAAATAAAAGGAGAATAATTTGAGGGAACAATACTTTAAATCCATTGGAAACAAAGACCAGTTTAAAAGTAAAATGCAAATGCTTTGTTCTTTTGTGAAAGAATGCAATTTTTAATTTCAGTTGAATGATATTTTGTACCTTATTGATGTTTGGCTCCTCCATCATAGAATTTTTGATGGTTTCACTGTTGTCCTCTAATGACTTCATCAAGAAAGAATAACCACATGACAAAGAGTAAAGATGAGATGTAACATGCAAAATACTGGGGATTGTTTCAATGCTATATTTTAAACCAAATTTACTAGAAAAGAACATTATATGGAGTTACTATTCTCAAAATTTCATACACCTTATAAGAAGCATGTGTGAGGGTGCATGGTTAGGAAATGAGCAAAACTTAATCCCTCAGAACTCATTAACTACCACTATAAATTTTATTCTAACCCTAAGAAGTTTTTACTCAATTTCGAAATGTTGACATTAAAGCACGATTGAAACCAAAATACTTTATATTAAAATAATCAGAGCTACTGGTGTCAGAGTACTATGAACAAAGTCGAATTATTCTCTTACTCGCTGCTTTGTCTTATCTCCACATCTGAACCTTCAGGAAAATCTCTTGATTAGAAAATTTCAATTTCTACATGTATCTAATTCTCTTCCACTGATGAAGCCAGAAATAGTCAATAAATTGCTGGGAAGCACATACACTTCTTAAAAGGGAATAGTAGTACTTGTTAAAGAAAGAGTTGTTCCAAGACTTTTAGTTCTTCTCAGAAACTCAAACAAAACAAAACAAAAAAAAACAGAAAAAGGAATTGGGAACAATGATGGGAGTTGTCAAGTCCCAATTTTTTATTAAGAATGACTTAATCTAATTGCAGTTGTCTGTACTTTCTATTTAAATACAAAGGGAGGACATTCTATTTTAAAACACAGGTACCAGTAAACTTTACCAAACAGGAAAAGAAAAGATCTGAGAAAACCAGGATTTTAGGGTCAGATGAAGAAACTGTAAAATTTCATTTTCAAACACATAAAGAAATAAAGAAAGAGCAGTTCTCAGAATACTCTCCCATCACCTGCCATCCAAAATACAGGGCCTGTCATATATGTATCTCCTAACCATCTGGAAAATCACAGTGACTTTGACTAAAATATTTAAGCATAATCATCATTTTAGAAAAATAAGAGATGGAAGGTGATTTTGTTAATACTAAAAATAGGCTAGTAACCTTTCCGGTAAAGATTAATTTCACACAAACTCTATATTCTATTTAATTCCATTCAAATCTATGCTTTACTATGTAACATTTTTCTTTTCATATTCTCTATCAAAAAGACACTATTTTAAGAGTATCACTATCAAGAATAAAACAACAAAGCAATAACAACAAACTTTTAATAACTACCATTAATTGTGTCAAGGTTTAAATAAGTTAAATCTATTTATCAAAACATTGCAAAGTAAGGGCTATTATAGTCATTGTGCATTAAAAAAACAAAATTCAGAGAAAATATTCAGCTTACTGATAGTCACAAAACTGTTAGTCCAACATTCATATTCATGCTCCTGATTAAAATAATTACAATAAAAATAATTTTAAAATTTTCTTGAGATATCATGAAACTCCAAAGAATAACAGAAATTTTAAAATGTGTAGTTATACTTATTATTTGCTATGTTTACGTACTCTGGCTTGACTATACTACTCTATTTCTTTAATGAGTCTATTCCTGAATCAACTAGACAATCTAATGGCTCAATAGTTTTTTTGTATTGTTTTCAGAACTACTTCATTTCCCAAATACCCAAATATATCGGCAGTAGAAAAATAAGATTTTTCTAAGATTAATCAAATATGTCAATTTTTTTAAAAAAAGATCAAATAAACAAATGAAATACATTCATGTTTGTCTAAATTTCAATATTACACCAAGGTACTCAGGTCAAAAGTCTTCTAAGTCAGCAAGAACACTACATACTATTTCCTGACTTGGTCGATTTGAATATATTTACAAAATGAGGCAAATAGTAAATAACAGCATATACAGTTTCCACTTAAAATTGGTGCTTAAATTGAGAGACAATGAGATATATATGTAATTTTCCTTTAAGGTAGAAAGGTTAGATGTCAATCTTGCTTTTTGCTTACTTGTCTATTGTGAAGCCATTCAATTTATTTCTTCAACTGAAATATCTTCAGTGTTTCCTCCAACTTCAAAAACTGTACAAAGCTTGCTTTCAGACTAGTTCAATGCTACTCAAAATGTGGTTCACATACCAAATGTCAGTTCTGAACTCTTCGTTACCAGTCCAGGAGACAAAAAGAATTGACTACATCACTGCATCTACTGTTCAGTTCACCTGAACTTTTTAGTAACAAAACTTACCCAATGAAAGAAACAAGTTCCCCATATCATCAGACTGATATTTATTACTAGCACTAAACTAAATGACAAAAAAAAAAAAAAACCCATTATGATAATATCAAGGTATAAGCAACCAGTTACACTACAGGTTAATTTGGGTTTGTAAAATTTCATTAATTTAAGCATAATCCACAGAAAAGAAAATGTACATATTTAAAAAGTTGGCTGGGTGCAGTGGCTCAAGCCTGTAATCTCAGCACTTTGGGAGGCCAAGGCAGGTAGATCGCCTGGGCTCAGGAATTCAAGACCACCCTGGGCAATATGGTGAAACCCAGTCTCTACCAAAAATACAAAAAATTAGCCAGGCATGGTGGCGTTCATCTGCAGTCCCAGCTGCTAGGGAGGCTGAGGTGGGAGGATCGCTTGAGCCTGGGAGGCAGAGGTTGCAGTGAGCTGAAATGGTGCCACTGTACTCCAACCTGTGTGACAGAGTGAGACTCCATCTCAAAAAAGATAAATAAATACAATAAAAATTTTTCAGGCCGGGCGTGGTGGTTCACACCTGTAATCCTAGCACTTTGGGAGGCTGAGGCGGGTGGATCACCAGGTCAGGAGATCGAGACCATCCTGGCTAACACAGTGAAACCCCGTCTCTACTAAAAATACAAAAAATTAGTTGGGCGTGGTGGCGGGCACCTGTAGTCCCAGCTACTCGGGAGGCTGAGGCAGGAGAATGGTGTGAACCTGGGAGGTGCGGAGCTTGCAGTAAGCTGAGATCGCACCACTGCACTCCAGCCTGGGTGACAGAACAAGACTCCATCTCCAAAGAAAAAATAAATAAATAAATAAATAAAAAATTTTCAGTATACAATTAAACTTCTAAGTTACAATTAAACTTCTAAGATAGACTTCTTTTAACTGTCACATGAAAATCATAGAAAATTTCTATCTTGTCTCTTAAATTGATGATCATGACAATTCAAAACAAGATGCGGAATATTAAACATTTTTATCGAGAAAAAAGTCCCAAATACATTTGAATTAATTAAATTGATTTATGAAAATACTGCCCCTTTTATAAATTACACTGTTCTAAGCATTAATTGCCTATGTTTATGATACGTGTTTTCAAAAAATCTGTAAAATACAACTCATTTTAATGGTTACATGATAATATAAAAGACTTCAATAATAAAATAGTAAACAGGTTTTAACTTATACAGACCTCATTTAGACACCGTTTCTTTGTGAATATATTTTTGATAAAGGTTTCCTGAATTTCTTCCTGCTTCACCAAATACTGCCAAAGCCTCTTCACAGACAGTGCCAGATGGTGTTTGGATCTACAGAGAGAGACAGCAAATTTAATGATAAACTTCAGAAATTTCTGACTAACTTGATAACAATTCCTTGGTGCCATATAAATTATAATAAATTAACTGCAATCAGACTGTATGACTGGAGGCAGATCATATGGCCAACCTTTTCCTTAAAGGATTTCCTTAAAGGATTAGTACATAATTCAGGCTTTGTGGACCATATGGTCTCTGTCACAACTACTCAAGTCTGATAATGTACAGGTAAAGTATCCCTTAACTAAAGTACTTGGGACCAGAAGTATTTTGAATTTCATATGTTTTCAGATTTTGAAATATTTGAATATATATGTCTAAATTAAAAATTCATTTATGTTTCATATACATCTTATATGCATAACCTGAAGGTAAGAAATTATATATATATAAAAATATATAAATATATATATATATATATATAAAAATATATATATATATATATGTATGTATATTTTTGAGATGGAATCTCAATCTTTGGCCCAGACTGGAGTGCAACAGGGCGATCTTGGCTCACTGCAACCTCCACCTCCTGGGTTCAAGCGATTCTCCTGCCTCAGCCTCCCGAGTAGCTGGGATTACAGGCACCTGCCACCATGCCCAGCTAATTTTTGTATTTTTAGTAGAGACAGGGTTTCACCATGTTGGCAGGCTGGTCTTGAACTCCTGACCTCAGGTGATCCACCCACTTCGGCCTTCCAAAGTGCTGGCATTACAGGCAGTGAAGGTGAGAAATTATATTTTTAATAATTGTGTGCATGAAACAAAGTTTGTGTTAAATAGTTATATGTGGCATTTTCTACTTATAGCATCATGTTGGTACTCAAAAAATTTTGAATTTTGGAGCATTTCAGATTTGAATTAGGGACTGTCAACTTGCAGTGGGAAAGCAACTACTGGCAATATGCAATTGAGAGGATTTATGGCTATAATCCAATAAAACTTTATTTAAAGAAGCATGGAGAGGTCTGGATTTCACCTGTGGGGATGGCCATAGTTTGTTGATCCCTAACCTAGGGCCATAGGATCTAACAAAAGTAGGTATGCTTTAGCAAAATCTCTGGGACATAGCTAAGGCAGCATTAAGAGGGAAATTCACAGCACTAAATGTCCACATCAAAAGTTAGAAAGATCTCAAATTAACAACCTAACATCATAATGGAAAATATCAGAGAAGCAAGAACAAATAAACCCCAAAGCTAGCAGAAGATAAAAAATAACAAATATCAAAGCTGAAATGAAAGAAATTGAGACACACAAAACCATTCAAAAGATCAACGAATCCAGGAGTTGGTCTTTTGAAAAAATTAGTAAGACAGACAGACTGCCAGCTAGACTAATAAAAAAGAAAAGAGAGAAGATACAAATAAACACAATTAGAAATGACCAAGGAGATGTTACCACTGACCCCACAGAAATAAAAATAACCATCAGAAACTACTATGGACACCTCTATGCACACAGACTACAAAACCTACAAGAGATGGATAAATTCCTGGACACATACACCCTCCCAAGACTGAACCTGGAAGAAATGATTCCCTGACCAAACTAATAATGAGCTCTGAAATTCAATCAGTAATGAATAGCATACCAACCAAAAAAGGCATAGAACCAGATGGATTCGCAGCCAAATTCTACGAAATGTACAAAGAAAAGCTGGTACCATTCATACTAAAACTATACCAAAAAACTGAGGAGGTGGAACTCCTTCACACCTAATTCTATGAAGTCAACATTATCCTGATACCAAAACCTGGCAGAAGTAACAACAAAAAAAACAAAACTTCAAGCCAATATCCTTGATGAATGTCAACACAAAAATCCTCAACAAAATACTTGCAAACCAAACCCAGCAGCACATCAAAAAGCTAATTCACCATGATCAAGTAGGCTTCATTCCCAGGATGCAAGTTTGGTTCAACATATGCAAATCAACAAATGTGATGAATCACATAAACAGAACTAAAGACAAAAACCACATAATTATATCAATAGATGAAGAAAAGGCTTTTGATAAAATTCAACATCAATCCATGTAAAAACTCTCAATAAGCTAGGTATTGAAAGAACATACTTCAAAATAGTAAGAGCCATCTATGACAAACCCACAGCCAACATCATACTGAATGGGCAAAAGCAGGAAGCTTTCTCCTTGAAAACCAACACAAGACAAGGATGCTTTGTCTCACCACTCCTATTCAACCTAGTATTGAAAGTCCTGGCCAGAGCAAGCAGGAAAGAGGAAGAAATAAAAGGCATCCACATAGGAAGAGAGGAAGTAAAACTATGCCTGTTTGTAGATAACATGATTCTATATCTAGAAAACCCCATGTCTCAGCCCAAAAGCTCCTAGATCTGATAAACAACTTAGCAAAGTTTCAGGATACAAAAATCAGTGTACAAGAAATCACTAGCATTCCTATACACCAACAACAGCTAAGCTGAGAGCCAAATCAGGAAGGCAGCCCCATTCACAACTGCCACAAAAAGAATAAAATACCTAGGAATACAGCTAACCAGGAGGTGAAAGATCTCTACAATAATTACAAAACACTGTGCAAAGAAATCAGATAAGACACAAACAAATGGA